>NC_000002.12:90078251-90402511 GCF_000001405.40 Homo sapiens | reverse complement strand
GAATTCGATGTTTCCAATCAATTCCATTCAATGATGCTTCCATTCGAGGCTGTCTGATGACTCTATTCATTTCCATTCTACAATGATTCCCTTTGAGTCCTTTTGAAGATTTGATTCGAGTCCTTTCGATAATCCCATTCGATTCCGTTCGATGATGATTTCGTTCGAGTCCATTTGACGCGTCCCTTCGAGTACATTTGATGATTCCATTCGAGTCCAACTGATGATTCCATTCAATTCCATTCTGTGATGTTTCCGTATGATTCCATTCGATGATGATTCCATGTGATTCCTTTCGATGATGATTCATTTTAATTGCATTTGATTATGATTCATTTCCAGTTCATTCGACGATTCCACACGATTCCATTCGAGGATGATTCCATTCGAGTGTATTTGATGATTCCTTTCGATTCCATTAGAAGATGATTCCATTTGATTCCGTTCATTGGTGATCCCATTCAATTCCATTCAATGATTCCATTCCATCCCATTCAACAATGATTCCATTTGATTCCATTTGATGATTCCTTCCGCTTGATTCCATTTGATGATGATTCCATTCGATTCCATTCGATGATGATTGCCTTCAATTCCATTCGATGATTCCATTCGATTCCATTCGATGACGATTCGGTTTGATTCCATTTGATGATTCCATTCGAGTCCATTCGATGATTCCATTCGATTCCATTTGATGATGATTCCATTTGAGTCCATTCGATGATTCCATTCGAGTCCATTTAATGATTCCATTCATTCGAGTCCATTTGATGATTCCATTCGATTGCATTTTATGATTATTCCATTCGTGTCCATTAGATGATTCCATTCGTGTCCATTCAATAATTCCATTCAATTCCTTTCGATCATTCCATTCGATTCTATTTGACATTTCCATTCGAGTCCGTTTGTTCATTCATTCGTGTCCATTCGATGACTCCATTCGATTCCATTTGATGATGATCCCATTTGATGATGATTCCATTCGAGTCCATTTGATGACTCCATTTGATTCCATTTGATGATGATTCCATTCGTGTCCATTAAATGTTTTTGTTCTATCCCATTCAATGAGGATTCCCTTCAAATCCATTTGATGATTGTATTCAAGTCCATTCAGTGATTGCTTTCGGTTCCATTTGATATTGATTCCCTTTGATTCCATTCGATGAGTGTTCCATTCGATGTCATTCTATGATTCCATTAGATTCCATTTGATGTTGATTGCATTTGATTCCATTTGATTATTCTATTCGATTTTTTTTGATGACGATTCCATTCGATTCCATTCAGTGATTCCAGTTCATTACAGTTGATGGTGATTCCTTTCGATTCCATTCGATGATTCCATTTGATTCCAATCGATGATGATTCCATTCGAGTCCATTCGATGATTCCATTCGATTCCATTCAATGATGATTCCATTCGAGTCCATTCAATGGTGATTCCATTGGATTCCATTCGGTGATGCCATTCGATTCCGTTCTATGATTGCATTCGATTCCATTTGATGATTCCCTTCGATTCCATTCAAAGTTTATTCCATTCGAGTCAGTTTGATAATTCCATTCGATTCCATTCTCCGATGATTCCACTGGATCCCGTTCGATGATTCCATTCAATTCCAGTTGATGGTGATTCCATTCGAGTCCATTTAATGATTTCCTTGGATTCCATTTGATGATGACTCCTTCCGGTTCCATTCCATGATGATTCCATTGGGTTCCATTAGATAGTGATTCCATTCAAGTCCATTCGATGATTCCATTCGATTCCATTCGATGATGATTCCATTCCGTTCCATTCGATGATTCCTTTCGATTCCATTTGATGTTGATTCCATTTGAGTCCATTTGATTATTCCCTTTGAATGCATTCCATGATTCCTTTCGATTCCATTTGATATTGCTTCCATTCGAGTCCATTCGATGATTCCATTTGATTTCATTCAATGATGATTCGATTCAATTCCGTTCGATGATTCCATTTGACTCCATTCGATGACAACTCCATTCGAGTCCATTCGATGATTCCTTTCGAGTCCATTTCATGATTCTATTTGGTTCCATTCGATGATGATTCCTTTGAATTCCATTCGTTGGTGATTCCATTCGATTCCATTCGATGATGATTCCATTCAATTGCATTCGATGATGATTCCATTCGATTCCATTCGATGATGATTCCATTCGGTTTCATCCGATGATTCTATTCAATTCCTTTCTATGATTATTCAATTCTTTTCCATTTGATGATTCCATGTGATTCCATTTGATGATGATTCCATTCGTTTGCATTCGATGATGATTCCATTCAGGTCCATTCAAAGATTCCATTCGATTCCATTCTATGATGATTGCATTCGAGTTCATTTGATGATTCCATTCGACTCCATTCGATGATGATTCCATTCGTTGCTATTCAATGATTCCATTCGATTCCATTTGCTGATGATTCCATTCGACTCCATTCAATGATTCCATTCGATTCCACTCAATGAGGATTCCTTTCGTGTCCATTTGATGATTCTGTTCAATTCCATTCGATGATGATTCCTATCAAATCAATTTGATGATTCCATTCGAGTACATTCGATTATTCCATTTGATTTTATTCGATGATGATTCCATTCGATGCCATTCGATGATTCCATTCGATTCCATTCAATGGTGATTCCATTCGATGCCATTCGATGATTCCATTCAATCCTATTTGATGATGATTCCATTCGTGTCCATTCGATGATTCCGTTCTTTCCATTCGATGATGATTCCATTTGAATCCATTCGATGATTCCTATCTATTCCATTCGATGACTCCGTTCAATCCCATTCGGTGTTCCCCTTCGATTGTCTTTGATGATCATTCCATTCGATTCAATTTGGTGATTCCATTCCATGATGATTCCTTTCGATTCCATTCGATGAGGATTCCATTCGGTTCCATTTGATGATGATTACATTCGATTCCATTTGACGATGATTCCATTCGAGTCCATTTGATGATTACATTCGATTGCATTTGATGATGATTCCACTCAAGCCCATTCGCTTATTCCATTCGAGTCCATTCAATGATTCCATTAGATTCCATTCGATGATGATTCCATTCGAGTTCACTCGATGATTCCATTGTATTCCATTCAATGATGATTCCTTTCAGGTCCATTAGATGATTCCATTAGATTCTATTTGATGATGACTCCATTAGTGTCCATTCTTTGATTCCATTCGATTCCATTCGATGATGATTCTATTCGAGTCCATTCGTTGATTCCATTCGATTCCATTCAATTATGATTCCATTCAAGTCCAATTGATGATTACAGTCGTTTCCATTCGATGATGATTCCCCTCGAGTCCATTCGATGATTCCACTCGAGTCCATTCGATGATTTCCTTAGATTCCATTCAATGATGATTCCACTCAATGCAATTCAATGACTAAATTCGATTCCATTCGATGTTGTTTCCGTTCAATTCCATTTGATGATTCTATTCGATTCAATTCAGTGATGGTTACATTCGTGTCCACTCGATGATTCCATTCTATTCCATTCGATGATTATTCCATTAGACTCCATTCGATGATGATTCCATTCGATTTCATTCTGTGAATCTATTCATTTCCATTCGATGATGATTCCATTCTTTTCCAGTCGACGATTCCATTCGATGCCATTCGATGATTACATTCGATTACATTCGACGATGACTCCATTCTATTCCATTTGATGATTCCATTCGATTCCATTCGATGAGGATTCCATTTGATTCCATTCAATGATGATTCCATTCATGTCCATTCGATTGAATTACATTTCATTGCTTTCGATGATGATTCCATTCACGTCCATTAGATGATTCCATTTGATTCCATTCATTGATGATTCCATTCAGATTCCATTTGATGATTCCATTCGATTCCATTTGATGATTCCATTCAATTGCATTCAATGATTCCATTCGATTCCATTCGATGATGATTCCCTTCGAGTCCATTAGAAGATTCCATAACATTCCATTCGATGGTGATTCCTTTCCATTTCATTCAATGATTCCATTCGATTCCATTCGATGATGATTCCCTTCGAGTCCATGAGATAATTTCATAACATACCATTCGATAGTGATTCCATTTGATTTCATTCGATGGTGATTCCATTTGATTCCATTCGATGATTCCTTTCGTGTCCATTCGATGACACCATTGGATTCCATTCGATGATTTCATTCGTTTCCACTTGTTGATGATTCCATTCGATTCCATTCGATGATGATTCCATTCGATTCCCTTCATTGATGATTCGATTAGATTCCATTTGATGATGATTCCATTCGATTCCATTCAATGAAGATTCCATTCAATTCCATTTGATGATGATTCCATTTGACTCCATTCAATGATGATTCCATTCGATTCCATTCAAAGATTCAATTCGAGTCCATTCAATGATTCCATTCGATTCCACTTGATGATGATTCCTTTCAAGTCCATTCAATGATTCCATTCAATTCCATTAGATAATAATTCCTCTCAAGTCCATTCAATGATTCCATTCAGTTGCATTCGATGATTCCATACGATTTCATTCGATGATGATTCCATTTGAGTCCATTTGATGTTTCCATTAGATTCCATTCGAGCATAATTCCTTTCGAGTCCATTCGATGATTCCATTCAATTCCATTCCATGATGATTCCATTTCATTCCATTCAATGATGATTCCATTCGAGTCCATTCTATGATTCCTTTCTATTCCATTCGTTGATTCCATTCAATTCCATTCGATGATGATTGCATTCGACGACATTCAATGATTCCACTCGATTCCATCTGATGATTGGAGTCCATTCGGTGATTCCTTTAGATTCCACTCAAAGACGATTCCATTCAATTCCATTCCATGATACCATTCGATTCCATTCATTGATGATTCCATTTGATTCCATTTGATGATTCCATTTTATTCCATTCGATGATGATTCCATTCCATTCCATTTGATGATTCCATTCCATTCCATTAGATGTTGATTCCATTCGTGTCCACTTGATGATTCCATTCTTTTCCGTTCGACCATGATTCCATTCGAGTACATTCGATGATTCCATTCGATTGCATTCGATGATTCCATTCGAGTATATTCGATGATTCCACTCGATTCCATACGACGATTATTCCATTGGAGTCCATTTGGCGATTCCTTTAGGTTCCACTCGAAGATGATTCAATTTGATTCCATTCGATTATACCATTCGATTCCATTCATTCATGATTCCATTCAAGTGCATTTGATGATAACATTCGATTCCATTTGATGATGATTCCATTCGTTTCCACTTGATTATTCATTTCCATTCCATTCAGTGATGATTCCATTAGAGTCAATTCGATGATTCCGTTGGAGTCCATTTGATGATGATTCCATTCAGTGATTCCATTCAATTCTATTTGATAATGATTCCAATCGATTCCATTCGATGCTGATTCCATGGTATTCCATTCTATGGTTTCATTCGGTTGCATTAGACAATGACTCCATTCGATTCCAATTGATGATTCCATTTGATTCTATTTCATGATGATTCCATTCGATTCCATTTGATGATGATTGCATTCTATTCAATTCGATGATGATTCCATTCGGGTCCATTAGATGATTCCATACGATTCCATTCGATGACGATTCCATTCTATTCCATTCAATGATGATTCCATTCGGGTCAATTATATGATTCCATTCGATTCCTTTTGATGATGATTCCATTCGGGTCCATTCGATGATTTCATTCTTCTCCATTCGATGATGATTACATTCAAGTCTATTCGATGATTCTATTAGAGTCCATTGAATGATTGCTTTTGATTCCATTCGATGCTGATTCCATTCCATTCCATTCCACTCCATTCCATTCGATGATGATTCCATTCGATACCATTTTATGATTCCTTTAGATTCCATTTCATGCTGATTCCATTCAATTTCATTCAAAGATTCTATTCAAATCCATTCAATGATGATTCCATTAGATTCCATTTGATGATTCCATTTGATTTCATTTGATGATGTTTCCATTTGATTCCATTTGGTGATTCCATTCAATGATGGTTCCATTCGAGTCCATTCAATGATTCCTTTCTACTCTATTTGATGATGATTCCATGCGAGGGCATTCAATGGTGATTCCTTTGGATACCATTCAATGATTCCATTCGATTGCATTCAATGATGATTGCATTCGATTCCATTCGATGATTCCGTTTCATTCCATTCAAAGATGATTCCATTCGATTCCATTTGATAATTCCATGCGATTCCATTCGATCGTTCCAATGGATTCAATTTGATGATGATTCCATTTGTGTCTATTCGATGATTCCATTCAATTCCATCAGATGATGGTTCCATTCGAGTGAATTCGATGTTTCCAATCAATTCCATTCAATGATGCTTAAATTCGAGGCTGTCTGATGACTCTATTCATTTCCATTCTACAATGATTCCCTTTGAGTCCTTTTGAAGATTTGATTCTAGTCCTTTCGATGATCCCATTCGATTCCATTCGATGATGATTCCTTTCGAGTCCATTTGACGCGTCCCTTCGAGTACATTTGATGATTCCATTCGAGTCCAACTGATGATTCCATTCAATTCCATTCTGTGATGTTTCCGTATGATTCCATTCGATGATGATTCCATGTGATTCCTTTCGATGATGATTCATTTTAATTGCATTTGATTAGGATTCATTTCCAGTTCATTCGACGATTCCACACGATTCCATTCGATGATGATTCCATTCGAGTGTATTTGATGATTCCTTTCGATTCCATTAGAAGATGATTCCATTTGATTCCGTTCATTGGTGATCCCATTCAATTCCATTCAATGATTCCATTCCATTCCATTCAACAATGATTCCATTTGATTCCATTTGATGATTCCTTCCGCTTGATTCCATTTGATGATGATTCCATTCGATTCCATTCGATGATGATTGCCTTCAATTCCATTCGATGATTCCATTCGATTCCATTCGATGACGATTCGGTTTGATTCCATTTGATGATTCCATTCGAGTCCATTCGATGATTCCATTCGATTCCATTTGATGATGATTCCATTTGAGTCCATTCGATGATTCCATTCGAGTCCATTTAATGATTCCATTCATTCGAGTCCATTTGATGATTCCATTCGATTGCATTTTATGATTATTCCATTCGTGTCCATTAGATGATTCCATTCGAGTCCATTCAATAATTCCATTCAATTCCTTTTGATGATTCCATTCGATTCTATTTGATGTTTCCATTCGAGTCCATTTGTTCATTCATTCGTGTCCATTCGATGACTCCATTCGATTCCATTTGATAATGATCCCATTTCATGATGATTCCATTCGAGTCCATTGGATGACTCCATTTGATTCCATTCGATGATGAGTCCATTTGAATCCTTTCGATGTTTCCTATCGATTCCATTCGATGACTCCGTTCAATCCCGTTCGATGTTTCAATTCGATTGTCTTTGACGATCATTCCATTCGATTCAATTTGGTGATACCATTCGATGACGATTCCGTTCGATTCCATTCGATGAGGATTCCCTTCGATTCCATTTGATGATGATTCCATTCGATTCCATTTGACGATGATTCCATTCGAGTCCATTTGATGATTCCATTCGATTCCATTTGATGATGATTCCACTCAAGCCCATTCGATTATTCCATTCGAGTCCATTCAATGATTCCATTAGATTCCATTCGATGATGATTCCATTCGAGTCCATTCGATGATTCCATTCGATTCCATTCAATGATGATTCCTTTCAGGTCCATTAGATGATCCCATTAGATTCCATTAGATGATGACTCCATTAGAGTCCATTCTTTGATTCCATTCGATTCCATTCGATGATGATTCTGTTCGAGTCCATTCGTTGATTACTGTCGATTCCATTCAATGATGATTCCCCTCGAGTCCATTCGATGATTCCACTCGAGTCCATTCGATGATTTCCTTAGATTCCATTCAGTGATGATGATTCCATTCGATTCCATTTGATGATGATTGCATTCTATTCAATTCGATGACGATTCCATTCTATTCCATTCAATGATGATTCCATTCGAGTCCATTCAATGGTGATTCTATTGGATTCCATTTGGTGATGCCATTCGATTCTGTTCGATGATTGCATTCGATTCCATTTGATGATTCCCTTCGATTCCATTCAAAGTTTATTCCATTCGAGTCCGTTTGATAATTCCATTCGATTCCATTCTCCGATGATTCCACTGGTGTCCGTTCGATGATTCCATTCAATTCCAGTTGATGATGATTCCATTCGAGTCCATTCAATGATTTCATTGGATTCCATTTGATAATGACTCCTTCCGGTTCCATTCCATGATGATTCCATTCGGTTCCATTAGATAGTGATTCCATTCAAGTCCATTCGATGATTCCATTCGATTCCACTTGATTTTGATTCCATTGGAGTCCATTTGATTATTCCCTTTGAATGCATTCCATGATTCCTTTCGATTCCATTTGATATTGCTTCCACTCGAGTCCATTCGATGATTCCATTTGATTTCATTCAATGATGACTCGATTCAATTCCGTTTGATGATTCCATTTGATTCCATTTGATGACAACTCCATTCGAGCCCATTCGATGATTCCTTTCGAGTCCATTTGATGATTCTATTTGGTTCCATTCGATGATGATTCCTTTGAATTCCATTCGTTGGTGATTCCATTCGATTCCATTCGATGATGATTCCATTCAATTGCATTCGATGATGATTCCATTCGATTCCATTCGATGATGATTCCATTCGGTTTCATTCGATGATTCTATTCAATTCCTTTCTATGAGTATTCAATTCTTTTCCATTTGATGATTCCATGTGATTCCACTTGATGATGATTCCATTCGTTTGCATTCGATGATGATTCCATTCAGGTCCATTCAAAGATTCCATTCGATTCCATTCTATGATGATTGCATTCGAGTTCATTTGATGATTCCATTCGACTGCATTCGATGATGATTCCATTCGTTGATATTCAATGATTCCATTCGATTCCATTTGCTGATGATTCCATTCGACTCCATTCAACGATTCCATTCGATTCCATTCAATGAGGATTCCATTCGAGTCCTTTTGATGATTCTGTTCAATTCCATTCGATGATGATTCCTCTCAAATACATTTGATGATTCCATTCGAGTACATTCGATTATTCCATTTGATTTTATTCGATAATGATTCCATTCGATGCCATTCGATGATTCCATTCGATTCCATTCAATGGTGATTCCATTCGATGCCATTCGATGATTCCATTCAGTCTTATTTGATGATGATTCCATCCGTGTCCATTCGATGATTCCGTTCGTTTCCATTCGATGATGATTCCATTTGAATCTATTCGATGATTCCTATCGATTCCATTCGATGACTCTGTTCAATCCCATTCGATGTTTCCCTTCGATTGTCTTTGATGATCATTCCATTCGATTCAATTTGGTGATTCCATTCCATGATGATTCCGTTCGATTCCATTCGATGAGGATTCCATTCGATTCCATTGAATGATGATTCCATTCGATTCCATTTGACGATGATTCCATTCGAGTCCATTTGATGATTCCATTCGATTCCATTTGATGATGATTCCACTCAAGCCCATTCGATTATTCCATTCGAGTCCATTCAATGATTCCATTAGATTCCATTCGATGATGACTCCATTCGAGTCCATTCGATGATTCCATTCGATTCCATTCAATGATGATTCCTTTCAGGTCCATTAGATGATTCCATTAGATTCCATTTGATGATGACTCCATTAGAGTCCATTCTTTGATTCCATTCGATTCCATTCGATGATGATTCTATTGGAGTCCATTCGTTGATTCCATTCGATTCCATTCAATCATGATTCCATTCGAGTCCAATCGATGATTACAGTCAATTCCATTCGATGATGATTCCCCTCGTGTCCATTCGAATATTCCACTCGAGTCCGTTCGATGATTTCCTTAGATTCCATTCAATGATGATTCCACTCAATGCAATTCAGTGACTAAATTCGATTCCATTCGATGTTGTTTCCATTCAAGTCCATTTGATGATTCTATTCGATTCCATTCAATGATGATTCCATTCGTGTCCACTCGAAGATTCCATTCTATTCCATTCGATGATTATTCCATTAGACTCCATTCCATGATGATTCCATTCGATTTCATTCTGTGATTCTATTCATTTCCATTCGATGATGATTCCATTCTTTTCCAGTCGATGATTCCATTCGATGCCATTCGATGATTACATTCGATTACATTCGACGATGACTCCATTCTATTCCATTTGATGATTCCATTCGATTCCATTCGATGAGGATTCCATTTGATTCCATTCAATGATGATTCCATTCATGTCCATTCGATTGAATTACATTTCATTGCATTCGATGATGATTCCATTCGCGTCCATTAGATGATTCCATTTGATTCCATTCATTGATGATCCCATTCAGATTCCATTCGATGATTCCATTCAATTGCATTCAATGTTTCCATTCGATTCCATTCGATGATGATTCCCTTCGAGTCCATTAGAAGATTCCATAACATTCCATTCGATGGTGATTCCTTTCCATTTCATTCAATGATTACATTCGATTCCATTCGATGATGATTCCCTTGGATTCCATGAGATGATTTCATAACATTCCATTCGATGGTGATTCCTTTGGATTCCATTCGATGGTTATTCCATTTGATTCGTTTCGATTATTCCTTTCATGTCCATTCGATGACACCATTGAATTCCATTCGATGACTTCATTCGTATCCACTTGTTGATGATTCCTTTCGATTCCATTCGATGATGATTCCAGTCGATTCCCTTCATTGATGATTCGATTAGATTCCATTTGATGATGATTCCATTCGAGTCCATTCAATGAAGATTCCATTCAATTCCATTTGATGATGATTCCATTTGACTACATTCAATGATGATTCCATTCGATTCCATTCAAAGATTCAATTCGAGTCCATTCAATGATTAAATTCGATTCCATTTGATGATGATTCCTTTCAAGTCCATTCAATGATTCCATTCAATTCCATTCGATAATAATTCCTTACAAGTCCATTCAATGATTCCATTCAGTTGCATTCTATGATTCCATACGTTTTCATTCGATGATGATTCCATTTGAGTCCATTTGATGATTACATTAGATTCCATTCGAGCATAATTCCTTTCAAGTCCATTCGATGATTCCATTCAATTCCATTCCATGATGATTCCATTTGATTCCATTCAATGATGATTCCATTCGAGTCCATTCTACGATTCCTTTCTATTCCATTCGTTGATTCCATTCAATTCCATTCGATGATGATTGCATTCGACTACATTCGATGATTCCACTCGATTCCATCCGACGATTGGAGTCCATTCGGTGATTCCTTTACATTGCACTCAAAGACGATTCCATTCAATTCCATTCCATGATACCATTCGATTCCATTCATTGATGATTCCATTTGATTCCATTTGATGATTCCATTTTATTCCATTCGATGATGATTCCATTCCATTCCATTTGATGATTCCATTCCATTCCATCAGATGTTGATTCCATTCGTGTCCGCTTGATGATTCCATTCTTTTCCGTTCGACCATGATTCCATTCGATTCCATTCGATGATTCCATTCGAGTACATTCGATGATTCCATTCGAGTACATTCGATGATTCCACTCGATTCCATACGATGATTATTCCATTGGAGTCCATTTGGCGATTCCTTTAGTTTCCACTCGAAGATGATTCCGTTTGATTCCATTCGATTATACCATTCGATTCCATTCATTGATGATTCCATTCAAGTGCATTTGATGATACCATTCGATTCCATTCGATGATGATTCCATTCGTTTCCATTTGATTATTCCATTCTATTCCATTCAATGATGATACCATTAGTGTCAATTCGATGATTCCATTGGAGTCCATTTGATGATGATTCCATTCAGTGATTCCATTCAATTCTATTTGATAATGATTCCCATCGATTCCATTCGATGTTGATTCCATGGGATTCCATTCTATGATTTCTTTCGATTGCATTAGACAATGACTCCATTCGATTCCATTTGATGATTCCATTCGATTCTATTTGATGATGATTCCATTCGATTCCATTTGATGATGATTGCATTCTATTCAATTCGATGATGATTCCATTCGTGTCCATTAGATGATTCCATACGATTCCATTCGATGACGATTCCATTCTATTCCATTGAATGATGATTCCATTCGGGTCCATTATATGATTCCACTCGATTCCATTTGATGATGATTCCATTCTTCTCCATTCGATGATGATTACATTCAAGTCTATTCGATGATTCTATTAGAGTCCATTGAATGATTGCTTTTGATTCCATTCGATGCTGATTCCATTCCATTCCATTCCATTCCATTCCATTCGATGATGATTCCATTCGATACCATTCTATGATTCCTTTAGATTCCATTTCATGCTGATTCCATTCAATTTCATTGAAAGATTCTATTCGAATCCATTCAATGATGATTCCATTCGATTCCATTTGATGATTCCATTTGATTTCATTTGATGATGATTCCATTTGATTCCATTTGGTGATTCCATTCAATGATGGTTCCATTCGAGTCCATTCAATGATTCCTTTCTACTCTATTTGATGATGATTCCATGCGAGGTCATTCAATGTTGATTCCTTTGGATACCATTGCATGATTCCATTCGATTCTATTCAATGATGATTGCATTCGATTCCATTCGATGATTCCATTTGATTCCATCCAAAGATGATTCCATTCGATTCCATTTGATAATTCCATGCGATTCCATTCGATCGTTCCAATGGATTCCATTTGATGATGATTCTATTTGTGTCCATTCGATGATTCCATTGAATTCCATACGATGATGATTCCATTCGAGTGAATTCGATGTTTGGAATCAATTCCATTCAATGATGCTTCCATTCGAGGCTGTCTGATGACTCTATTCATTTCCATTCTACAATGATTCCCTTTGAGTCCTTTTGAAGATTTGATTCGAGTCCTTTCGATGATCTCGTTCGATTCCATTCGAGGATGATTCCGTTCGAGTCCATTTGACGCGTCCCTTCGAGGACATTTGATGAGTCCATTCGAGTCCAACTGATGATTCCATTCAATTCCATTCTGTGATGTTTCCGTATGATTCCATTCGATGATGATTCCATGTGTTTCCTTTCAATGATGATTCATTTTAATTGCATTTGATTATGATTCATTTCCAGTTCATTCGACGATTCCACATGATTCCATTCGATGATATTTCCATTCGAGTGTATTTGATGATTCCTTTCGATTCCATTAGAAGATGATTCCATTTGATTCCGTTCATTGGTGATCCCATTCAATTCCATTCAACGATTCCATTCCATTCCATTCAACAATGATTCCATTTGATTCCATTTGATGATTCCTTCCGCTTGATTCGATTTGATGATGATTCCATTCGATTCCATTCGATGGTGATTGCCTTCAATTCCATTCGATGATTCCATTCGATTCCATTCGATGACGATTCGGTTTGATTCCATTTGATGATTCCATTCGAGTCCATTCGATGATTCCATTCGATTCCATTTGATGATGATTCCATTTGAGTCCATTCGATGATTCCATTCGAGTCTATTCAATGATTCCATTCATTCGAGTCTATTTGATGATTCCATTCGATTCCATTTTATGATTATTCCATTCGTGTCCATTATATGATTCCATTCGAGTCCATTCAATAATTCCATTCAATTCCTTTCGATGATTCCATTCGATTCTATTTGATGTTTCCATTCGAGTCCATTTGTTCATTCATTCGTGTCCATTCGATGACTCCATTCGATTACATTTGATGATGATCCCATTTGATGATGATTCCATTGGAGTCCATTTGATGACTCCATTTGATTCCATTCGATGTTGATTCCATTCGTGTCCATTCAATGTTTTTGTTCTATTCCACTCAATGAGGATTCCCTTCAAATCCATTTGATGATTGTATTCAAGTCCATTCAGTGATTGCTTTCGATTCCATTCGATATTGATTCCCTTTGATTCCATTCGATGAGGATTCCATTCGATGTCATTCTAGGATTCCATTCGATTCCATTTGATGTTGATTGCATTTGATTCCATTTGATTATTCTATTCGATAATTTTGATGACGATTCCATTCGATTCCATTCAGTGATTCCAGTTCATTACAGTTGATGATGATTCCTTTCGATTCCATTCGATGATTCCAATTGATTCCAATCGATGATGATTCCATTCGAGTCCATTCGATGATTCCATTCGATTCCATTCAATGATGATTCCATTCGAGTCCATTCAATGGTGATTCCATTGGATTCCATTCGGTGATGCCATTCGATTCCGTTCGATGAAAGCATTCGATTCCATTTGATGATTCCCTTCGATTCCATTCAAAGTTTATTCCATTCGAGTCCATTTGATAATTCCATTCGATTCCATTCTCCGAGGATTCCACTGGAGTCCGTTCGATGATTCCATTCAATTCCAGTTGATGATGATTCCATTCGAGTCCATTCAATGATTTCATTGGATTCCATTTGATGATGACTCCTTCCGGTTCCATTCCATGATGATTCCATTCGGTTCCATTAGATAGTGATTCCATTCAAGTCCATTCGATGATTCCATTCGATTCCATTCGATGATGATTCCATTCCGGTCCATTCGATGTTTCCTTTCGATTAAACTTGATGTTGATTCCATTTGAGTCCATTTGATTATTCCCTTTGACTGCATTCCATGATTCCTTTCGATTCCATTTGATATTGCTTCCATTCGAGTCCATTCGATGATTCCATTCGATTTCATTCAATGATGATTCGATTCAATTCCGTCCGATGATTCCATTTGACTCCATTCGATGACAACTCCATTCGAGTCCATTCGATGATTCCTTTCGAGTCCATTTGATGATTCTATTTGGTTCCATTCGATGATGATTCCTTTGAATTCCATTCGTTGGTGATTCCATTCGATTCCATTCGATGATGATTCCATTCGATTGCATTCGATGATGATTCCATTCGGTTTCATTCGATGATTCCATTCAATTCCTTTCTATGATTATTCAATTCTTTTCCATTTGATGATTCCATGTGATTCCATTTGATGATGATTCCATTCGTTTGCATTCGATGATGATTCCATTCAGGTCCATTCAAAGATTCCATTCGATTCCATTCTATGATGATTGCATTCGAGTTCATTTGATGATTCCATTCGACTCCATTCGATGATGACTCCATTCGTTGATATTCAATGATTCCATTCGATTCCATTTGCTGATGATTCCATTCGACTCCATTCAACGATTCCATTCGATTCCATTCAATGAGGATTCCATTCGAGTCCTTTTGATGATTCTGTTCAATTCCATTCGATGATGATTCCTCTCAAATCCATTTGATGATTCCATTCGAGTACATTCGATTATTCCATTTGATTTTATTCGATGACGATTCCATTCGATGCCATTCGATGATTCCATTCGATTCCATTCAATGGTGATTCCATTCGATGCCATTGGATGATTCCATTCAATCCTATTTGATGATGATTCCATTCCTGTCCATTCGATGATTCCGTTCGTTTCCATTCGATGATGATTCCATTTGAATCCATTCGATGATTCCTATCGATTCCATTCGATGACTCCGTTCAATCCCATTCGATGTTTCCCTTCGATTGTCTTTGATGATCATTCCATTCGATTCAATTTTGTGATTCCATTCCATGATGATTCCGTTCGATTCCATTCGATGAGGATTCCATTCGATTCCATTTGATGATGATTCCATTCGATTCCATTTGACTATGTTTCCATTCGAGTCCATTTGATGATTCCATTCGATTCCATTTGATGATGATTCCACTCAAGCCCATTCGATTATTCCATTCGAGTCCATTCAATGATTCCATTAGATTCCATTCGATGATGATTCCATTCGAGTCCATTCGATGATTCCATTCCATTCCATTCAATGATGATTCCTTTCAGGTCCATTAGATGATTCTATTAGATTCCATTTGATGATGACTCCATTAGAGTCCATTCTTTGATTTCGATTCCATTCGATGATGATTCTATTCGAGTCCATTCGTTGATTCCATTCGATTCCATTCAATGATGATTCTATTCGAGTCCAATCGATGATTACAGTCGATTCCATTCGATGATGATTCCCCTCGAGTCCATTCGATGATTCCACTCGAGTCCGTTCGATGATTTCCTTAGACTCCATTCAATGATGATTCCACTCAATGCAATTCAATGACTAAATTCGATTCCATTCGATGTTGTTTCCATTCAAGTCCATATGATGATTCTATTCGATTCCATTCAATGATGATTCCATTCGTGTCCACTCGATGATTCCATTCTATTCCATTCGATGATTATTCCATTAGACTCCATTCGATGATGATTCCATTCGATTTCATTCTGTGATTCTATTCATTTCCATTCGATGATGATTCCATTCTTTTCCAGTCGATGATTCCATTCGATGCCATTCGATGATGATTGCCTTCCAGTCCATTAGAAGATTCCATAACATTCCATTCGATGGTGATTCCTTTCCTTTTCATTCAATGATTCCATTCGATTCCATTCGATGATGATTCCCTTCGATTCCATGAGATGATTTCATAACATTCCATTCGATCGTGATTCCATTGGATTCCATTCGATGGTGATTCCATTTGATTCCATTCGATGATTCCTTTCGTGTCCATTCGATGACACCATTGGATTCCATTCAATGATTTCATTCGTTTCCACTTGTTGATGATTCCATTCGATTCCATTCGATGATGCTTCCATTCGATTCCCTTCATTGATGATTCGATTAGATTCCAATTGATGATGATTCCTTTCGAGTCGATTCAATGAAGATTCCATTCAATTCCATTTGATGATGATTCCATTTGACTCCATTCAATGATGATTCCATTCGATTCCATTCGATTCCATTCAAAGATTCAATTCGAGTCCATTCAATGATTCCATTCGATTCCACTTGATGATGATTCCTTTCAAGTCCATTCAATGATTCCATTCAATTCCATTCCATAATAATTCCTTTCAAGTCCACTCAATGATTCCATTCAGTTGCATTCGATGATTCCATATGATTTCATTCGATGATGATTCCATTTGAGTCCATTTGATGATTCCATTAGATTCCATTCGAGCACAATTCCTTTCGAGTCCATTCGATAATTCCATTCAATTCCATTCCATGATGATTCCATTTGATTCCATTCAATGATGATTCCATTCGCGTCCCTTCTACGATTCCTTTCTATTCCATTCGTTGATTCCATTCAGTTCCATTCGATGATGATTGCATTCAACTACACTCGATGATTCCACTTTATTCCATCCGATGATTGGAGTCCATTCGGTGATTCCTTTAGATTCCACTCAAAGACGATTCCATTCAATTCCATTCCATGATACCATTTGATTCCATTCATTGATGATTCCATTTGATTCCGTTTGATGATTCCATTTGATTCCATTCGATGATGATTCCATTCCATTCCATTTGATGATTCCATTCCATTCCATTAGATGTTGATTCCATTCGTGTCCACTTGATGATTCCCTTATTTTCCGTTCGACCATGATTCCATTCGATTCCATTCGATGATTCCATTCGATTCCATTCGATGATGATTCCATTCGTTTCCATTTGATTATTCCATTCTATTCCATTCAGTGATGATTCCATTAGAGTCAATTCGATGATTCCGTTGGAGTCCATTTGATGAGGATTCCATTCAGTGATTCCATTCAATTCTATTTGATAATGATTCCAATCGATTCCATTCTATGTTGATTCCATGGGATTCCATTCTATGATTTCATTCGATTGCATTAGACAATGACTCCATTCGATTCCATTTGATGATTCCATTCGATTCTATTTGATGATGATTCCATTCGATTCCATTTGATGATGATTGCATTCTATTCAATTCGATGATGATTCCATTCGTGTCCATTAGATGATTCCATACGATTCCATTCGATGACGATTCCATTTGATTCCATTCGATGATGATTCCATTCGTGTCCATTCGATGATTCCATTCTTCTCCACTCGATGATGATTACATTCAAGTCTATTCGCTGATTCTATTAGAGTCCATTGAATGATTGCTTTTGATTCCATTCGATGCTGATTCCATTCCATTCCATTCCATTCCATTCCATTCGATGATGATTCCATTCGATACCATTCTATGATTCCTTTAGATTCCATTTCATGCTGATTCCATTCAATTTCATTCAAAGATTCTATTCGAATCCATTCAATGATGATTCCATTCGATTCCATTTGATGATTCCATTTGATTTCATTTGATGATGATTCCATTTGATTCCATTTGGTGATTCCATTCAATGATGGATCCATTCCAGTCCATTCAATGATTCCTTTCTACTCTATATGATGATGATTCCATGCGAGGGCATTCAATGGTGATTCCTTTGGATACCATTCGATGATTCCATTCGATTCCATTCAATGATGATTGCATTCGATTCCATTCGATGATTCCATTGGATTCCATTCAAAGATGATTCCATTCGATTCCATTTGATAATTCCATGCGATTCCATTTGATCGTTCCAATGGATTCCATTTGATGATGATTCCATTTGTGTCCATTCGGTGATTCCATTCAATTGCATCAGATGATCATTCCATTCGAGTGAATTCGATGTTTCCAATCAATTCCATTCAATGATGCTTCCATTCGAGGCTGTCTGATGACTCTATTCATTTCCATTCTACAATGATTCCCTTTGAGTCCTTTTGAAGATTTGATTCGAGTCCTTTTGATGATCCCGTTCGATTCCATTCGATGATGATTCCGTTCGAGTCCATTTGACGCGTCCCTTGGAGTACATTTGATGATTCCATTCGAGTCTAGCTGATGATTCCATTCAATTCCATTCTGTGATGTTTCCGTATGATTCCATTCGATGATGATAACATGTGATTCCTTTCGATGATGATTCATTTTAATTGCGTTTGATTATGATTCATTTCCAGTTCATTCGATGATTCCACATGATTCCATTCGATGATGATTCCATTCGAGTGTATTTGATGATTCCTTACGATTCCATTAGAAGATGATTCCATTTGATTCCGTTCATTGGTGATCCCATTCAATTCCATTCAATGATTCCATTCCATTCCATTCAACAATGATTCCTTTTGATTCCATTTGATGATTCCTTCCACTTGATTCCATTTGTTGATGATTCCATTCGATTCCATTCGATGATGATTGCCTTCAATTCCATTCGATGATTCCATTCGATTCCATTCGATGACGATTCGGTTTGATTCCATGGGATGATTCCATTCGAGTCCATTCGATGATTCCATTCGATTCCATTTGATGATGATTCCATTTGAGTCCATTCGATGATTCCATTCGAGTCCATTCAATGATTCCATTCATTCGTGTCCTTTAGATGATTCCATTCGAGTCCATTCAATCATTGCATTCAATTCCTTTCGATGATTCCATTCGATTCTATTTGATGTTTCCATTCGAGTCCATTTGTTCATTCATTCGTGTCCATTCGATGACTCCATTCGATTCCATTTGATGATGATCCCATTTGATGATGATTCCATTCGAGTCCATTTGATGACTCCATTTGATTCCATTCGATGATGATTCCATTCGTGTCCATTCAATGTTTTTGTTCTATTCCATTCAATGAGTATTCCCTTCAAATCCATTTGATGATTGTATTCAAGTCCATTCAGTGATTGCTTTCGATTCCATTCGATATTGATTCCCTTTGATTCCATTCGATGAGGATTCCATTCGATGTCATTCTAGGATTCCATTCGATTCCACTTGATGTTGATTGCATTTGATTCCATTTGATTATTCTATTCGAATATTTTTGATGACGATTCCATTCGATTCAATTCAGTGATTCCTGTTCATTACAGTTGATGATGATTCCTTTCGATTCCTTTCGATGATTCCATTTGATTCCAATCGATGATGTTTCCATTCGAGTCCATTCGATGATTCCATTCGATTCCATTCAATGATGATTCCATTCGAGTCCATTCAATGGTGATTCCATTGGATTCCATTCGATGATTCCATTCGATTCCGTTCGATGATTGCATTCGATTCCATTTGATGATTCCCTTCGTTTCCATTCAAAGTTTATTCCATTCGAGTCCGTTTGATAATTCCATTCGATTCCATTCTCCGATGATTCCATTCGAGACCGTTCGATGATTCCATTCAATTCCCGTTGACGATGATTCCATTCGAGTCCATTCAATGATTTCATTGGATTCCATTTGATGATGACTCCTTCCGGTTCCATTCCATGATGATTCCATTCGGTTCCATTAGATAGTGATTCCATTCAAGTCCATTCGATGATTCCATTCGATTCCATTCGATGATGATTCCGTTCCGGTCCATTCGATGATTCCTTTCGATTCCACTTGATGTTGATTCCATTTGAGTCCATTTGATTGTTCCCTTTGAATGCATTCCATGATTCCTTTCGATTCCATTTGATATTGCTTCCATTCGAGTCCATTCGATGATTCCATTTGATTTCATTCAATGATGATTCGATTCAATTCCGTTCGATGATTCCATTTGATTCCATTCGATGACAACTCCATTCGAGTCCATTCGATGATTCCTTTCGAGTCCATTTGATGATTCTATTTGGTTCCATTCGATGATGATTCCTTTCAATTCCATTCGTTGGTGATTCCATTCGATTCCATTCGATGATGATTCCATTCAATTGCATTCGATGATGATTCCATTCGATTCCATTCGATGAAGATTCCATGCGGTTTCATTCGATGATTCTATTCAATTCCTTTCTATGATTATTCAATTCTTTTCCATTTGATGATTCCATGTGATTCCATTTGATGATGATTCCATTCGTTTGCATTCGATGATGATTCCATTCAGGTCCATTCAAAGATTCCATTGGATTCCATTCTATGATGATTGCATTCGAGTTCATTTGATGATTCCATTCGACTCCATTCGATGATGATTTCATTCGTTGATCTTCAATGATTCCATTCGATTCTATTTGCTGATGATTCCATTCGACTCCATTCAATGATTCCATTCGATTCCATTCAATGAGGATTCCATTCGAGTCCATTTGATGATTCTGTTCAATTCCATTCGATGATGATTCCTCTCAAATCCATTTGATGATTCCATTCGAGTACATTCGATTATTCCATTTGATTTTATTCGATGATGATTCCATTCGATGCCATTCGATGATTCCGTTCGATTCCATTCAATGGTGATTCCATTCGATGCCATTCGATGATTCCATTCAATCCTATTTGATGATGATTCCATCCGTGTCCATTCGATGATTCCGTTCGTTTCCATTCGATGATGATTCCATTTGAATCCATTCGATGATTCCTATCGATTCCATTCGATGACTCCGTTCAATCCCATTCGATGTTTCCCTTCGATTGTCTTTGATGATCATTCCATTCGATTCAATTTGGTGATTCCATTCGATGATGATTCCGTTCGATTCCATTCGATGAGGATTCCATTCGATTCCATTTGATGATGATTCCAATCGATTCCATTTGACGATGATTCCATTCGAGTCCATTTGATGATTCCATTCGATTCCATTTGATGATGATTCCACTCAAGCCCATTCGATTATTCCATTCGAGTCTATTCAATGATTCCAGTAGATTCCACTCGATGATGATTCCATTGGATTCCATTCAATGATGATTCTATTCATGTCCATTCGATGATTCCATTGTATTCCATTTAATGATGATTCCATTCGAGTCTATTCCATGATTCCATTCAATTCCATTCACTGATGAATCCATCCGAATCCATTCGATGATTCCATTCGTTTCCCTTCGATGATTCCATTTGATCCCATTCGATGATTCCCTTCAATTCCTTTCGGTGATCTTTCCATTCGATTCAATTCATTGATTCAATTTGATTCCATACGATGATGATTCCATTCGATTCCATTTGATGATGATTCCATTTGATTCCATTTGATCATGAGTCCATTCGATTCCATTTGCTGATTACTGTGTTCGGTTCCATTTAATGATGATTCCTTTCAGTTCCATTTGATGATGGTTCCTTTAGATTCCATTCGATGATTCCATTCGATTACTTTTGTTGATGATTCCATTCGATTCCCTTCAATGATGATTTCATTCGATTCCATTTGATGATGATTCCATTCGATTCCATTCAGTGATTATTCCATCTGATTCCATTCGATGATTATTCCATCCGATTCCATTCGATGATTATTCCATTCAAGTCCTTTGGATGATGATGCCTTTTGATTCCATTCAATGATGACTCCATTCGTTTCCATTCGATGGTGTTTCCACTTGATTCCATTCGATGATATTTCCATTCTATTCCATTCGATGATGATTCCATTCCATTCCATTCCACTACATTCCATTACATCTGATTCCATTCCACTCCATTCCACTCCTCTCCTCTCCACTCCACTCCCTTGCTTTCCATTCCATTCCTTTCTTTCGAGAGTGGCTCATTGTTTCACCCATTGTGTAACACAATGGCACAATCTCATCTCCCATTCCATTCAATTCCTCTCCATTCAATTCCATTTGATTCCATTCCATTCCATTCCATTCCATTCCATTCCATTCTATTCCATTCCATTCCATTCCATTCCATTCTATTCCATTCCTTTCCTTTCCATTCGAAGAAGAAAAGGTGTTGCAAAGTCATACTCACTTTTCTGCACTTGTCATACAATTAAGATTTCTTTGAGTACTTCAGCCCTAATAATTTTCGTTTTATCATACATATTGCAGTGCTTATCTAATTTTAAATATATTTTTGTTTCAACATCCAGTTTCTTATTTGTTCTATCTGTTTGTTTACAATAAATTTTACTCTGTGTTCATTCTTTGATTTCAGAACTTCAACCTTTCTGAAGCATATTTTCAGAGTTTCTCTTTAGTTTCTTTAGTGGAATTCTGCTGGTGGCGTTTTGTTTTTTTCTCTAAATATGTTATTTAGCCACAGGTTGATGAATATTTTTCTTCGTTTAGAAATTCAGAATGGCATTATTATTCTGAACAAATAATATTGTTTATTTTACCTTTCATTTTTTCAGATTTCGGTATGATTAAAAGTAATTTCATTTTTCTAGTGGTAATTGAAATATTTTTCCCTTCATGGGTGTTTACTATTTCTCTAGGAGATACATAGGTGTAGGTGTATCTCCATTGTAGCTTGCTTAGCATGCATGGAGTTTTTGAATATGCAGATCAGTGTCTTACAAAAGTCTAGGGAACTTTCAGACAAAATACCAACACATATTGTCCCTTCCCAGTTCCCTTGTTCTATGAGAACGCTCTCTAAACACATGCTACACTTTCTCACTGTATCTTCCATGTCTCTTCATCATTCTGTCCACATTTTACATTTTTCAAAATTTTCTGTAATGCATTCTGAAATATTTATGAACTCTCACCTTGGCCATGTCTAATCTGATGAATTCATTTTTGAGTTTTTAATTTAAAATAACTACATTTTTATACAAACTTCTTTTCAAATTTGCTACATGAATTTTTTAGTCTCCTAACAATATATTCATTTTTTAAAAAATTTTTTGTAAGCAAATGTGCTTTGTAATCTAACAGTGATATTTCTACTAATGAACCTTTGTGGATCTGTTTGTAGTCTTTTTCTGCTTTCCTTTCAAATGGTGGAATATCATTTCCTTGCATGCTTAGATGTCTTTGAATGACAAATATTTATTTTTCTCTGAAAATTATTTTTGTGCACTTTTGCAGATTAATAAGTAGAAAATTTGCCAAAGAGAAGTTGAATTTTTTTGTGATTCTACTAAAGGCACCACCATTCTGGGACCACATTATGTTAATTCTTGGCCTAAAGGTGTTCGGACATATGTTTGGACTGCACATTTAAACAATTTTTAAATTAGTTGCTGTTAATCATTAATGATTGAGTTTCTTTAAATCCGTCCAATCTCAAATCATTTTTATTTGCCATTTCCAGGGAATGTGAAATGGGACTAATTTACCTCTGATCTTCCTTATACTGAGGATAGAAATGTTGGTCTTAGCTGTAGGGAGGAGCTCCTGTGTGATGCCCTATCTTGGGAAAATCTATGTATTTTTTTACTGTCCTATGTAATGTATGACAATAGGAATCTGCACTCATTCATTTTGCTACATGTCCGTAGGGAAAAATCAGTTTCCGTGTTTAGTTATATTTTGTCTGCTCCCTGCATTCCCATGGTTTTGACCTTATATTTTACTTTTATGTGTGAACATACCAGTGCTTCAAATTTTTTCCAGTAATATATTCAACTATATTATGAGAAAGAGAAAAATTTTGATAAAACACAAATTTCATGTTTTCCCTCTGTAATTGGCTTTTACTTCAAAATACAGGTAAAATTTATTTGTGCTTTTTTTGCTATTTCTGTTTTGCTATTCTCTGTCTATGTCTTCTCCACATAGACACAATTAGGGAATTTTGTACCCTCTTGTGCCAACTGCTTTGATAGTAACAAAATGTATTTCTGGAACTCCTAGGTATAAAACTCAAGTATCCACAATTTAAATTCTTTTTTGCTCATTTCTATTATGTTTCCAGTCTCAATAGAAATCGATGACAATCCAGAAATACAAGCATTATTCTAATACTTCTCACACATTACAGGTATAGATTAAATTTTCTAGATCTCCTTAAATACTATCATTTTTCACTACTTGTATCTTAACTGTTAAGTTCAACATTTTCTATAATATTAATATGTTGTGAAAATTTCCTTACTTTCTTGTTTGTCCCAAGTTCAAGGTTTTGCAGTCTCTACCTCACCCTGTGAAGCATAAACATTGTACTATGCTGTACAAATATTACATAGTTCATGTGCTTAGAGATTGCACAATTTTTGTTTGGTTGACAATAGCTAATGTTTTCTTCTTCATTTTCTATTTCCTGATTTTTCTTTATTTAGTATATGCTACATTATTATAAACATAAGAACGTTTTACAAACTAAAGCAAAAGAAACCCTAGGAAAAAAATGCACAAATAAAATATATAAACATACAATTAGATGTACCATGTACCCTTCTAATTTATTTAGACATTTAATTGTAGTACAATTTTAATTAAAGTCTGTGTATTATCTGCCATCGTCTTAGTATTTTTTATATAACAAATTGTGTAAATCAAAAAGCCTCAATGTCATTATAAACTATCTTGGCAGAGGTTGATGTCCAAGGAATAATTTCTCTCCCAAATTATGTCAATCAGAATTTCACTCTACCATAATTCTTTTAATCAGTTTCAGAGGAATCATCAATTTCAAAATTGTTCAAGGTTGTTGTTGTAGTTCAAGTACATTTTGACAGGTGTAAAACTGTAGACAGACTGATACAAACATATTCTATTTGACACAAAAGTATATGGGTCCTTTTTTAAATTCTAGACTTTAAAATGTCGTGTCAACGTACACATGTTCTCCTTGTGAAATAATTGCTTTTTATTCTCTGGATAGAATAATTTAATCTTTAAACCTTCAATTCACTGTTAAAAACAAAATATTACCTAAGGATATGCATATAAAAATAATTCACAGCTAGCTTTTCAATTCAGAAATATATGTGAGAAATCATCAAGCATCTAATGGATTTCAAGGAGAAATGGGTTAGTAATTTATTCCATATGTCTCAATTTTTCCTAGATTCAAGGCTTCCTTTAAAATAATTGTAGGCGTTTAAGAAACCATGTAAACTAAAAAGAAGAAATTGTGACACTGCCACTTAGGTTTTTTAAATCTTTTGACATGAATCAATATACTTTTTAATTTTATCTTAATTAGACATTGTGAGTTCACCATCTTCCTGTCAGTACAGCATCCAAGCTGATTATCATAGATTACAAGTTACACTATCAACTGTATTCTGAGACTCTTAAAAAAAAATGAGTGTTTTTGTTTGGGTATTCTTAAAGCAGGAGTGAGGACACAGCGAAAGTGAGACAAGGAAGAGAGAACAAAATAAAACAGGAAAGATAGAAAAGCCAGTACCACACGTGTTAAGAGGCAAGTTCCTGTGTTAGATATCGGGGCTTAATTCTATGGGAAGCTATGTGGAACATGCCTCAGAATTACATCACTGAATCCAGGGAGATTCTTCTTAGTTATCCTCACCTTTTCTTCCCACTTGCCCAGTATCAAGCTCCCATGCTGCTAGAGAAAGTCCTCAGCTAGAAACAGCTGCAAATTCTGGAGATGAGACCTTGTAGAGTGTTAAGAGTGGTTTTCTTCCCAGCAGCTACAGGTAAGGAATAGGGGCTGGGCTATTAATACATCTGCTACAAATCAATATACCCCTTATGCTCCTTTTGGTGATCAACAATGTATTTGAAAATATTAGATGATCAAGAAGGGCTGCAGAAAGCAGGAAACAGAAACAAACAGCACACCTCTTGGTTTATTTTTATTCATTTCATCAGTTTCAAGGAAAATGTGTTGGGAGTTCCTGGCATAGAGAATGTCACAAAGATATGTTTTCAATAGTGGTGCTATCCCTAGGGCAGAGAAGATCCAGAGAAAGCACAAGTGGCTGCGGGAACAAAGTCAGACACCGTGCCACCTGTCCACACTCCTTGGTTCTGCCATCATGCTGAAGATTGGTTTAAAGGGCTGGCTTCCCTTCCCACAAAATTAAAAGAGCACAGACTGAGAAACTGAATGCGGGAGACAGCAGTGGATTATGCTGTTCTCAGGGGTCACCTCAGCTTTGGAAGCATTCTTTCAAATTAACCCATCTCAGGCCATCTGCAGAGAAGAAAGGTGATACCTAACTTTTTTTCTTGTCAGCCCTTGGTAGGGGTGTTTTGTTGACCAAATATGTTCCCACAACCTAGTTTCTTGTAACTAACTAAATATAGTAGATTTTTAAATGTTATCATGAAAATCTACAGACAATTTTTTATTAAAATAGGCTCCACATCTATGTCCTCCTTTTCTTCTTATTAATTACATTGCTGTATAAAAGAACAAGACTTCAGAATCAAGAATATCTTGTCTCTTGGCATTGAATTTTTACAAGGTGCTCTTTCTTTAATGCTGTCTCAAAGCACATATTTGTACTCATTAAAAAGGAAGATCAGAATCTAGTTGTATGCACTGCTCCAACATATTAATAATTAAAATTAGGAGGTAAATGTGGTCAAAGCTATAGAAAGACTTGAGATGTCATTTATATTGATTACTGTATAGCACTCTACAAACAGAAATTGTTAAATAATAGTTTATATAAATATTTTGTAGCATTTCAAATATTTGAGTGCCTGAAATTTCTCCTCCAATATAGTCCAGATTATCAATTTGAAGACTTACTCCGCTGGTTAAAAAGTTTTTAGTCGCGTTTGAGTATTATATAAAAGCAATTTTCAGTTAAATGTGTTCCACTTACATAAAACATTACAAATTAGTGAGTATTTAATTACATTTTCGTGTTCCTGTAATGCCTTTAGAAGATTTTCATATTATTACCTATCAATATATGTATGCTTTTTCTAAGAAAAATCAATCATATACATCATTGAAATTGAAACTTTTTTAAAGTACTTATTAATTCTATTGAAAAACCACATCCATAGGAGCAATTACAATATAATATTGTGAACATGTAAATATATATCCTGTCTATTTTATATATAAGCATATGTGATTAAAACTATAGTTCAGAATTTTTAAACCTAGTATTATAAAGTAAAAATTAGTTAAACTTCTGATGATTATTTGTTAATTAAGATAAAATTATTTTGATTTGGGTGATTTTAAATGAACAAAAATATTAAATTACATGACAAAAATTCTTTATAAAATGTTTACGATTTTTACATTGGTTTTATCACTTTATTCCACTATTTTATTTTAAGATGACCTGCCTTGTTTAAAACACTGTATTCATCTTAATTAAATTAAATTCCATTTGTAAAAAAATTAACAAATGATTTGCTCTATTATACAGTGAGGTTATAAACTGAGTCAGTATCTCAAGATTTGATCCCCATTATCGTCATCCGTGGCCCTATTTGTTTGATAAATGTAGTGTCTTTTTCCATGCCTGTCACATCTCTATTGCTCATTTATTTTTCTCCTTGTCCCTTATAGGGAGCATTGCCTATCTCTAGATTAAGCAAAAGTTGCATCTTAAAAAAGCACAATAACCTGCTCAATCTTTCTCACACAGAGAAATGTTTGTTAAGTAATTAAATTGTAGATGATGATACAAAGAGCTTGATTAAATAAGATGCCAAAGTACCCTTGTGATTCAGAATAGGAATGATATTTAATGCCTTTGAAATCAATAATTGCTGAGTGACATTAATTAATGCCAATATTTCAGAAGTTGTTCTGGTTTGTGAAATGTGTACAACATGTAAAAGTTTCCGAACTCTGAAGGGCAACATTATTCTATCATTAAGAATTAAGAATTAATTCACATTAATTATTGGGGAGAAATAATTTTAAGAATTAATGACTGAGAAAACCTTTTTTTTTTATTTAGGAAATTATTTTGTGCATGAGCATTACTGCAAGTTTTGCAAGAAACTTAAAATTATAGAAACAATTATGTGCACAAGATGAATTTAATAACATCTTGATATTTTCCACTAATACAGTTGTATTTGGTAAATCTTTAAATGCCCATCATCTAAAGATAATAAATGAATCTTGGAAATCTTGAAGGTAAAGGTAAATATAAGGATGCATCCAATTACATTTACACACACATAAAATTACATTTACACAAACATACATGCACACACGCTCACTGATACAGGTAAGCATATATATACATGAATTTACCAATTGATTTTAGCTAATATTTATAAGAGCCTGTAGGATTGATATATATTGTTGAACCTGAAAAATATTTATTATATACATGGTTAAAATACACAAAGAAATAAATAGTAATTGCACTAGGCATTTGAAACTGTACTTAAATATAAGCTGTGAACATTTTGTGATCATTACAAATTCTTACACTGAAGATTTTTATTTTTATAATAATATGTTTGATACATGTGTACATTTTTTAAAATGTATTATTTTTGTCATAGAGTCATGTCATGTATAATAACATTTCAGTCAAAGATGGATTACATATACAAAAGTGGTCCCATGAGATTATAATACATATTTTTACATTCTTTTCTATGTTTAAGTATGTTTAGATACATAAACTCTTACCACTGTGTTCTTATTGCCTGCAGTATTCAGTATAGTAATGTAGTACACAGGTTTGTAGCCTAGGGGAGAGAGGCTATACCATATAACCTAAACGTGGTAGGCTGTACAAACTAGGTGTTTGTAATATTCTCTCTGACGTTGGCAAAATGATGAAATTGCCTATGGATGCATCTGTTAGAACGTATCCCTGTCATTCAGTGATGCGTGACTGTGCTAAAATGCTAAATCTAAGTTTCAATGACCTCCATAAAATCGTTGTACTTTGAAATACAAATCTCTCACCTATGGCCTGAATATCTTTGCAAAGTAAGCAGATCATGGGAAGGAGAATGTGCTGGCATCGCTGGGATGATTTTCTCACACTTCATGAATAATATCTCCAGACTTTGAGAATATGAGCCACTTGCATAGAGTTAAAGTAAACATCTCTTTGCTGGGAAATTTATCAAATGGGAGTATGAAGTCTTTTTAAAAGATACTTGTTTGTTTGTAGATGGTAGGCCTACAGTGGCTCATGGCAATGGTTGAGGTTGCTAAGATCTGGTGGAAGGAGGCAAAATGAAATGGCCACTTATATGGTATATGGATCACTTGTTTCTGTTGAGTTACAGATTCAGCTGGCTATTTCTCCCAATGTTAGTTATTTGGAGAAAAAACCATGATGGTAATTTTGGGGTAACAAATACAATATTTGATGAAAACAAATTTATTGAGGGTTAGACAAACTACAAGATAATTTAGGCTGCAAAGTCAACACGAGACTTCTGCCCCAAATTGTGCAGAGTTTGGGTCCAGCTGCAAAGTTCAAAGGAAGAGGCCATATAAGATGATTTGCACTTTTGTCACCAATTGCCAGTTCAGGGGTTTCCCAAGAACACCCTCAGTTTCAAGAATTTACTAAAAAGACTCACAAAAGTCATTGAATGCCATTGTACTCATGGTTTATAATAGAGAAAGGGTAGAAATTAGGACCAATCAAAGGAAGAGACATATCACATAAGGTGGAATCTAGGAGGATTTTGAATGTTAAATTTCCATTGTCTTCAGGACATATTACCTGTCATTGTTGTACAGCAATAAACATGGAGTACTACCAACCTGGGGAGCTCACCTGATGCTAAAAAGACACTATTTCGAAAATGAAAAGACAAAGGAAAGGATGAGATAAGATAACCTTCCACATTAAGGCACTGGAAAGAATAGCAAACTAAACCTAAAGCAAGCAGAAGGAAGAAAATAAAAATTAGAGAAATTAATAATTTATAATATTAATCATATTTGTTAGTATTGACTAATTAATATTAATTCTTGACTGACTTTTTTAAAAAAGAGAAATATTCACTTCCCAATTTATTCTATGGGGCCAGTGTTACCTTGATACAAAAATTAGTCCAAATAGCATAGAAAAATAAAACTACTATAAGTATAAATGCAAAATTCCTTAAAAACTACTAACAAATCAGATCTAGCAACATATACAAGAATTATACACTATGACAAAGTGAAATTTATACTAGTAATCTCAGGTTGGTTTAACAGCCCAAAATCCATTAAGGTAATACATCTTATCCATAGAATAAGAAACAAGAATTGCATGATCATGTCGATAGATTCAGAAAAGACATTTAACAAAATCCAAATGCTTTAATGATTAAAAATAAAAATAAAAACTCAATGAACCAGGAATAGAGAACTTTCTACACCAGATACATGGCACCTGTGAAAAGCCAACAGCAAGAATGCAACTTAATGGTAAAGGATGCTTTCCCGCTATGGTCAGAGATAGGAATAAGATATATACTTTGAGCTCTTCTAGTCAACACTGTACTAAAGATTTTATGCAGGGCAAGTCGGCAACTAAAAAAAAAGAGTCAACCATATTGAACAGGAAGAAATAAAACTTTATTTGAAAATAATATTCTTGTATATAGAAAATTTTAAGGAATTCACTGAACAATAGAACTAGTAAATTATTTCAGCAATATTACAGCATACAAGATAAATCTACAAAAATCAATTGCACACATCTACAATGAAAACCCAAAAATGAAATTAAGAAAACACTTCAATTTAAAATAGCATCAAAAAAAGAAATAATAATTAATTTGGAAAATGTGATACAAGATTTTACTCGGAAAATTAAAAATTATTGTTTAAAGAAGATCTAAATAATTAGCAAATATCTTACAGCCATGAATTGGAAGATTTAATATTGTAGTACTTTCAAGTTGAACTACAGATTTGACGTAATCCCTGCAAGTATCCCAACAGACTTCTGTCTAGAAACTGACAAGCTGATTCTAAAATACACATGGGAATGTAAGGGACTCAAAATAGCCAAAATAGTCTTGAAAAAAGAAAACATATTAGGATAATTCACACCCCCGTGCTCCAAACCTTACGGCAAAGCATCAGTAATCAAGACAACACAACACTGATGAAAGAAAAATATATAGATTGATGGAAGAGAATTGAGAGTCCATATATAAAACTATGTGTCTATAGTCAATGGATTCTTACAGTGGTGCCATGTGCAATTCAATGAGGAAGGGACAGTCTTTGAACAAACTGGGTCAACAGCGTACACGTGGATCGCCACTTGCAAAATAATAAATTGGAACCCTTACCCCAAAGCATACAAAAATATTAACACAAATGAATTAAAGACATACATGGAAGAGCTAGAATAAAGCATATGGGAAAATCTTCAGGATTTTGGATCTAGCAAAGAAATAGCTGTAACACCAAAAACATGAGCAACAAAATAAAAATGAGATATTTAAAATTTCTTAAAAATTAAAGACATTGGTGTTTCAAAGGACAACCAAGCAAGTCAAAAGGCAGCTCAAAAATTGTGAGAAAATATTTGAAAAACACATATCTATATGTCTGCATATATATGTATCTTGAATATAGAAAAATTGTTTTAACTCAGTAACAAATATCCCAACTCAAAACTGATAAATGATAGGAATAGATGTGTTTTCCAAGAAGATACACGAACGGTCAATAATCCCATAAAAAGATACTCAACAGCATCACTCATCAGGCAACTACAAATCAAAACCACAGTTAGATACGCTATGGCTAGAACTGACCACTTTGGAAAATAGGTTGATGGCTTCTAAATATATTAAACATAGAATTGTCATATGACCCAGAAATTTATTCCCAGGTATACACCCAGATTATTGGAAAGAGGTGTTCAAACACAAATTGTACACAAGTATTCTTAGCAGCAGTATTTAAAATAGCCAAAGGTTGAACACAACTCAAATGTCAATAAAAATATTATTGGATAAACAAAATGTCATATCCATGAAATTGAATGTTATACAGGTATAAAAACAAATAAAGTACCGATACGCATATGAACCTTGATAGCATTATGCCAACTGAAAGAAGCCAGGCACAAAAGGCCACCTATTGTATGATTCTATTTAGATGAAAATAGAATAGGAAAATCTACAGAGACAGAAAACAGATTTGTGGTTGCTTAGGATTGAGTAGGGGATGAGTGCATAGGAGGTTAACAGCTAGAGAAAGTGGGGTTTCTTTTTGAAGTGATGAAAATGCTCTAAAATTCATTGTGATGATGGCTCCACTTATCTGCGTATATACTAAAAGCCATTGACTTGTAGACATTAATATGTGCACTCTACACTATGTAAATTATATCTCAATAAATCCTTTCAAAAATACACAGAAGACTAAGGGGTTTTGGAATGTTTCAGCTGGGAGGCAGTTTGAAATACTGAATAGGTCTCATCGAGAATGTGAGGTTTCAGTAAAGATTTGAGGAGTCGAATGAGCTGATCAATGGATATATGGGGGGATTTCTTTCAAAGCCAAGAAATTAACTAGAGTCTTGGTCATAAGACAGCAGCATGTTGGCATGTCCAGAGGACAGTGAGGTGGACAGGACCACTGGTAAGATCAAGGGTGAAGACATAAAAGAATTTTGGCGGTTAACATGCGGCAGATCATGATGGGCTTGCAGACCATTGTACGAATTGTGTCTTTTAGTGTAAATGAAATGGGGAGACAAATCATTACCACACTATCAATATTTTAATAAATTGGATCCATGAACCAAATACAATGAGATTAAATCAATTAGTAATAATATGCACATTTGTATTAAAATTACAAGAATTACTTGCACATTTGAGAACAGGAGAGTCATGATTTTTTATCAGCAATAATAAGCTATTAATTTTAATTGTGATCAGCTAATTGAGATTAATTGCAATACATCATGCTTTATAATGTGACTGTCAAAAGGAAAGTATGATTGTAATCTTATACTACATCTATCAATGTCTTTGATTCAGAGGACTATAGAATAAGCCCCTAGTTTTCAAAGCCAACTGATGAGGCAGTGACATCTTATGCAAGTTTGCTGCTTTCTGCCACAGTGGTCCTTGGTCAGCTGGCACAAATTGTTTTACAAACACCACTAGGTCTAAAAAAAGTTTGGATCACAATGAACACAGAAATACCTTCATTCCTTCAGAAATACCTATCAATTACTTCCAATACAGAATGAAAAATTGACAACGGAAATATGTCGATTGTAAAAATGCCACATAGCTTGAATCTACATGAAAGAAAAATGCCATTTTTATTACAATACATCATCGTTTTACATGAGTTTTGGTATAGCACAATGTTGAACCAAGGGCAAAGAAAGATGAATTAATGAAATCTTAAGACATCAAGAATTTGAAAGAAAAGGAAGGTCATCTTTGAAGGTTAGTGACATAGCATTCATCTTCTGTTGTCACCTTTTCCGTCATTCCCTGTATGCCTGATGGACAGCTTTCACTCAAGTTCAGAGAACAGCATGCAAAGATTAGCTACCAATTAATTTTTATGAAGTGAGCTTAATTTCTAGCCAGACCGAGCTTATGTTTTAGCAGGAAGCATTTTTGGGAAATGTTTATGTTAGAGTTTGCCCTTCTTGACAAGGTGAGGCATAAATGTCTACTTTATAGACATGAATTAAGATGGGAAGATATTTGGGGGAAAAATTTTCTCAAATGCTAAATAACAAAGGTACACAAAGGGGAAATTATACTAGATTTATTTCCCACTTGTTTTCTATGTCTCATCCAATTCACCTTGATTCCCTTCAGTTTCTGTTTAATGTAGAAAGTGGCATTTTCATTATTTTAAGCTTCTAGCACAATGAAAGATTTTCTCTTTTTCTTGAACAGGATCGTAAATGAAAGGGAGGAAGAGTGTCCAATATCATATTTATTGTTCAACAAAACACTGCTCCACGGCTTAAATTCAGTTTAAAAAAGAGAATTTATTGAACATCTAACACATACATAAAAGGCAGTAAAGACAAATGAGAAGAGGGCAGGATATTGAAGTATACAGACTTAAATGCTGAGTTTTGTATCTTAGTAAGTTACTGCACCTTACAGAGACTCAATTTCCACTGATTTAGGAAGGCGATGTTAATGGGTATTTCATAGGTGTAAGTATAAAAATGTTGTATTTAAGAGAATCCCACAAGCTTGGTATAAAGCAGAAAATAAATAGATGTGACATTAATTAGTAGTTTCTTACATTTGTATGCTACCTGCAGACTAGAGGAAGCAAGAAACACAGCCACTATGCTTGATTAGCATTATATTCTAATTTGGAATATAAATAGAAAAGAGAAAAATAGAAAGCTATGCATAAACACATGCATTAAAATGAATTTTATGTGGACTCTTTCAGGAAAATGTTCCTAAGGTATTTTATTTTTTTATTGTGGTAAAATACACATAACATAAAATGTACTCTGTTAACCATTTTAAATGTACAGTTCAGTGGTACTAAATATAGTCATAACATTGTGCAGCCGTCCCTACCATCCATCTCCATAACTCGTTTCATCTTGTGAAACTGAAACTCTATACCCATTAAACAGTACTTTCCCATGTCTTCCTCCCCCCAGCTTCTGGCATTCATCATTGTACTATCTCTATGATTCTGTCCAGTTTAAGTCTCTTATACAAATGGAATTGTACTGTATTTGTCCTTCACTGACTAACTTATTTCACTTGGCATAATATCCTCAAGTTTCATCCAAGATGCAACATATGTCTGAATATTTCCCTCATGTTTAAGGCTGAATGATTTACCATTGTATGTATATATCATGTTTTGCATATCCATTCATCTGTTGTTGGACACTTCAATTGCTTCTACGTTTTAGCTATTGCCAATAATGCTGCTGCAAACATGGATGTGCAAATATTTTTTCAAGACTCTGCTTTCAATTCTTTTGCTGTCTTGAGATGTGGGGCTGCTGAATCGTAAGGCAATACCATTTTGATGTTTTGAGGAACTACCATACTCTTTTCCACAGCAAACATAGGGTTTGGCATTCCCTCCAATATTGCAAAACGAATCGCCACGTCCTTGCCTGTGGATTTTATTCACAAGTCCTGTGGCTCTCTCTACATAACGGCCACCATGTGTTATTTCCTGTTTATATATATGAAATCAAAGGTGCAGGAAATAATGAACTAAATTGGAAGGATAAACATGTAGAAAAATAGAGGTAAATACTGACTACATAAAACCATAAGAATAAGAATTTTGGATGATCTATATATTATATATCTATTTATCTAACATCTGTCTGTTCCTCCATCTGTAATTAAAATATATTACAGTTAGAGAACAGAGAAAAAAGTAAGAATACATGAATTTAAATTTTAATTCTTCTTAGATTGTCTCACAGCATCATTATATGACAGAAAATTTATAGGTCAGTATCTGTTAACTGTAAATGTAACATTCTTAAAGAATTCAAATACATTGAATTACAGCATGAATAAAATATTACAATCCATTCAAGTTTATTTTATTCCAGGAACACAAAAATACAAATTTCATTTGCAATTCAAGAAAAACAGAAATCGATACATATGATTGATGTATATACACATTTAATGTATTTTTAAATATACATTTTTAAAAAATAGAAATTTAACTAGGACAACTACTTAAAATATCACTGAAAATAGTGTTAGTAGATAATACCTTCCTAATAACTCTGGTATTACATAAGAAAACAAAATTAAAATTTCAGATAAGCTTAGAAACTAAAAATTTTAGAAATATTATTCTGTTCTCCATATGTTCATATTTAATATTATTTCTTGTTTTCATTCTTCTTCAGTGTTCCTCTACTAAAATATAACATACAACAGTTACTTTTGATTTCTGTTCTTATTACTCAAAATTGTACACATTTTCTCATTCTCTTAATTTAGCCATGCTACTTTTCTGTACTCCTGGAATTTTCACATTTTTGTTCACTCTCTTTTGAGTTCCCATAGTATCAAATAAGCTTTTTTCCCTCTTTCTGATTTGAAGGTTCATCTCATAATTATTTTGTCCACTCAATTTCTTTTCATTCTCAGTTAAGGGCCTCTCATCTGGCTTCTTTTCATTTGTAAGGTTTCCTTTCATCTTAAGCCAGTCTTTTATTTATATTTTGATTCTGTTTTGTGGAGGACATGCTTTCCTGAATTTTAAGGAAGAGGCTAAAAGGTTCGTTCAAGTTTTTACCTGATACATTGGATTAAATTATCTAATGTACACACCCTTAATTTAAGTCTAGGGGTGACTGTCTACTCTTGATTTTGTATAGTATTATTTTTCTTAACATCCAAGTCCATCTTCATCTATTTGTATATGATCAATAAAAATATATTTGTCCAGAACCCTGCTTTGGTGGAGTTACTTCTTTCTAAGTAGGAGAGGTAGCAGTTGAGACATGAGCTGGGTTCTGGGTCAGTTTAGAGGGCTGGGCGACATTCCTCCTTTTGGTCTGTATGACTGAATGAATGCGGTTCTTGCTGTCTCGCTCCTCTCCTTAACACATTGAGCCATTGCAGCAGATGAGAAGGAATAATCCTGATCTGCCATTGAGGTGGAACACATGTTCTCTCCAACCACATCCATAGGTTGTACTCACACTCGGCCAGAATGTATCCTGTCAATGATATGGAGATGTATCTGGCTATCTAGTTAGATATCTACTTTGGTTTATGCTCTCTGGTTGCCCGTAAATTATCTCCTTAAAGTGAATATCAAAAGAGAGCTTGGTGATGGCAGTGTTATAAAATCCTCAAAATGCAGCACCCTCACCCAGAGGAATTTGTAGATTCTGGGATTCTAATTCAGATACCAAACTATATAAAAGGGGCATTGGTCATTGAGGGTTGCTAGGCTCTTTGTGGAGCATATTTGCTCTTTTCATGACTTTGAAATTATTTTAAAAATCTAACCTTTTTCTCAGTGTGCTGCAAGATGATTTGATTTTAATGCACGAGCACTGATTCTCCCCTAAGATTTGTACAATATATTTACTCTGACAAGCCATAGCCAGCAACTCACTTCACAGCAATTTATAGCATTTCCACGACAAGTTGAATTATTTTTAACTAGACTCTCTTTGCCTTAATCAAAATATGAAGAAGCAATATATTGTTCTAGTTAGGTTCAAAAGTTGGCAGTCTCTCTCCTGGAAAGAATAATAAAACTTTTCAGCGGCCTAATATGCATCTATAGACACACACACACACACACACACACACACACACGCAGGCACTATTCATAATATTTAAAGCACATTCTGTTCTATGACTTCATTTATCTAGCACAAAATAAAACGATCTCAGTATATGTCAAGTACCAATTATTTCGTATGGCCAATTATAGGTATTTTATTTTTTAAAGATTCGAGTGTTCTTGAAGCTCTTTCTATTTCTTTGTCAATGAACTAAACATTGGCAAATATGTAGGGTTTCCCACATAAGAACATTATTACCATCAAAATAGAAAGCTGGTGGTAGAAATAATGATTGGGAACACAGAGTCTCTACTCAGCGTTCTACTTCTGCTATACCATAAGTTTGTGATCTCACGAAATATCTCTCCATGTTGTCATCCCTATGTATAGTTCTGTCATTTTTCAATAAGAGCTTTTTGCTTAATTATGAAGTACTAGTTACTATAACCATTATTTTGAGCTTCATGTAAATCAAGAACACATGGACTCCACTTGCAAAACATTGAAAATGTAGTTAGGGATTGGGGCCTAAAGCAACATTTTAAAATGTGTAAAGACAATGAGTAAGCAACAAAGTGTCCAATTTTTTAGGGCAAATTTGCATACGTCAGGAAAAGGCAGGATTAAGTAACAGAGAATTTGAATGATAACTGGCCAATTGGTGTCGTTTACAATTGCAAGTCATACAAATGAAGTTTGCTTTTTTAAAGAGAAAAGGAGTTAGTTAGAATGGGTCAACCTATTGGGGAAGCAATGTAGTTAGAGACAATGCCCAAAACCATGTGAGCAAATGCTCTGTAGAGCGCACCCCTGCAATGCTGCCATTGTGAGGCCAAGTCTCTCCTTGTCTTGGTACTGAGCCCTCCATTCTGCCTCCATCATTGCCACTGTAGCTGCCACAAGGTGAACCCTCAACCACCGCTGCCCAGGAACAAAGAAAGAATTATGTCCTTCCGCGCTCTCAGATCAATTTCCAACATCAGGTGAGCCTTTGATGGGCACTATTCAGTTCCCATATCCCTGAAATAGATGCAGTAAAAACATAGAAATTGCCTATGTGTTTCCCAATAAGACACATATGGAAGCCTGTTTTCCCACAACAGGAAGGGTTTTCCTTGATGGGTGTTCAAAGGAACAATATTCCCTGCAAACCATACTTTGCCCATGTGAAGAAAAGCAATGAGGATTATTTAATAAATAGACATAGAAACTCATCCAGGGTTGGCTGATGAGAATCTGGTTAGCAAGGGGGTCTGCCTTCAGTTAGGACAAGGTCTGTGCTCCCCACGGGTTCTCTCCACAGCATGAGGGATGCAAACTTCCCTTTCCTCCCCTGCACCTACCCTCAAATGGCCCAGAGGTCTTCAGGTGCTAGAATTTCTCAATTAATGCTGCACAAAATAACAGACAGCCTTGGCTGTCACAGTCTGTTCTCATGAAGCTAGTCTCTGCTCACTACATAAAACAGGAGAGTAAGAACAAGGGTGTTTAACGCTACCCTAGCTCAAACAAGTTTCTCTCTGTAGGATGCCAAGAACCTGGGAACCAGTGCATCTGCTGCTTTCCCTTCTCGGATTCTAGCCCAGACAAAAGAGGCAAGGGTCATTTCTTCAGACGCCTTGAGCTTCACTACACAATGCCCCAGGCTCTACATGCACCCTCTTTATATATTTCTACCTTGAAAAAAATTTTTATATAATATTAATAGTATATATTTTTATATAAGAAACACATATGTTTATTTTATAGATAGATATACATAGATAAAGATCTCTAGTCACCCTTTTTTAAGGCTGGGCTGATCGCGGTGCCTCAAATCTATAATCCCGGCACTTTGGGAGGCCAAGGTGGCCAGATCTCTTGAGTCCAGGAGTTGGAGATCTGCCAGGGCAACATGGTGAAACCCCATCTTTACAAAAATTAGCTAGTATGGTGTCATGCACTTGCAGTCCCTGCTACTCAGGAGACTGAGGTGGGAGAATCGCTTGAGCACAGTATGTGAAGGCTTCAGTGAGCTCTGATCACATGAATGCACCCCATCTTGGGTGACAAAGTGAAACCCTCTCTGAAAAATAAAATAAAATAAAAAGGCTACCACCATACTCACAGATAAGTGTGTCAGGTATATTTGTAGCTATCCTTCCTATATTCTATTTGGTAAAAAAAAAAAAAAAAAAAAAAAAAAAAATGCAAAGAACTCTTCTCATTCTAGATTTTTGTATTACTTAGACATTTGAAGTTTATAGCAGAAGAGCTATAATCATGTTTGGTATGCGTACTCTATAGACCAGATAGTGCAAACAGATATCAATGCTTTTTAAAAGTATATAAGGTTATTAGAAATATTTTAAACTACCTATAGGTGTATATGTATCTAATTGAACTATCAAATGCAAGTAAGATCATTTCCTTAGCGTGTTAAATCCACTCAATTTATTAAAATATTTTCTAATGTCTATTACAATAATGTTTCTTAATTAGCTAACATAAGAGGAGTTTTAAGACATTTATTTATATGTACTTACTAGATTCAAACTCGATTCCACTATTTTCAGAAATCATGCTCTGAGACAAGTCCTTTTTTTATCTAACTATGTTTCTGCCTATATTAAAAGACAGATATGTCCATTTTGCTAATCATGCTGTTCCAAACCTCTCCATCCTATTTTTCGGTTTGTTCTAGCAGTCATTCAGAGACTTACTTATATTCAAATTTCTCTCTAGGTTTAACATTTGTGTATGTCTTCTTGTGGTTTTGTCTATTTTTGCTGTATATAAGACATTTATTGACATATATCATACATGCAGAAAAGTACAATGATTAAATATGGATAGCTTCATTAATGAAACACATGTATTTGCTTATAACCATGTATGAAAATAGAACATTACTAAAAATAGTGATACTTCTCCTGCCCCTTTCCAAACACTAACCCTCATCCTCAATAGCAACAGATTTTTTTTTATCATAGAGTAATTTGGTCTATTTTCAAATTTTTATTAAATAAATCAGAGTATCTACTCTAAGTCTATGTTTCTCTCATTGTTGCTATTTTGCTTATAGTATTTATCTGCTAATGGACATGGTAGATTAAAGACGGCTACATACACATTTTTTAATTAATAGATTTTTTGAGCACTTTGTGGCTCATGCCTCTAATCCCATCACTTTGGGAGGCTGAGGTGCGTGGATCATGAGGTCAGGAGATCCAGACAATCCTGGCCAATGTGGTAAAACCCCTTCTCTACTAAACTACAAAAAATTAGCTGATAGATAACATCAAGATAACATCTGGGTTCTTAGCTGCACTGAGTCAAGCCAACTTACATCTTTGTTTGTCTTCCTCTGCACTTTTCCTTCCACATCACACTCCAGGAATGCCAAGCTGTTCTGGCCTTCTACCCCATTTCCACTACTTTGCCCCCGCCGACGCGGCTTTTTGCCGCCATGGATTTTTGCCCCCGCTGCTGCGGGTTTTTGCGGCTTTATGCCTCCGCCGCCTCGACTTTTTGCCCCCGCCTCCGTTGCTTTCTGCCCCCGCCACCGCGGCTTTCTGCCCCCGGCCTCGCGGAATTTAGCCCCTGCTGCCGCGGCTTTTTGGGGATCTTTGCCCTCGCAGCCGCGGCTTTTTGCCGCCGCAGCTTTTTGCGTCTTTCTCCCCCCACCGCCGCGGCTTTTTGCCCTCGCCGCCGCGGCTTTTTTCCCCCGCCGCTGCAGCTTTTAGCCCCCGTCACCGCGACTTTTTCCGCTGCGGCTTTTTGCCACCGCCGCCGCGGCTTTTTATGACTTTTGGCCCCCGGCGCCGCGGCTTTTTACGGCTTTTCGCCCCCGCCGCCGCAGGTTTTTCCCGCCGCGGCTTCTTGCCCCCGCCGCCCCGGCTTTTTGCGGCTTTTTGCCGCCGCGGCTTTTGGCCCCCGCCGCCGCGAGTTTTTTCCCCTGTCGCCGCAGGTTTTTCCTGCCCCGGCTTCTTGCCCCCACCGCCCGGGCTTTTTGCCCCCGCCGTCGCGGCTTTTTGCCCCCAATGCTGCGGCTTTTTACGGCTTTTTGCGCCCATCACCGTAGCTTTTTGCCTCCGCCACCGCAGCTTTTTGCGTCCGCAACCACGGCTTTTTGACCCCGCCGCCATGGCTTGTTGCCCCCGTCGCCCTGGCTTTTTCCCCCACCGCCCCGGCTTTTTGCGCCCACCGCTGCAGTTTTTTGCCCCCACCGCCGCGGGTCTGAGGGCTGGATCCGCAGACTTGGCTGCCAGCTCTACCGGCGTCCTGACTAAGGCAGCGCCAAGGGGCGCTCCTGGTCCAGCTCTCCCGAATCAGGGGTTCCTTGCCTAGACGCCGGCGCCCAGGGCTCCGCTCCTGGGCTGCTGCAGCCCGCATAGAGCGGCGCTGCGCTCGGCTGCAATGGGAGAGAAGAAGGAGGGCAGTGGCGGGGGTGACGCGGCTATCGCGTAGGGAGGCACAGGGGCCGCGGCCAGCCGGGCGCTGCAGCAGTGCGGGCAGCTCCAGAAGCTCATCGGCATCTCCATTGGCAGCCTGCGCGGGCTGCGCACCAAGTGCGCTGTGTCCAAGGACCTCACCCAGCAGGAGATACGGACCCTGGAGGTAAGGGGGTCAGGGACCAGGGCTGGGCTCCAGCACCAGACTGGACACCTCCATCTGGGCCCCAGTTCACTCCTGGCCGAGTTGCATCCTTGAGCCCACGTCGCCCCTTTGGAGGCTTCTCCTCCCTCCTGCACTCGCTGATGCGGCAGCCGGAGGACCTGGGACCAGCCCTCACCTTGGGCAGGATTTGTGGAGCGGTTGCGTGTTGGGAACTGTGATGGATGCTCGAGGGGCCCATGGGCGGGGTGGGCTGCACGCGGACATCCCCTTACCTCCCGAATTGCCATCTGGTCCAGCCCTCTCATCTTGTAGGTGAGGAAACCGAAGGCCTGAGGGAGAAATGACTTGCCAGGAACCCCTGTTAAGGAGAATTAACAAAGAGTGGTTACTAAAGGAGCAGTGAGTTGGGAGTCAGACCTGGAGGCCCGCACCCTTGGTTAAGACATTATAACACCTTGAGTCTGGCCTGTTGACTGAGGGTGAGCCACTCCATCCTCGTCTGATTGTGGGGTCTTGACCTCAAGGGGTTTCCTGCAGGAAGAAGCAAATGGGTTTGCCTCCCTAGCTCTGTCCAGTACCTTAGGGACCCTGAGAACTAGAGAGATTCTTGGAGAGCCATCTGGTGTATGTCATGGGTGGGCCTTGTTTGAAGGTCAGTCTGCCCAGTGGGCTGGCTCAGCCCGAATGAACTCTCTTGAATCTTTGGAGTTTTCTGTGTACTTTTAAGGGTTTCTCATCCTTGCACCAAAAGATCTCCTGGAAATTAGGTGGGAAAACCTTAACTTTTGTGGGGCCCTGTGTTTGTCTTAAAAGTTCATGCACATGGCCAGGTGTGGTGGCTCACGCCTGTTATCCTGTCCTGGATCACTTGAGTCAAGGAGTTTGAGACCAATCTGGACAACATAGTGAGACCCCGTCTCTACAAAAAAAAAAAAAAAATAGTAGCCAGGGGTGGTTGTGCACATCTGTAGTCCTACCTACTACTGTGGCTGAGGAGGGAGGAGCACTTGAGCCTGCACTGAGCTGTGATCTCACCAGTGTATTCCAGCCTGGGCCACACGCAACACCTTGACTCAAAAAAGAAAAACCAACAAGAAAAATTCTTGAAGATTTTGCATTCTGTCTCACTATCGATTGGTTTTCATGTCAAGATAATGTCAGAAATTCTTTACAATTGCTTCCAGAAGGAGTAGCCTTTTGATCTAGTGCACAGGTGTCCAGTCTTTTGGCTTCTCAGGGCCACATTGGAAGAAGAATGCTCCTGGGCCACAGATAAAATACACTACTGCTAATGATAGCTGAGGAGCTTAAAGAAAAAAAGGTTTGTGCATAATTTTCATGATACCCACCACCACAGATAGGCTGAAAAGTCCTTGTAGTCAAAGGGTTGGACACAGCTGATCTAGTGTCTTGTCGTCCGTTTTGACTTTCTCCCTGACTCCAGAATGCAGGTAGAGATGTAGAGACGTGCTCTCAGGACAGGTGTTGAGATAAAAAAATTCGTTGTCATTTATTCCCAAGGACAGCTGTTTGTCATTTGTATTGAAAAAGTTTCCATTCAAACCGCTGTCACATATAAAATCTATTTATATGTCTGTATGTTTCTGTTGTCTTGGCTTTTGTGGGCAGCAGTGTGTTTTAATGGAGCAAACTGTCCTTCCAAATAATGAAGCCGAAGTCAGCCTACCTGCTTGCCATTTTTCTTCCCCTTCCATTTTTCTAACCTCAGGATAATTGTAAGAATGAATTAAGATTTGTGTTTAAGGCCAGGCACAGTGTCTCAGGCCTGTAATCTCAGCACTTTGGGAGGCAGAGACGGATGTATCGCTTGAGCTCAGGAGTTGAAGACCAGCCTTGGCAACATACTGAGACTCTGTCTTGTATAATTAAATTAATATTTAAAAAAAGGAAAGAAAAGGACCAGTGTTTAAAATTTAAAAAAAGGGGGGGAAAGTATAATGCAAAATGTGGACTATGCTAGCTATGATTGGGAAAAATAATTTTTCATACAGCATTATCTGTTGACTTGTATTAGCAGCACACTGGTCATAAGCGTTTTGCTTTCATCAAATATGAGGTAAGCTACTTTAAAGTGTGGTGGGGCTTTCTTCCGCATGGCTCCTGGAGGTGTTGAGTCCCAATTTAGCCAATTAATTGGGGTTTAGTTTTGATATGGATAAGGGAGACCGGCTTCATTCATGATGCACACACAGTTTTGCCAGTAAGGAAAAAAAAAGCAACCTGAATGTTTCTACTCATTAGATGCTATCTGGAGAGCTCCTACCCCAATGCCACAAAGGCCCAGTCCCTTAAAAAGACTCAATGCAGCCTTTGTGCGTCTCATACTGTATTCTGCAAGATACTCCTGTGAAAGAAATTTGTGCTGCATCAGCCATCTCCCTCCTGAAGATCCCTGCGGATGACGATTTGTGTTTTAAAGGTTCTGAGAAGTCCTGCAAAAACAGTTCTCAAACTTATTTGTCCAGGGGATCTTTTCTTCCACTGAACATAGTTGGGTAGACACGGCCTTAAGCCTTGAGCAGAGAAAGAGACAAGAAACTGTTGGCTCACTTACAACCAAGTGTTGTGTTTATGTTTTAGGTTTTTATGAAACTGAGGTGCTGTTTGAGGTTCTGAATCAAATTGGGTGGTTGAAGAGAGGCTGGTATCCCTGTAGACTTAGCCAGCCATGAGAGGTTGACTTCTGTTGAAGGAGGTGTTTTACAAAGGGAAATAGGGTGTCTCCTGGGCATCACATTAGCACTTAAATACATGTATCACTGAAATGAAATGAAATGATGAAATGATGACATGAAATGAAATGAAATGATGAAATGATGAAACGAAATGATGAAATGAAGAAATGAAATGAAATGACAAAATGATGAAATGAAATGAAATGATGAGATGAGATGAAATGGTGAAATGAAATGAAATGCTGAAATGAAATGAAATGATGAAATGATGAAATGGAATGATGAAATGAAATGATGAAATGAAATGGTGAAATGAAATGAGGAAATGAAATGAAATGCTGAAATGAAATGATGAAGTGAAATGGTGAAATGAAATGAAATGAAATGATGAAATGATATGAAAAGATGAAATGATGAAATGGAATGATGAAATGAAATGATGAAATGAAATGGTGAAATGAAATGAGGAAATGAAATGAAATGCTGAAATGAAATGATGAAGTGAAATGGTGAAATGAAATGAAATGATGAAATGAAATGAAAAGATGAAATGATGAAATGAAGAAATGGTATGAAATGATGAAATGAAATGACAAAATGAAGTGAAATGATGAAATAATGAAATGAGGGGTGGAGCCAAGATGGCTGAATAGGAACAGCTCTGGTCTACAGCTCCCAGCATGAGCGACGCAGAAGACGGGTGATTTCTGCATTTCCATCTGAGGTACCGGGTTCATCTCACTAAGGGAGTGCCAAACAGTGGGTGCAGGACAGTGGATGCAGTGCACCATGTGGGAGCCGAAGCAGGGCGAGGCATTGCCTCACTCAGAAAGCACAAGGGGTCAGGGAGTTCCCTTTCCTAGTCAAAGAAAGGGGTGACAGACTGCACCTGGAAAATAGGGTCACTCTCAACCTAATACTGTACTTTTCCAACAGGCTTGGAAAACAGCACACCAGGAGATTGTGTCCCGCACCTGGCTCAGAGGGTCTTATGCCAATGGAGTCTTGCTGATTGCTAGCACAGCACTCTGAGATCAAACTGCAAGGCAGCAGCGAGGCTGGTGGAGTGGGACCCGCCATTGCCCAGGCTTTCTTAGGTAAACAAAGCAGCCAGGCAGCTGGAACTGGGTGGAGCCCACAACAGCTCCAGGAGGCCTGCCTGCCTCTGTAGGCTCCACCTCTGGGGGCAGGGCACAGACACACAAAAAGTCAGCAGTAACCTCTGCAGACTTAAATGTCCCTGTCTGACAACTTTGAAGAGAGTAGTGGTTCTCCCAGCACGCAACTGGAGATCTGAGAATGGGCAGACTGCCTCCTAAAGTGGGTCACTGAACCCCAAGCAGCCCAACTGGGAGGCACCCTCGAGTAGGGACAGACTGACACCTCACTCGGCCGGGTAGTCCTCTGAGACCAAACTTCCAGAGGAATGATCAGACAGCTGAATTTGTGATTCACGAAAATCCGCTGTTCTGCAGCCACCGCTGCTGATACCCAGGCAAACAGGATCTGGCGTGGACCTCTAGAAAACTCCAACAGACCTGCAGCTGAGGGTCGTGTCTGTTAGAAGGAAAACTGACAAACAGAAAGGACACCCACACCAAAAACCCATCTGTACATCACCATCATCAAAGACCAAAAGTTGATAAAACCACAAAGATAGGGAGAAAACAGAAAAACTGGAAACTCTAAAAAGCAGAGTGCCTCTCCTTCTCCAAAGGAACGCAGTTCCTCACCAGCAACAAAACTGGACAGAGAATAACTTTGATGATTTGAGAGAAGAAGGCTTCAGATGATCAAACTACTGTGAGCTACAGGAGGAAATTCAAACCAATAGCAAAGAAGTTAAAAACTTTGAAAAACAATTAGACGAGTGTATAACTGGAATAACCAATGCAGACAAATGCTTAAAGGATCTGATGGAGCTGAAAGCCAAGTTTCGAGAACTACGTGAAGAAGGCAGAAGCCTCAGGAGCCAATGCAATCAACTGGAAGAAAAGGTATCAGTGATGGAAGATGAAATGAATGAAATGAAGGGAGAAGGGAAGTTTAGAGAAAAAAGAATAAGAAGAAATGAACAAAGCCTCCAGGAATTATGGGACTATGTGAAAAGACCAAACCTACGTCTGATTGGTGTAGCTGAAAGTGACGGGGAGAATGGAACTAAGTTGGAAAACACTCTGCAAGATATTATCCAGGAGGACTTCCCCAATCTAGTAAGGCAGGCCAACATTCAGATTCAGGAAACACAGAGAACGCCACAAGGATACTCCTTAAGAAGAGGAACTCCAAGACACATAATTGTCAAATTCACCAAAGATGAAATGAAGGAAAAAATGTTAAGGGCAGCCAGAGAGAAAGGTCCGGTTACCCACAAAGGGAAGCTCATCAGACTAACAGCTGATCTCTCAGCAGAAACTCTTCAAGCCAGAAGAGAGTGGGGGCCAATATTCAACATTCTTAAAGAAAGTAATTTTCAACCCAGAATTTCATATCCAGCCAAACTAAGCTTCATAAGTGAAGGAGAAATAAAATCCTTTACAGACAAGCAAATGCTCAGAAATTTTATCACCACCAGGCCTGCCCTAAAAGAGCTCCTGAAGGAAGCACTAAACATGGAAAGGAACAACTGGTACCAGCCACTGCGAAAACATGCCAAATTGTAAAGACCATCAAGACTAGGAAGAAACTGCATCAACTAACGAGCAAAATAACCAGCTAACATCATAATGACAGGATCAAATTCACACATAACAATATTAATTTTAAATGTAAATGGGCTAAATGCTCCAATTAAAAGACACAGACTGGCAAATTGGATAAGAAGACAAGACCCATCAGTGTGCTGTATTCAGGAAACCCATCTCACATGCAGAGACACACATAGACTCAAAATAAAGCAATGGAGGAAGATCTACCAAGCAAATGGAAAACAAAAAAAGGCAGGGGTTGCAATCCTAGTCTCTGATAAAGCAGACTTTAAACCAAAAAAGATCAAAAGAGACAAAGAAGGCCATTACATAATGGTAAAGGGATCAATTCAACAAGAAGAGCTAACTATCCTAAATATATATGCACCCAAAACAGGAGCACCCAGATTCATAAAGCAAGTCCTGAGTGACCTACAAAGAGACTTAGACTCCCCCACAATCATAAGGGGAGATTTTATCACGCCACTGTCAACATTAGACAGATCAACGAGGCAGAAAGTTAGCAAGGACACCCAGGAATTGAACTCAGCTCTGCACCAAGCGCACCTAATAGACATCTATGGAACTCTCCACCCCAAATCAACAGAATATACATTTTTTTCAGCACCACACCACACCCATTCCGAACTTGATCACATAGTTGGAAGTAAAGCTCTCCTCAGCAAATGTAAAAGAACAGAAATTATAACAAACTGTCTCTGACACCACAGTGCAATCAAACTAGAACTCAGGATCAAGAAACTCACTCAAAACCGCTCAACTATATGGAAAATGAACAACCTGCTCCGGAATGACCACTGGGTACATAACAAAATGAAGGCAGAAATAAAGATGTTCTTTGAAACCAACGAGAACAAAGACAAAACATACCAGAATCTCTGGGACACACTCAAAGCAGTGTGTAGAGGGAAAGTTATAGCACTAAATGCCCACAAGAGAAAGCAGGAAAGATCCAAAATTGACACTCTAACATCACAATTAAAAGAACTTGAAAAGCAAGAGCAAACACATTCAAAAGCTAGCAGAAGGCAAGAAATAACTAAAATCAGGGCAGAACTGAAGGAAATAGAGACACAAAAAACCCTTCAAAAAATTAATGAATCCAGGAGCTGTTTTTTTGAAAAGATCAACAAAATTGATAGACCACTAGGAAGACTAATAAAGAAGAAAAGAGAGAAGAATCAAATAGATGCAACAAAAAATGATAAAGGGGTTATCACCACCGATCCCACAGAAATACAATCTACAATCACAGACAACTACAAACACCTCTATGCAAATAAACTAGAAAATCTAGAAGAAATGGATAAATTCCTTGACACATACAGTCTCCCAAGACTAAACAAGGAAGAAGTTGAATCTCTGAATAGACCAATAACAGGCTCTGAAATTGTGGCAATAATCAATAGGTTACCAACCAAAAAGAGTCCAGGACCAGATGGATTCACAGCCGAATTCTACCAGAGGTACAAGGAGGAACTGGTACCATTCCTTCTGAAACTATTCCAGTCAATAGAAAAAGAGGGATTCCTCTCTAACTAATTTTATGAGGCCAGCATCATCCTGATACCAAAGCCGGGCAGAGACACAACCAAAAAAGAGAATTTTAGACCAATATCCTTCATGAACATTGATGCAAAAATCGTCAATAAAATCCTGCAAACCGAATCCAGCAGCACATCAAAAAGCTTATCCACCATGATGAAGTGGGCTTCATCCCTGGGATGCAAGGCTGGTTCCACATATGCAAATCAATAAACGTAATCCAGCATATAAACCTAACCAAAGACAAAAACCACATGATTATCTCAATAGAAGAAGAAAAGGCCTTTGACAAAATTCAACAGCCCTTCATGCTAAGAATTCTCAATAAATTAGGTATTGATGGGAAGTATCTCAAAATAATAAGAGCTATCTATGACACACCCACAGCCAATATCATACTGAATGGGCAAAAACTGGAAGCATTCCTTTTGAAAACTGGCACACGACAGGGATATCCTCTGTCACCGCTCCTATTCAACATAGTGTTGGAAGTTCTGGCCAGGGCAATCAGGCAGGAGAAGGAAACAAAGGGTATTCAATTAGGAGAAGAGGAAGTAAAATTGTCCCTGTTTGCAGATGACATGATTGTATATCTAGAATACCCCATTGTCTCGGCACAAAACCTCCTTAAGCTGATAAGCAACTCCAGCAAAGTCTCAGGATACAAAATCAATGTACAAAAATTACAAGCATTCTTGTACATCAATAACAGACAAACAGAGTGCCCAATCATGAGGGAACTCCCATTCACAATTGCTTCAAAGAGAATAAAATACCTAGGAACCCAACTTACAAGGGACATGACGGACATCTCCAAGGAGAACTACAAACCACTGCTCAATGAAATAAAAGAGGATACAAACAAATGGAAGGACATTCCATGCTCATGGGTTGGAAGAATCAATATCGTGAAAATGGCCATACTGCCCAAGGTAATTTATAGATTCAATGCCATACCCATCAACCTACCAATGACTTTCTTCACAGAATTTGAAAAAACGTCTTTAAAGTACATATGGAACCAAAAAAGAGCCCGCATTGCCAAGTCAATCCTAAGCCAAAGGAACAAAGCATCACGCTACCTGATTTCAAACTATACTACAAGGCTACAGTAACCAAAACAGCATGTTACTGGTACAAAAACACAGACATAGATCAATGGAACAGAACGGAGCCCTCAGAAATAATGCCGCATAACTACAACTGTCTGATCTTTGACAAACCTGAGAAAAACAAGAAATGGGGAAAGGATTCCCTATTTAATAAATGGTGCTGGGAAAACTGGCTAGCCATATGTAGAAAGCTGAAACTGGATCCCTTCCTTACACCTTATGCAAAAATTAATTCAAGTTGGATCAAAGACTTACATGTTAGACCTAAAACCATAAAAACCCTAGAAGACAACCTAAGCAATACCGTTCAGGACATAGGCGTGAGCAAGGACTTCATGTCTAAAACACCAAAAGCAATGGGAACAAAAGCCAAAATTGACAAATGGGATCTAATTAAACTAAAGAGCTTCTGCACAGTAAAAGAAATTACCATCAGAGTGAACAGGCAACCTACAAAATGGGAGAAAATTTTTGCAACTTACTCATCTGACAAAGGGCTAATAACCAGAATCCACAATGAACTCAAACAAATTTACAAGTAAAAAACAAACAACCCCATCAAAAAGTTGGTGAAGAACACGAACAGACACTTCTCAAAAGAAGACATTTATGCAGCCAAAAAACACATGAAAAAATGCTCATAATCACTGGCCATCAGAGAAATGCAAATCAAAACCACAATGAGATACCATCTCACACCAGTTAGAATGGCGATCATTAAAAAGTCAGGAAACGGCAGGTGCTGGAGAGCAAGTGGAGAAATAGGAACAATTTTACACTGTTGGTGGGACTGTAAACTAGTTCAAACATTGTGGAAGTCAGTGTGGCGATTCCTCAGGTAACTAGAACTAGAAATACCATGTGACCCAGCCATTCCATTACTGGGTATATACACAAAGGACTATGAATCATGCTGCAATAAAGACACATGCACACATATGTTTATTGCGGCAGTATTCAGAATAGCAAAGACTTGGAACCATCCCAAATGTCCAACAACGATAGACTGGATTAAGAAAATGTGGCACATATACACCATGGAGTACTATGCAGCCATAAAAAATGATGAGTTCATGTCCTATGTAGGGACATGGATGAAACTGGAAATCATCATTCTCAGTAAACTCTCGCAAGGAGAAAAAACCAAACACCACATGTTCTCATTCATAGGTGGGTATTGAACAATGAGAACACACGGACACAGGAAGGGGTACATCACACTTCGGGGACTGTTGTGGGGTGGGGGGAGTGGGGAGGGATAGCATTAGGAGATATACCTAATGCTAAATGACGAGTTAATGGGTGCAGCACACCAACATGGCACATGAACCCTTATGTTAAACACCTGCACATTGTGTACATTTATCCTAAAACTTAAGGTATAATAATAAAATAAAATAAAATAAAAAAACAAAATATACACTAATACACATTAACCAACTTAAAAAAATAGTAGAGAAAGGTCATTTAAAAAATATGAAGGATAGAGTAATAATCTAACACGTTGAAATCTAAGAAGGAGAAAACAGCTTGTCTGAACAGCATTTTAAGTGGCAATGTTAGAGGTTTTATCAAAATTGACCAATAATATTAAACCTCAGGTTCAGGAGACTTTTCAAAGCAAAGGAAAACACACACAGAGGACACATCTAGAAACATAATGGGGCAATTTCTGAAAAGTAAAAGAAAAATGTAAAGAGCACTTGATAAAAAAAAAATTGGACTAACTACAAAGAGAAAGAGTTGACTGATAACAACTTTCTCAAATGAAACAACGAAAGCCAACAAGTGAGGTACTGATATCTTTCAAGTCCTGAAATAAAATAAGTGCTGACCTAGAACTGTCTACTTGGTGGACATATCCATCAAAACAAAGATACAATAAAGAATTTCTCCCAAGCAGACACACAGGAAAAGAAATACTAAACATTATTCTTCAGGGAGAAGAGCCATGATCCCTGATGAAAATTTGCATTTAGAAGAACAATTTTTTTAATGAAAGAAATAAACATAGAGAGAAATTTAATTGGATATCGACTGTATAACAGAATGCTATCTCATAAAGTTTAAAATATGTCTTCCGTACAATGGCAGAAGCATATAAGTTGTGAGTTGGATAAATTAATTTTAAAATATTGTCAAGTTTTTTTTTTTTTTTTTTTTTTGCAAATAGACAAATGGACCAATTATATTAGACCCTGAATCCAAGAATACACGTTGTATTAAACCAGGTAAAATATAACCAGACCAGATTTTTTAAATGGACTCTCTTAAAGTTTTTATAATTTATATTCATATTTCACATATGTTGAAAGTAAATAATGGAAAAGCATGCAATGCAAATATTAACCAAAATATAGCTTTAGTTGTACTTATATTCACATTTTAAAAGTTGGACACAGTTAAGTCTCAGTGATTTTTTTACACAACGGAGGCAAGCTGTGCAGTTTTAACTAGTATTATATTATGCTCTTGGCCTGATTACAGAAGGGAAAGGGGAGATCATACCAGACAATGGCAGAATGAAGCAACAAGGAGTAGAGTTACAGAACATGATGCTGTAACTTGGACTGGAGTTACTCTTTTAGAGTTAAAGAATAGTAAACAGGACAAAATATATGAAACATTTTTTTGAAGTACTGAACATCGGCAGCGCAGGACTGTGCTCTGCAAGAGAAGAGAAGGAGCCAGAATGAGTCCTGCATTATTCCCAGATTCTCCGTGACAGCAGTAGAGAAGAATCCCAGAGACAGCAGACATTGTCATTGCACTGAGGAACCAGATAAAAATCAAAAAAGGTTAAGTAGCTGGAATGTGTAGTAGAAGAGAACGTTTACAGAAAAAGGAACCAAGAATCAGCCTAAGGATTCTCCCAAGTCCCTAAGCCAAATGTACATAGGATGAAATTCTAAGGAGCTCAGCAAAAGACTCTACCAGGGAGTTGGAAGAAGAACACTTCCCTGGCATCACATGACAGGAAGACACGTTAGTTGTGACCAGCCAGAGATGGGAATCCCCTCTGTACCTCCAGGATATTCAGTAAAGACCACTGGAGGTTCATGCCCTAGTGACAGTGCTCATTTAGCTCCAAATTACAGATGGCTCTAGACTAACTCAACAAATTTTAAAGAGGAGATTTAAAGCAACAACAGAAAAATACTCATCCTGAAGTTACTGAACTGCCTGCCACAACATTGTTCAAAGGTAGCCAATCAAATCTAGATATTCAATAGCATAACACCAAAATACCCCCCCCCAAAAAAAACTCTGACATGCAAAGAAGCCGTAAGATATATATAATTAAGATATATATTAACAGGATAAAAATAAGTCATTTATAAATGACAGAAAAGAAGGAAATTTCAAGGTCCTTAAAGTAAATATATTTTATAAATACATATAGATAAATACATATATATGTCAAGGTACTTAAATGAAAATTGAACATAGGAGAAAAATAGAAGTTATAAAATGAAAAATGGGGCATGTATAGATGAAAAATAAATATTTTAAATAAAAATTCCATGAGATAGAATAAGTAATGGATTTTACCCTAACATCAGAATATTTATAGAACAAAATAGAAGCTTTACAAACTAAAGGACAAAGGGTAAACTAAAATAAGAAAGCCAGAAACTCACTGATACGTCAGACAATATGCAGCAGTGTAACATACATGTAATTAATATCTCAAAAAGGATGGGTGGGGCAATTACAGGTGAATAAAGAATGGTACACTCATTCCTGAGGGCACCGAGGAGGGAGGATAGCTTTAGATTCCTAAGGGAGGGTATTATCCATTCATGAAGGTCGAACCTCATGACCAAACACCTCCCAGTAAGCCCCACCAGCAACATTGGGGATCAAATTTTAACCTGAGATTGGAAGGGGCAAGCATTCAAACCATAGCAAGAGTTAAATTTCCTTTTAAAAAAAATCACCGATATGATTCCATTTCGCCATAGATAAAAGCTAGTATTTCAGCCTACCATTGAGTGTGCTTATAGCTCACCAAAAGGGCACTCTGTCTCGGGAATACAGATTTGCCTAGAGGTATCCTGTTGCAGTCAAAGAAAGAGCATTGAGGGATAGAAAAGGTTAGTGATGGAGACACCAGCGCTGCATTTTGCAACAAACAATGTAAAAACTTTACGGATTGGTTCTGCTAACTTACTACAGTTTACATTCCTCTCATGTGGGAGAATTGTTGCGTTTTTTCTTAAGTTAGAAAAGCAATTCAGATAATCTGAAATCTCCACAAGAAGGATAAGAAGCACAGCAGAAACTATTCCAGGCAGGAAGTCAGTCCTTTCAACTGTCTGTGCTCCATAGAAACAATTGTCTGCACTGGGAGTCATATGAGGTACAGACAACAGCCAGACCTCTGATCCTCTCATTAGCAATTTCAGAAGAAATTACCAGTCAACTGAGTAATTCACTGAGTTAAGTAAACATTTGGCACTGAAAGAGGTTAGACGGATAACTATTTGTATCACCATATTCATGAAGCTGGAATATTTTCCATTACTGGTATCACATCCGAATGGAAGATGTTAAAAGGTCTCTCATCTTGTAAGATGGATATGAAAGAACATTTTCTGAGAAATGAAATTATTAACACACCTGCGAGGTGGATGGAAGAGAAAAAAAAGAATAAGCAGCTTGAGTTCTTCTCCTTGATAAGACAACTCACTAAAAACATAAAGAGAAAAATACAAGTTTAAAACAATTAACCAGAAGAAGACGACTCTAGAGTTTTTAAATTGTTGATAAGATTTTAATTTGCTCCAAGTTGAAAATAATTATATTCCTTGTGTTTTAAGGCACATGATGAGCAATTACATCACACATGATAGTTTCAGCAGTAAAATAGTATCCGTTAACAGCTGGAACTCATAAAAGCATAGCACAATGTGAAGATGGAATTTGCTAAAATAAACCATCTGCTGAAAACTACTATTCTGCACATTTAAAAGTAAAGTCTAAATGTTATTTGTCTCATTTAATAGGTCTGTGAAAAAATGCGCTATTTGAAAAGTAGGTGCTACCTTAATTAATTCTTTATATTAGATGGCTGGTTACAGTAATGCACAGTAAGGTGCTACATAGATATATTGCTAAATTTTCTGCATATACTATGTATTTGGCTTAAATTATTTGAAATTTTATAGTTAAAATAACAAATGTATATTTAAATGTTTTGACACAAATTGCAAATATACCTTTAAAAAGAGTCTTACACTCTAAATATTATTTGTCACCTACATATTTGTCTTTTCTCTATAGGAAATTTTAAATTTTTCCCTTGAAGCTTTAATTATTTGAGTCTATAAAACAAACTGATAATGTACAAATTAACAGGAAAAAAAGGTTTACAGATATGTGCACAAGTATGCACTTGGAGTTTACATAATATATATAAATATATCTATACAAATATTTGTATATTATAAATAGATATACAAATATATACTATATATATAAAAACTCCAGGAAAGGCAAGGTAGTCAACAGGCCTATGCTGTCTTGAGGTTACAGAAAACACAGAGCTGTAGGTTGGTAAATCAGGCTTTGCGGAAGACAGGTGACGACAAGGAAGAAAGAGGAGTCTGGCAGCAGAGGTGGTCTTGTTACATGGATGAAACCTCACAGGGAGCAGCCCTCCCTTGGGAAGTATAGATAGGAAATGGTTTTTGGAAATGGTTTTTAGAAATATAAACGTGCCAGGCTCAGTTAATCTTTCCTAAACCCAGACAAGGGAGTATCTCAGGGAAAGCCTGTCTATATCAATGCAGATTTTCTCTACCTCCAGTCTTCCGAGCAGCCATCTTGAAATACGTCAAAAAGCTGCCCAGGCGAACACCTGTAGTCCCAGCATTTTGGGAGACTGAAGTGGGTAGATCACCTGAAGTCAGGAGTTGGAGACCAGCCTGACCAACATAGGGAAACCCCGTCTCTACTAAATACAAAAAATTAGCCAAGTGTGGTGGTGCATGCCTGTAATCTCAGCTACTTGGGAGGCTGAGCTAGGAGAATTACTTGACCCTGGGAGGCTGAGGTTGCAGTGAGCCAAGATTGTGCCATTGCACTTCAGCCTGGGCAATAAAAGCAAAACTCCATCTCAAAAAAAATGTATTTTAGGGTAATATTTTGAGTATCTTTACCTCCATATGTACAATAAATATTATTGTGATTTTTAATCTTTACTCTTCTGTGAAGAAAACACAGGTGTGATTTCTAGTGTAGCTGCACATCTTTTATTTGACAATATTGCACTTGTGTGTCGGTGTGTGGATGTGTAGCTACTCTTTAATTTTGTTCTCACATAATGATTAGATATTAACAATTAATTCAGTAAAATGTATGTTTTGCAATATTTCTCCATGATATTATGCTTTAAATTAGTTTAATCATGCCCCTATAATGTGTACATTTTAACCTTCGACAATAGGTCTCAATCTTACTTTGATTCCTGTATTTGAATTTATGCTAATGAAGTCCTACAGCTGAAAAAGATTATATAAACTTATCTACATTTTTACTAGTATTCTGGTGTCATTTTACATTATGTAATGAAATCAAATTTTAATTTGGATTATTGTTATCTGAATTAAGGATCTAAATTTGTAATTTTCTTATAAATATTACATAATTATTTCTGAACCATATATTGACTAATCTGCCCTTTATATGATGTGCATTATAAGAGCTTGGGATTGTTTCATTTGCAAAGATGAATGCTTGAGAAGTAGATAATTAATCATAACATTTCAAAATCTACTGGATAACCTAGAATTGAAAAATAGCCTATAGGTTGAAAAACTCCTGTAGTGAAGAAAGAAAATAACTAATATACAGTGACAATATAAATATTATAAGTATTTATTTTATTATCGTCCTGAAATTTGATAATACAAACATGTACTATCTACATATCATCCATATATCAGGTCAGAAAAAATCAATACATTCTTCAAAAATTTAGCATAACAGAAAATGCACTCTCTCTCCTTCATGGAATTAAGTTACAAATAAAAGTAAAAATAAGTAGATAAGTAGATGGAAGTAGATGTTTAAAAACAAAGAAAAATATTTGTTTTGGATAACATAAAATCTCAATTGACAGTTCCAATATTTCCAGAACTTTGACTGTCAACTTGTGGAGAGTTTTCCCCAGGAGACATTTGTCAATGTCTAGGGTTATTGTGGGGATGTCAAGACTGGTGGAGGTGTGAAATGTAGAGGTCAAACGAAACACCTAGCATTGCTAGGGAAGCCTCCCACAACAAAGAATCCTCTGGTCCTAAAGGTGAGTAGCACCAAGGTTGAGAAACCATAATCTAGACAGTAAACACTACGTAGCTATTCCAAGTGCTCAGGAAAACACATCAGTGCCCTCGAGGGGAAAAGTGTGAACATTTTAATTGCCGTACATGGTGACACAAATCCATGTTGTTAATCTAAGTGGAAGGGGCTGAAGCACACAACGTAATTCAAAGATTTTACTTGAGCCACGATGAGGACAGCTGCCTGGAAGAAACAGACCCAAGTATCCTTGGATATGAACTCCCTTTGGAGCTTTGCAACAAGCAGTTTCTTAAAGGCAAAAAAGGGTCCAGAAGTGGGATGATCCAAAGAGGTTTGTCACAAATTCTCATTGGCTTATGGAAATAACATTTATTAGTGACTGGCTATACACTGTTACACTATTATTGGGTGTGGATTATAGTGTCTGGTGTGGCGTTATTGGTTAATTTATAGCTACTGTGGCAACAGCAAGCAGCCTAGATGAACACACAGCTCAAAGAGGAGCAGGACAGAACTGCTGTCTCATTTGAATATCTCTCTGGGCCTGATTATTTAAAAGGACTTGCATTTCTCACATGAAAGTTATTTTCTTTTCTCAATGTCCATAAATGAGAATAAATAGACGTAAAATAGATCTTTTCGAGGATGAAGTAAATGGAATGAAAAACAAAACCCAAGAAAAGGTTATAAATATATGGATTTTTCAAAGTTATTTTAAGCTATTAGGAATCAGTTAAATGTTGGGGGATTTTGTCTGAGAATGGGCTAAAGGAGAATGTCCCTTTTGCCTTCTGAAGTTTCCCTGAAAATCACTAATAGGAGGCAGATACATAGTAGAAAAGGCATACAGGTTTCTGCAATGTGTGTACACTGGAGCCCTTAGAACGAAGACCCAGACACACGATGCGTGCAGAAGCTTATCTACCACATGAAGTTTACAGAAAGAATGGGGTCTTGGATCACAGGGAAAAAAAAAAAAGGTTATGTGAGAAAACGACCCTGGCTAGCAAGAGTGGACTTATTACATAGGTGGAACCTCACTGGGAGCAGTCCTCAGAGAGAATGGACAGAAAATGTTTCTTTCAGACCTTTGGAGACCTCAGACTCTCAGTTAACCTTTCCTAGATCCAGACAAGGGGGCAGACCTCAGAGAAAGCCTGGCTGCATCAAGGCAGATTCTCTACCAATGCAAATCTCCCCAAGACAGCTTTGCAGCTATGTTAGCATTTCCAGCCCTTCTCAATAGCCATTTTGAAATATATCAAGGAAATATATTTAGGGGTAAAATATATTAGTTTCCTTCATACAGCTATAAAACATACAGGAATAATTTTTGTCAATGTCTACTACAAATCCAATATAGCAGTAATTATAAAACCCACCAGATATCGAAGAAAAAATATGTAGAGTACATCAATTACCAATGTTGATACTAAAATGCCAAATAAAATAAAAATAATATCCAACAATATTTGAAAGAGTAAGACAAGAAATTGGCAAAAAATAAAACAAATATCCACCTTGGAGATGAAAGTGTGTTTCCAAATTTGGTAATCCAATAATATTAATAATCATGTTGATTAGCACAAATTAAAAATAAATAGGGGATTCTCAGTACATGCTAAAATATATTTATTAAAAGGCAATATTCATGACTTTAAAGATTTTAAATGCTCTAAAGAGTCTGATATTCTATATGCAAATATGTGTATGTCCACTAAAAGAAGAGAGGCCTGATTTTCATGTGTTACTACATAGAGATAGAGAAGTGGATAGATTAATTTGTATATGCATAGAGAAAGCATAAAATAGAAATTTACTATCATATTAAAGGAATTTAAATTCAACAATAAAATAATTCAAAGGTAAATTTTAACTATTTTTAACAGGTACATTATTAATATTAGATAATATTTATAATAATTGTGAAAATATTCAATGCTAAAATAAGATAGTATGTCTAAACACCAGTATTAAAACTAGTATAAATATTTGCTTGTTTATACAAGGAAAATTCAAGCTTGACCTAAAATTATATAGGAAAGAAAAGAAAAATTTTAAGGGAGCTCTTTAATAACATAAACATATATATATACACACACATATAACATGTATATATGTTATATGGGATAGATATAGATTTAACATGTTATATCTATATTTGTATCTGTAACTACAGCTGTATGTATCTACATTTCTATATATTTACTCTGATATAAATATAGACTGGAATAAATATAAAGGCACATATGATTCTTGGATTAAAAGGATTTAGTATCATAAAGACAAATTCTTTCCAAATTCACCTATGAATTCACAACAATATACAGTTTCATTAGTATAATTTAAAATTTTTAAATAAATTCCAAGATTCATTTAAAGGAATATACATATATACAAGCAGTCAAGAAAGAAGCAAGAGTGCACTAAACTAACTTGCTTTTAAAATACACTTTTAAACTTAGCAACTAAAACTGAGCAGTACTGATTTGGAGTACTGGAATTTAGGTATATGGGATCTCAAAAGCACAGAGCTCAAAGGAGACCGCTGTATGCACGAGAGCTTAGGATGTGCTTTAGAAGGCATTACCAAACCACGGGAAAAGTTACTTTAGTGTCTTAGTCTTACTAGGTTTGAAAAGCCAGAAAAAAGACTCAAAACCACCATATAAGAGCAAAACAAAAGGACAGGGAGAGAATGTGAAGATACTGAAACATTTTACATAAAGTTGTATAAAACATCCTTTAAGGAAAATGTAAAGTTTAGGATATTCATCAAAATCAGCAGAGCCACTAAATAAATAAATAGGCAGTAAAATAGCAAGAGAAAATTTAAATGGATTTCTAAAAAATATTGACACCTATGATTTTTAAAATATGTTTAAGAAATCCCGTATTTCACAGGGCAGCCTTTCACAACACAGATATGTTAGGACATAAAGGTCTTTCTGTTTTTAATTTACTAGTGTTTATAGGGTTACAAATGTCTTCTACCCTTGTCTTTTGTCTGATGGTGCAAAAAATTTTCATAAGCATGTATTTCTGAATGCCTGATGCATTGACATATATAATATGCTGCTAGTATTAAAATATGTGATGGAAAACGCATCCAATCTTCTCACTGTTTACATAAATTCTAGGTTTCTCCTATTTACCTCAAGCACGTATGGAGCGAATTCTTACCTTGTAATATTGCCATGGCATTCACATTGAACATAAGTTGAACTCTCTCATATGGTAGCTGGGTTCAGATTCCCTTGACAATTTCCAGTTCTAACCCTCACAGTTCCTCAGTGTGGCTGGCCCAGATATTGACCCTACACAGTTGCCTCCTCCTGGTGACTACCAGCTATGGAACCGTTGGATACAACCTACCTGACTCACCCCACAGACCTCACAGTGCACATGGACAGCCCCCACACGCCAGAGTGACCTGCTCGGTTGCAGCGGGAGTCAAGAAATGTGCCTGCTGGCACTCACCCCACCGACTAGTGCCCCGTGGAAAACTTATTTGGGTAATGTTCTGGGCCCAATGAAGTCTGGAGTCCCACAGACCCTTTTCTCTCTCCTGCTCCCCACTCATCTTCCCCATTTTGTTCAGCCTTGTAAGGTGTGCTACTGTATTAGTCCATTTTCACACCACCAGTAAAGATATGCCCAACACTGGGTAATTTCCAGAAGAAAGAGGTTTAATAGACGCACAGTTCCACATAGCTGGGTAGGCCTCACAATCATGGTGCAAGGTGAAAGGCACGTCTCACATGGCAGCAGACAAGAAAAGAGAGCTTGTGCAGGGAAACTCCTCTTTGTAAAACCATCAGATCTTGTGAGACTTATTCACTATCAGAAGAACAGCATGGGAAAGACCTGCCCCCACGATTCAATTTCCTCCCACCTGTTCCCTCCCACAACATGTGGGAATTCAAGATGAGATTTGGCTGGAGACACAGCTAAACCCTCTTCTCAGCTACCCTCTTCTCTCTGGATCTGTGAGTAATAAACCTACTTCTGTGATTTCCCATGTTTGTTCCTGTGGCCTCCATGTCTCTGATCTGACCTACACTGGAACCTAACTCTCCTCCTGGCCAGGGTCTCTGAGAGTGGCTCTTGTCAGAAATACACAGGACATAGGTCAGGCAACAGTCACCAGGCATCTCCTAGTCTCAACAGATGTTCTGTGAGAAGGAGGCCTGGTCGTGGGATGCAAACCTGGCCACTGCTGGGGCAAGGAAGTGCCCTATGAAAGGCACATGTTAAGCATCCACAACCCCCTGACCAGAACCCCAGAAAGGCAGGGCTCCAATTGACAGTCACTCTCCAGAGACAAACCTCAAGCCCTAACTGCAGTAAAAGAAAACAATGTAAAATGTTGAATTTATCTTACTATTTCAATGATCCAGTAAAGACATTCTATGCCTGTACACCACATATTTTCTTCAGTTGTGCATATATTTTAGATAGAATTTTATGTCTGGCTTTCACTTTAGCCTGGTCCCTACCTCTAGCATAAGGTAAAGATTTTCCATGGGTTCTTTTCTGGTACTACTACCTGCCAGTGTGGGGTCATGTCCTAGTCTATCTCGAGGGAACCCCCCTGTTCATTGTTGTCAGAGTGAGACTGTTAAGTCTTGATTTCCCTGGACAACTTCACTCCATGACTTTTAATATGATTTTTCAGTATACCCTTTACTGGACAATAAATTATATAGTTATCTGAGTAAGAGATATGGTCAGGAAGAGGCATTGCCTCATTCAGCTTTTCTTTTTGGTGAACTCGCGTATGTTCTCCTCACCCGCCAGTCGCCCCTAAAACGTATTGTTCCAAGACAACAAACAGAACTCGAGTGTGTATCTTTCACCACTGGATTTGTGTTTGCTCCATAAAGCTTCATGCTTAATAGGGTTTCTGTTAGCATTTTCTCTATTTATTTTCCCATAAAATATCACAGGCCTTCTTTCTATGGAATTATGGGTGATTTCCTTCAATCTGCATCATATAAAGTTGAAGTTCATGTTGATGGAGGGTAAAACATACGTTGAAAATATCAGTAATGATGTTTTCCCCTCCTTTTTAGCACCTGTGCTTGTGATACAAGCACATTGTGATACAAGCACAATGTAATACAATTGTAGTCTCATGCTTTGATCATTCCTATGATGAAAATAACATTTTTAGATAATATGTCTGAGTTTTATGAGGCCTTTAGTATGTGATGTGATAGAATATCAGAAGACCATACTTTTTTCTAGTTTTCCATGCAATTCTATCATTGTTTCATCTTTACTCCTACCAGAGTAATTTTCCAAAATAGATATCTTGTCATTCTTCCTGTTGTTATCAGTAAATAAGTGAAATGAAAAGCTAGATTATATAATTTATCTAGAACAAGAAAGTAGAATTGAATCTATATTCATTAATGAGACTAACCAGTCAATTACACAGATAGGCACTTTAGATTTTGAAGATCATAGGACCCATTGTCAGATATATTATTATTTATGTCTATATGGACATCATCTGTGCATATTTACATAGAAATCAATGAGAACTGATTTTCATTTTTATTATATATTTTTTGAGATAGGGTCTTGCTTTGTTGCCCAGGCTGGAATGCAGTGGTGCAATCACTGCTCACTGCAGCCTCAGCCTCCCAAGCTCAAGCGATCCTTCCACCTTGGCCTCCAAAATAGCTAGGACAACAGGTGCACATCACCATGCCCACTTTTTTTTTTTAACTTTTGATAGAGACTGGGTCTTGCTAGGTTGCCCAGGTTGCTTTTGAACTCCTGGGCTCCAGGAATCCTCTCATTTAAGCCTCTTCAACTGCTGGTATTACAAGCATGAACCACCACATGGGCTGGAAGCTGATTTTTAAAATACTGAGATCATATAGATGACAGCACCTGAAAAATAGACAACACCAAGCTTTATGTTAAAAGGTGTGAGGGTATCAATATTGTTGTGGCTATTGGGGAGGAAAACATTAGTAAAACCAGTAAGTTAAAGCTCTTGCTTTAAACTTTGGCTTTAATTTAACAAATGTTCTATGGAGTGACAGTATGTATGTAACCACGCTATGCCCATTCACAGATGCAGTAGAGGGAAGAATTTCTCAAAGACAACTGTTCTAAGACTCAAATTAATCCGTACTGGGTTTGAAAAGAGAAAGTCCAGGAATTACCAAATATTTTAGATATCAGATAAAAGAGAATGCCAGGTATGCGATGATAATCAGCAATGGTTGTTCACACATCAAATCAGTATTTGAATTAGCTTTTGAATTACAAGGACAAATGGATCAAGTCTAGACTCTTTAGTAGATAAATCTTATTAGGCTGAGATGTGTTTTCCCCTGTTTTTCCACAAGGAGATTACAAATTTGCAAACCTCAGCTGCTCTCATTTTATGCTCTCACCAAGCCAAAAGCTGAAGTTCATCAATCAGTGTGTCTAAGTGTTCTCTGGTTATATACCATTTTGTAGTTTCAGCTATCTTTCCAACTTCCTAAATCATCACCTTCATTTGATCTTGTTTTTTTTCCACTATCACTTCTTTATTGACCATATAAAGAATATAAGTAAGTTCTTATTTTGTTATTGTTCATTTCGGTCTAATTTCATCAAAATATCACAATCTTTTAATTTCATTTTAATTTCAAAGATTAAATGAAAACTACATAGAAATGAGTGTAAGATTTGCATTTGCATTATTTTGGCATCAATTTGCTATCCTCCCTCATGCACATAGAGATCATTTCCATGTATGTGATTTCAAACATCCAAGTGCAGTATTAAAAGCAGTTGTAAATTATGGTTCTCATTTTCATGATACAATTACAGTATAAACTTCCTCTTGCTGCTGTAACCAATTACCACAAACTTCATATCTTACAATAAAGTGACCGTTAATCCTACAGTTCTGTAGTTCAGAAGCCTTAAATGAAACTCACAGGGCTAACATCAAGTTTTGGGCAGGGCTGCAGTCTTTCTGAGGGCTATGTGGCAGAATCTATTACTTGATTTTTTCCAGCATCCAGAGGCCACCTTTATTCCTTGGAACATGACCTCATTCTTATATCTTATTTTTCTTTTTTTTTTTTTTTTTTGAGATGGAGTCTCCTTCTGTCACCCAGGCTGGAGTACAGTGGCACGATCTCAGCTCACTGCAACCTCTGCTTCCCAGGTTCAAGTGATTCTTCTGCCTCAGCTTCCTGAGTAGCTTGGACTACAGGCACTTGCCACCATGCCCAGTTAATTTTTTGTATTTTTAGTAGAGATGGGGTTTCACCATGTTAGCCAGGATGGTCTCGATCTCCTGACCTCGTGATGAACCCACCCCAGCCTCCCAAAGTGCTGGGATTAGGCGTGAGCCACCACGCTGGGTCCTCATTCTTGTATCTTAAAAGTAAGTGATGTTGAGTAATTTCTCATGCCACCACCTCCAAGGTTGCCTTTCTTCTGCCTTCTTCTTTCACTTATAAGGAAGTTTGTGATTTCATTGATCCCACCCATTTAAGACAATCTCTCTATCATTTTTCCGCAACCTTAATTTCACTTGAAATCTAATTTCACACTGCCGTGCAACCTAACATATTTGTATGTTAGACTCTGGGAATTAGGAAATGAAAATTTTTGGGAGGCCATTCTTTTGCCTACAGCAGACATAATCTATTTACCTGCAGATTAAAGCGTTCTTTATTTTTCTGTTTCCCTCTCTTAATTTTTTTAAACTAATATGAATTGTAGTAAAGAGAAAGAAAGAAAACAAAGAAAGAAAAAGAAGGAAGAAAGGAAATAAAGAAGAAAGAAAAGAAGGAGGAAATGAGGGAAGGAAGGGAGGGAGGGAGGAAGGGAGAAAGGCAGGAAGGGAGAAAAAAGAAAGCATGAACACAAGAAAGAAAGAAGGAAAGAAAGAAAGAGAAAGAGAGAGAGAAAGAGAGAAAGAAAGAAAGAAAGGAAAGGAGGAAGGAAAGGAGGAAGAGAGAATGGCAAAAGGGAGGAAGACAAAGAAACAAAGAAAATAAAGAGGCAAAGGAAGGAAAAAGAGGAAAGGAAGTGAGGGAGGAAGGAAGAAAAGGAGGGCAGGAGGAAGGGAGAAAAAAGGGAAGAAAGCAAGAACGTGAGAAAGAAAGAATATGAGAAAAGAAGGAAGAAAAGGGAGGGAGAAAGGAAGTGAGGGAGGAGGGAAGGAAGAATAAGAGGAAAGAAAGAAAGAAGAAAAGAAGGAAGGAAGGAGAAAAAAGAAAAGAAAGGAAAAGCAAAAAGGAAAGAAAAGGAAGAGGAAAAGAAGAAAGGAAGGAAGAAGCAAGGGAAGGGAAGAGAAAGGAAGACGGAAAGAAGGAAGCAAGAACGCAAATATTAGAAATTCTGGGTTTGTTAAAGAATATGCCATACTTTTTTTTTTTTTTTTCACTTGAAAGAGTATCTGCCATTGAAGATTGGGTGTCTTGTTGGTGATATTGTTGTTCTTATCTTCCACATGATTACTGAGTTTGTGCCTAGTCTTTCCATTACTAAGACAAAAGTGTTGAAGTCTGCAAATATAATTTTGGATTTTTCTAGTTCACCTTTGATTTCTTTCATGTTTTACCTCATGTATTTGGAGGTTCTGTTGTTAGCTGCATACCCTAATTAGTAGGATGTTTACATCTTCTTGAGAACGGATTATTCTATTATCTATTATCTCTCATCTCTGATACTATTGCTTGTTCCAAACTCTGTTGTGTCTAATATCAATGTAGTCCTTCCACAGCTTTATTTTAGTGTTTCCATGATATGGCTTTCTCCATATCTTGATGAAAACCTATTTATATCTCTAAATATTTGGAGCAAGATATAAAATTTAGACTTGATTTTTTAAAGATTTTTCAAGATGTAATTCTTATTTCTTTTTGTTCTATTTGACATTCTCTGAGTTTCCTATATTTGAAGTTTGATTTTCTGTCACTTCTTTTAGAATATTTTTGGCAGTTATTTTGAAAAATATTTCTTTTGCTTCATTACTTTTCCCTCTTTTCTTTTTGGGATTTCAATCATAACTAGAGTAGGTAATTTCATCTCAGTCTTATGCAGGTACTTTTTCTCAGGGTCTCAGGAATGTAGCATTCTCACACTTCTGTTCTTTTCCTGGCTGTGTTGGTGAGCTCAGTGATATTCCTCCTTCACCTTCAAGAGCAGTTTTGTTTTGTTTTTCCTGTTTTCATACTCCCAGCATCAGGAGTATTCTAAGTGTGGCAGATTTTCTTGCCTTCCCCTACATATTAAGTGTGATATCTTGGTCTGTTTGGACTCTTTTAACAAAATAACATAAACTGGGTGACTAAAAAACAACAGATATTTCTTTTTTCACAACTCTTGAGGCTGTAAGATCTCAGGCCAAGATGCTCACAAATTCAGTGTTGATGAGAGCCAATTTCCTGGTTCATAGATGGTGCCTTCTTTCTATGTCCTCACATATTGGAAGGCACACAAGAACTCCATTGAGCTTCTTTTATAAAGGCACTAATCCCATTCATAAGGGCTCGGCCCCCAAGACCTGGTCACCTCCCAAGTGTTCTGCTCTCCCTGATCTGTGTCATAAACAGACTCTCTTGGATTCCTTACCAATTGCTTGAGAGATCGCAGTGGGTTTGTGGGGAAAAAGTTTTCAAGATGATGGATCTTTCCCAACTTCTGCAGCTGTCAGCGGTCTCCCAATCTCACCAGCCCCACTTTGCTTTAGGAATTTATTGATTATTCCAGCTTTACTTGTCATAGTGGTGTCTATTTGCATCTGTCCTATGTAAGTGCATCTGTCCTCTTTCTCCTTGCAGGTGCTTGTTTTCCCTCACATTTTGACTCAGTTCTTGGCAACCTCGTTGCTATAAAAATAAAGTGATGACTTTGAAGTTAGTTTGGTTCTTTCATTGTTGTCAGGTTAGGAACCCTATTCCATCCCAGATCTCCAAAACCCAGACTTTTTGGGGGTTTGAAATTTTAGGCTTTGTCTTTGAATTGTAGTTTTATCTTCTTTCAGCTACCATTTGCATTTTCATAATGATTAATGAGACTAAGCTTTTTTTGTGTAGTTGACTGTACCTTTGGATTTTTTTCCCAAATACCTTTTTATTTCTTCTTTTCTTTATGGTTTTAGAAAATGTAGTTTACATAATTGCAGCTTGATTTTTTACTCAGTTAATGGCATGCTTAATGGAGAGAAAAAATATTAAATATATTTCCCTTTTTAATTACTGTGCTTTTTCCTTTTTTAAGGAAATGCTTCATTATGTTAAATTTCAGTGTTATTCTACTTAGCTATTCCTTAAATATTATAGTATTTTGGATTTCACATGTAAATTTGTAACATATCTTGAGTTTATTATGTATAGAGTAAGGCTATTTTCTCTTTTTTTTTAAGGTAAAAATCACATAATACAAAAGTAATAACAACCATTTTAAAGCACACAATGCACTTGCTTTTAGTATATTCACCATGTTCCAGGGCAATTTCATCATGTCCCTTACAAAAACCCATTATGCATAAAGTGGTTACACCCTATTCTGCTTCCCTGAGCCCTAATGACCACTAATCTGATTTATATCCCAATTGATTTGCCAATTCCTGATGTTTCATGTGAATCAAATCAAGTAATATTTGTCCTTTTGTGCACTTAACATAATGCTTTCAAATTTCACCAATATTATACCATATATAAGTACTTCATTCTTCGTTATAGCTGAAAATTGGGTGTCCCTTTATGAGTCAACAAGCATATGGATTGTTTCCACTTTTTGACTGTATGAATATTACTGCTGTAAATATTCATGCACATGTTTATTTTCTGAGCACCTATGTTTTGTAAGATTAACAGCTGACTTAAGAGAAACAATGGAAGGCAAGAGGCAGTAGAATAATATATTCAAAAGATGCAAAGGAAAAAAACCTCTCAGCCACGAATTCCTTATCCAGCAATTATTTTTCAAAAATGAAAATAACACAAAGACTTAGCCAGATAAACAGAAACATTAACTGAAGTTGTTGCTGGCAGACCTACCATATAAAAAAAAAAAAACTCTAAAAAAATTCCTAAGGCTAAAAGCAAGTTACAGAAGACAGTCACTTGAATCCACATTTTAAAAAAAGCACTGATATACGTAATATTGACATTATAAAAGACAGTAAAAATGCATTTCTTCTCTTTATAATAAATTGTTTACTAAATAACATGTGTATAATGGCCAGGCACGATGGCTCACACCTGTAATTTCAGCACTTTGGGAGGCCAAGGCGGGCTTATCACGAGACCAGGAGATCGAGACCATCCTGGCTAACACAGTGAAACCCCGTTTCTACTAAAAATACAAAAAATGAGCCGGGCGTGATGGCGGACGCCTGTAGTCCCAGCTACTCGGGAGGCTGAAGCAGAAAAATGGCATGAAGCCGGGAGATGGAGCTTGCAGTGAGCGGAGATTGTGTCACTGCACTCCAGCCTGGGTGACAGAGGGAGACTCCGTCTCAATGATAATAATATGTGCATAATGTATTGCTGAGTATTTGACATGTAGAAATGTAATACGTCTATAACATATTTTCCAGTAACATCAAAAAGGAGGTAGTTGGAAGAAAAATGTATTGTGATAAGGTAATCACTCTAGATGGTAAAGTAATAATTACTAAAATGTATTGTTGGCTTTGTAACTTTAATAGATGTAATGTGTAAAGTGATAATACTTTAAAATGGAGGAAATAAAAATGATTTATATAAGAATGATGTTTCTATGTATTACTAAAAGTTTAATAGTATAAATTGGAAGATGATTTGAATAATTAATTTTCCATACACCTATATGGTAAACTTACAACAACAATAAAAAGTCTCAAAAATATATAATAAAATAATTCATTAGTAATCTAAAGTTCCCTATTTTAAAAAATATTCTTGCATTGCAAAATAAAGCAATAAAGAAAAATATTTGGAAATATATAAAACAAACGGTAAAATGGCAGACATAAATAGAATTATACCAATTATAATCTTAAATGTGAGCAGATTAAAATCCATTCCAGAGGCAGAGATTGTCAGACCGGATTAAAACAAGTGATCCCAATATACGCTGAGATGCAAGGATACTAACGGATTGAAAGTAAAAAGATGACAAAAAATATCCTACAAAGAGCAATCATAAGAACACTGAACTCATTATACTCATAACACACAATATAGACTATTAAAAATGTGAATAGGATTTTAAAAATTTATATTGTAGTAAAAAGGGGGTCAACGCTTTAGGAAGACATAGCTATTACAATCATGTATGCACAGATATGAGCTAAATTGTTTCCTCTATATAGATGCTGAAATTCTAACCACTGAATATGACCTCATTAGGAAATAGGTTATTTGCAGCTGATCAAGTTAAGATACAATCAGATGAGCCTGAATTCAATATGACTGATGTCCTTATTAAAAGAAGAAATTTGAGTAGAGGGAGACATACACACAGGGAGAGTACCATGTGATTATGAGGGCAGAGATTAGCCAAGGAATGCCAAAGACTGCCACTAAACCACCAGAAGCGAGAAACAAGGCACAGAACAGGCTTTCTCTCATAGCCCTTGAAGGGACCATCCCTGCTGACACCTCAATCTCAGACTTTTAGCTTCCAGGACTATAAGACTATAAATGTATGCTGTTCAAGGCACTCAGTTTGTGTTAGTTGGTTATGGCAGCCCTAGAAAACTAATACATGAACTAATAACAAAGCATAATAACATGAAGCAAAAATTGACAAAAGAGGAGCATCAGCAAAATGGCAGTGGAGACAGCTGCAATCTGTCATTTCCCCACAGAAACATCACACAACTAAGAGAAACTGTCCGAACAAACTTTGCCAAAACTCTGGAAAATGGTCAAAAGATTACAACAACCAAGTGAAAGCAGACTCAAGAAAAAGACAACTGGAAAACTTTACGACATTTTAAACTTGTCTTTGCCCCAGCAAATTGGCAGTTTTGAAGTGTCAGAAGCCCACGTTCCCAGTGAGGAAGCCTGGTCCATGGTCCAAAGGAACAAGAGAAGATCTTACCCGCAAGTTATTATGTGTCTGTTCTGACTGGTCTGGGGGATACCTAAAGGACTCATGAAAGGCTTTTTTTTCTGTGTTGCTTGAATACAGAACAGATAAGGAATGGACATTATTAAGAAACTCTGCAAGGAGACTTAACAAACCACAGATGCTTAGGGCAAAAATTAAAGTTTACACATATAGTAGATCACCTTCAGCACAGTAAGAAAAGGTGGAGAAGAGTATTTCAAAAACTAAGACATACAAAATCATTCACGTACATGGGAGAGTCTGGAAAGTCACATGTATTCATAGGTTAAGCCACATGTTGACAAATGTCATAAGAAGACCCTACACTTTCACCTTGGCCGATCCCTCCCCTCAGTGCAAGCTCTGTGCAAGAGTGAACTTGAACTTCACTCAGTGCAAGAGTGAACACACACTTTGTGCCGGCTTTAAAGAACCCAGCACAAAGCCAGTCTGCATGGCCTAGAGACATATTTTGCTGGACAATGATTACTTGTTTTCCTTTTTGTTTTTCTTGTATTTGCCTGTTTGATTGGTTCCTGACATACAAGAAAATCACTGTCAAAACATTAGCTTAACATTTGTTAAGGAAACAAAAAGACTTCGGTGACCACACCTTATAAAGCAAACAGTTTTGTAAATCACTTTGGAAAATTTCACTAAAAAAAAAATCCTTAACAATATAATAAGTAAAGAAAATTTAAAACCACAAAACATTACTGTGTTTGTAGAGGGTGTTCGATTTGCAGAGTAACCACTTAGTAATTATAGTTATTAGAATGTCCAGTTTTCAAAAAACGTTACAAGGCATACAAAGAATGGGAAAGTGTGGCTCATTCAAAGGAACAAAATAAATTGACAGAAAATATCCCTAAGGAAACCCAGACATCAAACTTACTAGACAAAGACTTTAAAACAACTCTCTTCATTATACTCAAATGTCAAAAGGAAAACATAATCAAAGAAATAAAGGAATCAGAAAAAAATATTAAAAAGCAGGAATATCAGCAAAGAGATAACAGAAATTCTGGAATGGAAAACTACAATGATAAAAATTTCAAAATCACCAGAGGGATTTAAGAGTCTATTTGCACACACAGAATAAGCCATGAACTTGAAGAGAAGATAATGGAAAATACTGACTCTGAGAAACAGAAAGAATAAAAAATAAACAATGAGCAGAGACTAATGAATCTGTGGGACATCATCAAATAGACCAACATTCATATTCTAGAAGGATAAATTATGTTATTAAAAAGTTTACCCTTCTTTCTTTTCACCTTTCTTCCTTCCTCCTTCCCCCTCCTCTTTACTTTTCTTCCTCTTCCTTTGTCTTCTTCTTTCTCTCCTTCATTATCCCTTTCGCTGTTTCTCTTTCTCCCTTTCTCTTTTTTCTTTTCTTTCAATTTTCTCAATTACTAAGAGATGTTTAAGTACCCTTACCCTGTTAGTAGATACGGTTATTTCTCCCTTTAGTTCTCTTTTGAGATTTATAGTCACTCTAAGTAAAGAGATAACCCAAACATAAGCATCACCAACAGGCTTTCATACCATTCTTAATTTGGTCCTGTAATTCTTCATTGCTGTATTAACTTTCTGATGCTTTTAAGGATGTTTTATAACAAACTGTTTAGTTTTTTCCACTGGAATGTTTATTCTGAATTATCTAATTCATATTGTAAGTATAGAGGGAGTTTAATATGAAATTATTAAACTAATATTTGTGAAAGAATGTATTTGTGCATTCAACAAATATGTTAATCATCAGACTGTTATTGGGCAGCTGAGCATACAGGAATAAAAATAACACAATTTTTATGTGCACAATATTTATGGAATGCGTTACTGGACCAAATAATTTAGTTAATAACATGACAAAGAACAGAAATTGTATACACTATAGAGCATAGTAATGGAATAATGAATGATTAAAGTTATTAATATTAGGTAGAAAATGAAGGGTATCTTTGAGAGCAGAACTCAAGGAAGCAAGCAATTCACCTTATGAGGAAAGAGTTACCTGTGGATAAAGGAGAAACTGAAAAATTTACAAGTCAAGACTTTTTGAGCAAAAGCAAAAATATGACTATTAGTCACCAATTCAGTAGAGTGAAAAAAAAAGTTGAAGAGATATCTTGGAAGTAAACCATGTTGTGGAAGAGCATGTAGGGTTTTGATAATCATGGGATGATTCTGAATTAATTTTAAATGCGATAGGAATATATGAGATAATTTCACCAGAGAATAACATGATTGTGTTTGCATTTCAAAGGGGTGTATCTGGTGCACTGTGTAGAATAAATAGGTTATGTGAGCAAATAAATTGGGAGGCTACTCTAATCCAGAGAAAAAAGGTAGTGACTTAGGTGAGAATGCTGTCAGGATGAGTGGTAGTAGTGGTGAGAAGTCGTTAGGCCATGGATGTATTTCATAGGACTGGCCAAGAGAACTGCAGCTAAATTGGAGTGTAGGGAGTGAAATGGAGAACTCAAAGATGACTCTCAGCACTGGAAGGTGACAGCTGTCACTGAAGCATGCTGATGCCTCTTATTAAGAGAGTTACGTGGGAATGGCAAGATCAAAACTTCTCACTTTCAAATTTATGAAAAATATTGTTTTCAGAACGAATGACTTTGGGATCAGAAAGCCACCATTCTAATTGATGGTTCCACGACTACACGGGCTCACACTCCCAAGAGCAAAAGTAAATCATCACAAAGGTGCTTCTTGATAATTCTAGAGAATGGAGAATTACTGTAACATCTTTCTGATTTTAGGAGAGGTAGCAGTTCCCTTTTTAGCCAAAACGCTATTTTTTTTTAAAGCTCAGCCAAGAGACTCCATTATAATTTTCAAATGTGTGTAACTTAAATTCTCATATGAAATACCACTATGCTTAAATTAGTCAAAACATTTTCCCCATCTACAACTCTATCTTGTCACTGCAATCATTTTCACAAGAGTGACTGCAGCTCACAGACCCTAAAAAGGAGAAAATCCAGGGTAGGTTATCTGATCTAGTTAGTTTTGAAGATAGGATCTAGAGATTATTTAATATGAAATAGGTCACCTGAAATGAAGTGTTTACTGAAAACAGCTTGGATCTGCCCAGTTTTCTACCACTGAACCATGCATTTGGTTTAAAAAACACAACAACTCTGGGGAATACCGGCTGCTTCCAACTGTGTTGAAGGTGTTAAAGAAAAGAGCATAAAATTAAAAATGATCATCTGAGGCCTTTATAGTCTCTGCTCAAGAGACAAGAGTCTTCCATTCTTAACAAAACACCCAAATATCTTAATAATTGGGCAAAATCTAAATATCAGAGATAATTTTATCTTGAAGATTGTTAAATTATAATGGTGATTCACTACCTCGCCACGTCTCTGAGTCAAAAATTAGGTTTTTGTTTAGGAATCAATGGTACTCTGCAACTTGGAAATAGGAAGATTTTAGAAGACTCAAACATTGACTTTCTTGTGTGCAAAAAAAAAAGACGTATTGAGATAAGACAAGTCTTTCCTTGCAAGGATACCTCTAATGCTCATACACCACCTCCCCTAACATTAATACAGCTTCCAGGTCACTAACCAGTGTCAGAGAGCAGCCCATGCAACTAGAAATTCAAAAGATGTCGAACATAGGGTCAAGCCTAGAATAAGAAGTCTTAGCTAATTAAGTATGCTTTTTTCCTGAAATTCATATTAACAAAAACTTGGATATGTCAGAGAATGCATTCTAAGTTCACTCAACCTAGGAGGGAGAAACATAATTTTAAATTAAGAGCTGAAGCATTCTTGTCCTAACAGAAAGCAAGGAAAACGAAATATCACACCACAGGAGGGATTTCACAAATTAGTGTCAACATCAAAACCTTAAAATAGGCAAGGAGAATGCAGATTCACAATGAGCTCCTGTACTTGTTTTGTTCAGAGAAGAGATGGTTCTGAGAGAACGACAGTGAACCAACCCCAGCTGGTTTAGTTGGTGCTTTCAACTGCTGCTTCTGATCAACTCCTTTAGCTAGAATAAATTGATGAGGATTTTGGCATGTGGTATTAGAGATAGTTATTAATTTTTTCCTCTTATTTGCATTGTTCAATGTAGTAAATACTAGCTGCTACTTCAATTCAAATTAATTACAATGAAATATACTTAAATGTTGATTTTTTTAGTCACTGTTGGTTCATTATTGAATATCTTCAGCTAAGATTTCCCATCTAAATACACTAAGAGGTGGCTTAGTTAACTGGTCGTCCACAAATATTGAAGCTGTTGTTAACTCCTGATATATTCTCTGCAAAGAGAATATTCATGAGCCTCCTCCTGAAATCAGCAGCCTAGAGATAGTTTTATAAATTGGATACAAGTTGGAAATCTATATACTCTTTCAGTTTTTGAAATATTAGCTTCCCAGGGAAGAAAATCAAATTCATAAGATATGTTAGGACAATTTAACTCAAGATGTTCAAAACTGAAATGACATGTTCTACAATATGTGATAAAACCAACCCTTAACAACTTAAAGCAAAACAGGGATTGACCTTAAAGACCTGCCTTTTCCTCATGCCCCAGCCAATCAGTTTTCAAATCTTGCATTTTATTTTGAAAGGTCCTTATCCCCCTGGTCTCTTGTTTCTAGACTTCGCACATATTTAAGTTTGTTACCTCTATCTACTGTCTTTCCTCTTTTCAAACAGTATCTATGCCTGCCAAATGTGAACATACAAAAAACAAATCAGAATATGCCATTCTGATTTAAACTGCTTATTAGTTAATACCCTCAAGATAACATCTGGGTTCTTAGCTGCAATGAGTCAAGCTTACATCTTTTTTTGTCTTTGGCTGCACATTTCCTATCACATCACACTCCAGCAATACCAAGCTGTGCCGTCCTTCTACCCCATCTCCACTATTTTGCCCCCCACCGCCGTGGCTTTTCGCCCCCCGCCGCCGCGGCTTTTTCCCCCCCACCCCGCCTCGGCTTTTTGCCCGCCACGGCTTTCTGTCCCCCGCCGCCGCGACTTTTTGCCCGCCGCGGCTTTTTACCCCCCGCCGCCGTGGCTTTTTGCCCCACTGCCGCCGCGGCTTTTTGCCCCCCACCCCGCCTCGGCTTTTTGCCCGCCGCGGCTTTGTTGTGACCCCCCTCGCCACCGCGGCTTTATGTCCCCCCGCCGCCGCGGCTTTTTGCCCGCCGCGGGCTTTTGCCCCCCGCCGCCGCGGCTTTTTGTCGCCGCTGGCTTTTTGCCCCCCCGCCCCCGCGGATTTTTCCCCCCTGCCGACGCGGCTTTTTGCCCGCCCCGTCTTTTTGCCACCCCCCGACCCCGGGCGACGCGGCTTTTTGCCCCTGCCGCCGCGGTTTTTTTGCCGGATGCGGGTTTTTGCCCCCCCCCCCCGGGACTTTCTGCCCGCCGCGGCTTTTTTTGCCTCCGCAGCTTTTTGCCCGACCCGGCTTTTTACCCCCCGCCGCCGCGGCTTTTTGTCGCCGCGGCTTTTTGCACCCCCGCCGCCATGGCTTTTTCCCGCCGCGGCTTTTTGCCCGCCCCGGCTTTTTGCCCCCCAGCCACCGCGGCTTATTGACCCCCCGCCGCCGCGGCTTTTTGCCCCCCCCCCGCCACCGCGGCTTTTTGCCCCCCCCCGCCACCGCGGCTTTTTCCCCGCCGCGGCTTTTTACCCCCTGCCGCCGCGGTTTTTTGCTTGACCCAGCTTTTTGCTCCTCCCACCGCCGCGGCTTTTTGCCCCCCACCCGCCCCGGTGCTGCGGATATTTGCCCGTCGCGGCTTTTTGCACCCCCGTCGCCGCGGCTTTTTCCCCGCCCCGGCTTTTTGCCCCGCCGCCGCCGCGGCGTTTTGGCCCACCGCCGCCGCGGCGTTTTGCTCCCCGCCGCCGCCGCCGCCGCCGCCGCCGCCGCCGCCGCCGCGGCGTTTTGCTCCCCGCCGCCGCCGCGGCGTTTTGCTCGCCGCCGCCGCCGCCGCCGCCGCCGCGGCGTTTTGCTCCCCGCCGCCGCCGCCGCCGCCGCCGCGGCGTTTTGCTCCCCGCCGCCGCCGCCGCCGCCGCCGCGGCGTTTTGCGCGCCTCGGCTTTTTACCCCCCGCCGCCCCGGCTTTCTGCCCGCCTTAGCTTTCTGCCCCCCGCCCCCACGGCTTTCTGCCCGCCGCGGCTTTTTGCCCCCTGCCGCCGCGGCTTTTGCCTCCGTGGCTTTTTGCCCGACCCGGCTTTTTGCCCCCCCAGCCGCTGTGGCTTTTTGCCGCCGCGGCTTTTTGCCCGCCGCGGCTTTTTACCCCCCGCCGCCGCGGCTTTTTGTCGCCGCGGCTTTTTGCCGCCCCGCCGCCATGGCTTTTGCCCGCCGCGGCTTTTTGCCCGCCCCGGCTTTTTGCCCCCCAGCCACCGCGGCTTATTGACCCCCCGCCGCCGCGGCTTTTTGCCCGCCGCGGCTTTTTACCCCCTGCCGCCGCGGCTTTTTGCTTGACCCAGCTTTTTGCTCCTCCCACCGCCGCGGCTTTTTGCCCCCCACCCGCCCCGGTGCCGCGGTTATTTGCCCGTCGCGGCTTTTTGCACCCCCGTCGCCGCGGCTTTTTGCCCCTCTTCCGCCGCGGCTTTTTGCCCCTCTTCCGCCGCGGCTTTTTCCCCGCCCCGGCTTTTTGCCCCGCCGCCGCCGCCGCCGCCGCCGCCGCGGCGTTTTGCTCCCCGCCGCCGCCGCGGCTTTTTGCTCGCCGCCGCCGCCGCCGCCGCCGCGGCTTTTTGCCCCCCGCCGCCCCGGCTTTCTACCCGCCCCGGCTTTCTGCCCGCCTCAGCTTTCTGCCCCCCGCCCCCACGGCTTTCTGCCCGCCGCGGCTTTTTGCCCCCTGCCGCCGCGGCTTTTTGCCTCCGCGGCTTTTTGCCCCCGCGGCTTTTTGCCCCCGCGGCTTTTTGCCTCCGCGGCTTTTTGCCCCCGCGGCTTTTTGCCCGACCCGGCTTTTTGACCCCCCGCCGCCGCTGCTTTTTGCATCCCCGCCGCCGTGGCTTTTTGCCCGCCGCGGCTCTTTCCCCCCACCGCCGCGGCTTTTTGCCAGCCGAGGCTTTTTATCCTACGCCGCCGCGGCTTTTTGCCCGACCCGGCTTTTTGCTCCCCCGCCGCCGCGACTTTTTCACCCCCGCCGCCATGGCTTTTTGCCGCCCCGGTGCCGCGGTTATTTGCCCGTCGCGGCTTTTTGCACCCCCGTCGCCGCGGCTTTTTGCCCCTCTTCCGCCGCGGCTTTTTCCCCGCCCCGGCTTTTTGCCCCGCCGCCGCCGCCGCCGCGGCTTTTTGCGCGCCTCGGCTTTTTACCCCCTGCCGCCGCGGCTTTCTGCCCGCCCCGGCTTTCTGCCCGCCTCGGCTTTCTGCCCCCCGCCCCCACGGCTTTCTGCTCGCCGCGGCTTTTTGCCCCCTGCCGCCGCGGCTTTTTGCCTCCGCGGCTTTTTGCCCGACCCGGCTTTTTCACCCCCGCCGCCGCGGCTTTTTGCCCCCCCGGCGCCGCGGTTATTTGCCCCCCCGGTGCCGCGGTTATTTGCCCGTCGCGGCTTTTTGCACCCCCGTCGCCGCGGCTTTTTGCCCCCCTGCCGCCGCGGCTTTTTGCCCCCCTGCCGCCGCGGCTTTTTGCCTCCGCGGCTTTTTGCATCCCCGCCGCCGCCGTGGTTTTTTGTCGCCGCGGCTTTTTCCCCCCGCCGCCGTGGTTTTTTGTCGCCGCGGCTTTTAGCCCCCCCCCGCCGCCGTGGCTTTTTGCCCGCCGCGGCTTTTCGCCCCCCACGGCTTTTGCCTCCCCGCTGCCACGGCTTTTTGCCCCCCGCTGCCGCGACTTTTTGCCCCCCCGCCCCCGCGGATTCTTCCCCCCTGAGGACGCGGCTTTTTTTCGCCCGCCGCCGACGCGGCTTTTTACCCCCCGCCGCCGCGGCTTGTTGCCGGCTGCGGCTTTTTGCCCCCCCCACCCCCCCCCGCCACTGTGGCTTTTTGCGTCTTTGTGCCCCCGCCGCCGTGGCTTTTTGCCCGCGCCACCGCTGCTTTTTGCACCTTTTTGCCCCCGCCGCCGCGGCTATTTGCCCCCCGCCGCCGCGATGTTATATGGTTTTTTGCTCCCACTGCTTTTTGCCTCCGCCGCCGCGGCTTTTTGCCCCCCCACCACCGCAGCTTTTTGCGCGTCTCGGCTTTTTGCCCCACCAGCGCCGCGGCTTTTTGCCCCACCAGCGCCGCGGCTTTTTGCCCCATGGCCATCGTCAGAAGTGTGAGTGGAACAGAGTGAAGGGAAAGCTGTTTTCTTCGAAAGCTCAAAAATCTTGAACTTTCAAATAGGGATAAGTGTTATTTTTGCTCCAAGCACACATTTGAGAAATCTTCCATTTAGCGGATCTGATGATAAACCCACATTTTTGTTTGTTTTAATCTGAAAATGTATTTGTATGGTTCTTGGAAATATTTTTTTCATATAAAATTATAGTTTATCAGCTTATTTCAAGTTTTATTTACCATTTGATAATTACTCCTAAAATGTCATTGATTAAAGAAAGAATCATCTATTGCTCCAACTGCTCTTTACTAAAGGTAATTTGTCTTTTTAACCTCATCAGGCTCCTTTTAAGCTCTCAAACTGACCTTATTTTTTTTTACAGATTCAATGCATTAAGTCAATTTATTATTTATGATGAATTTATTTATGTATTTATTTTCGCTATCACAAGTAGAAAAAGCCTATAAGTTGCTATGCCAAAAACCTGCCTCTAGATGGCAAACAAACCCCGCAATACACAAAAGAGAGCCAAATTCTTAGAAACCCTGGGAAAGGAAGAGGGCTACTGTCCCATTAACAACTTGGAGCCCTTAAGGCAAGAATGAGGTGGAACATCTGGAACATCTGGGAGGAGACACAAGGGTGCGGAGTAGTGGGGAACCTGCTCTGTGCTCTGAGACTGAAAGCCCAGCCTTGCCTCTCACCGCTGCCTTGACTGTGTCCCCATCTGCTGTGAAGTGAATGGTGTCTTCTAAATTCATGCTGAGCCCTAATTGCTGAAAAGTGTTAAGACATGCAATGGGGGGATTATGTGCATCTTCCCGACACCAACATGATGCTCAGGAAGGAGACTTCTTGTTTTCTCTTAGGATTCTTTTACTAACCAAGATTTTGCCTCTACTGCATATTTCCCTTTGCTGATTGTCCCTCCCTTTTGACAGAAGATGGCCCAGGGCATTCACTACTAAGTCTCAACCTCTTACCCAAAGCCCTCAGTCTAGTGTTGCTCTTTCCTTCATGCTATTTTTGTTTCTTTCTTTTCTTGTAATCATCTTGGCAATAAAATAATCACTTTTTTCTTTCTACCTATTAAAGATGTTACCTTAGTTAATTACAGTGGTTTCCTTCAGAATGATAAGTGGTCTTTCAAAATGATGTAAAGAGATCTAAATCCGTGTGCTCCAGAAGTTGAATGAAGCTCTGTCTAGCACAGGTGCCAGTGACTCTCCCAGAGTGCTCCATGCAGCTGGACCCACAGAGTCCCTCTGTGCTGTCATATCACCCACTGCCTTCTGTGAATGAGATATTCTGATTAGAATCCTGGTGGATGCTATTTGAGCCAGTGCCCCCACAACTCCTATGAAAGCCGAGGACCACAGGCCCCTGAAGACAATCACAGGTCTCTAGACTCACAGCTCATGACCGTCCTCTGCAGACACAGCTTCTCCTCGGATGGCTGAGGGTTGTCATTGGCTGTGTCCTTCCTTGTGCATGACAACAGGAGACATAGAAGGTCCATAAGCAGCCCTGCAAGCCAGGTTCTGAGCAAGCCCTCCTGTGTGGGGCCCTCTTACCTGGACATAGGTGTGTAAACCAAAAATGAAACTCTAAGCTCCCTAACCAACTGAATGAACTCCTCCTCTCAGCCAAGCACACACCAAAATCAACCTGAAATACAAGGCAGCCCATGATCGGAACGGATGATTGGATATGCCTTAACTTACCCTCTTCCCTTTAAAATTCAGGCACAACTGACCAGCTTTTAATATGAAGACAGAGACCTTGAGACTGACAAAGAAAACTCTTTATAGCAATAAGATACCAATGTGACAGATACCACGTCCTAAGAGAAATCAAAGTATTTTCCCCAAGATATTGTTATTTAATGTATTTAAAAATGCCTCTGCAAAGCTGGTTCTTGTGGGAAAAATCTACATTCTGTAGAGACTCCTTTTTAAGTCTCTTTCCTGACCCAGAGAGATTTAACTAAGAGTTTGGCACCTTTTAAGTCTGCTAAGAAACAATTACAATCTATTCTCTCTGAAGCCTGCTACCTGGAGGCTTCATCTGCATGATGCAACCTTGGCTCCAAAACCCTTTTTCTAAACCCAGAAACTCCCTTGTGTTGATTACAGGTCATTAGATAAACTCTTTCAACCACCTATGAAATCTTTGAATCCACCTAGGACCTGGAAGTCCCCAACATCCCCCCTCCTTCGGGCTGTCCTGCCTTTTCATATCAAAGCAATGTGCAGCTTACACGTATTGATTGATATCTTATGTCTGCCTAAAACGTGTAAAACCAACCTGTAGCCCGACGACCTTTGACACACGTTCTCAAGACCTCCTGAGGCTGTTTCACTGATATTTCTTTAACTTTGACCAAATAAATTTCTAAACTGATTGAGACTTTTCTCAGATACTTATTTGTTTATAGGTATCACTGGATACACTTAAGGAATTGAAGAGATTTATGACATTGAGAAAAGGAGGAAGCCAGGGTGTGTGGACATTGAGAGAGAGAGAGAGAGAGAGAGAGAGAGAGATTGTGATGTATGTACAGGACTAACACTGAGACCTGGTTATGTAATGGTGTAGTACTGAGTATCATCCCCAAATAGTGAGGTTTCATTCCATGAAGACTATGCATGTATCTCATTTGGGAAAACAGCTTTTGCAGGTGTAAATTAAGGAGCTTGAAACAGGGAGATGGTCTTAGATTAATCAACTGGGACTTAAATGCAAACTCAAGTGTCCTAAAAAAAACAAGAGGTAGAGAGAGATTTAGCATAGACTGAAGTGGAGAAGGCAGTGTGAACACAGAGACAGAGATTGTAGTGATGTGTCCACATCCCGGGAGAGAGAAGCCACCAGAAGCTGGAAAAGCTAAATCAGACTGATCCCTAGAGCTTCAGAAGGAGCCAGAACTGATGACTCCAAGATCTTAGCCCAGTGAAACTGATCTGGACTTCTGAACTATGAGAGATTCCATTCCTGTTGTGTGAAGCTACCACATTTTTGAGAACTTGTTACAGTAGCCCGAGGACACTAACACAAATGGGGCTCCGGGAAAATCCAGACTAAAGGTGTTGTGTTGGTTTGCAATCTCCTTGCTTAACTTTCTGATACTAGATGTAAATAGATTGGTGAAAAATTTTGTGATTGAAAAAATGTACATGAAACCTACAGTGTACAGAGAAGCATCTGTTAGTTATAAGATAAATATTGATAATTTTAGTTGAAAATGACATATGACTGTTAATATCTCACATAACATTCTGAGTTACTCAAGAATGCATAAAAGAGGCACTAGATACTCTTCTCATGTATGTGTGTGTGTCTGTCTATACATGTATGTACACTTCATGGTGCATCAGCTGGCGGAACCCTCAGGACACCCCTTCACATCCTCAGTGCCCCATTTCACACATGAGGAAACTGTTCATGACAGCACATGGCTGATTTGCATAAAAGTCACTTGGTCAGCAGTTGTCGAAGCTGAACTTGGAATCTAGGTCTGTCTGACCTTAACTTATGTTCCTTCCACAGAGCCACGTTCATTCCATAGAGGGACCCACCACCTATAAAACCGGAAAAGAGACAAAGCCAGAAGTGCAGGGTGGATTTCTTAACACAAGCTCACTGCAACCTCTAGTCCTCATCACGCTGACACTAAGCTTAAACCCAGACCCTTCTACAGTTTTGTCTACAAAGCACAATTTGCCCAAAGCCTTTACAAACACCAACAGCCTTTCTTTCAGATATGGCAGCAGGGTCACATCTTACACGGCCCTGACCACATTTTGTCTCCTCTGCCATCCCCATCTCTCTGACTCAGTCCTCGCTTGCAGCCATAAAAAAGGATGAGTTCATGTCCTTTGTAGGGACATGGATGAAGCTGGAAACCATCATTCTCAGCAAACTATCGCAAGGACAAAAAACCAATCACTGCATGTTCTCACTCATAGGTGGGAATTGAACAATGAGAACACGTGGACACAGGAAGGGGAATATCACACACCGGGGACTGTTGTGGGGTGTGGGGAGGGGGGAGGGATAGCATTAGGAGATATACCTAATGTAAATGACGAGTTAATGGGTGCAGCGCACCAACATGGCACATGTATACATATGTAACAAACCTGCATGTTGTGCACATGTAACCTAGAACTTAACAATAATAATAATAATAAAAAGAATGGGTCTTGTACATCCAATTTGCCCTATGAATGTTAAAACAGCAAACCCGCATCCCCTTCCTCTTCTCATGTGCTGTGAGAGATGACCTCCAGGCTCTCAGATACCAAGATTGTACAAGACCTAACCCAGAGAATTACTCAAGACACTTTCTACGTAAGAAGAATTGTGGTACTAGCTCTCCTCATAGAAAAATGTTTTCTGTCTCTTGTTGAAATTGACAGCAAACACAAAAACACAGAACTATTTGGGAGAACAGAGGACAGTGATACACTAGGGAAGTAAAACACACCCCTTCCCCTTGCATTGGTTTCCTGTTGCTGCTGTAACAAATTACCACAACTTTACTACTCCACATAACACAAGTGTATTATCTTACATTTCTGGAGGTCAGAAGTCTCAATGAAGTAAAATCAAGGAGTAATAGGGCTCTATTCATTCTAGGCTTCAAGAGAGAGAATCCAATGTCGAGCATTCCATCTTTCTGATGTTCCCACATTCCTAGCAGCATGGCCCCTTCCTCCATCACTCCAGTTTCCCTGTCCATTGTCCCAGGTCCTCTCTGGCTGTTACCTTCCTCCCTCCCTATTGTAAGGACCCTTGTGATTATGATGGTCTCACCCAGATAATTCAGGATACTCTCCTGACCTCAAAATTCTCAACCACGTCTGCCAAGTTATTTTTGACTTGTTCATAAGTAATGATCATAGATTCCAGATATTAGGACAATGATGTCTTTAGTGGGTGTATTATTCATTCCACAAACAACTCTCATCATCCACACAATGGCCTTCCTCTAAGGTAGAATAAAAATATCACAAGGCAGATTTACGAGGCGATCGACCTAGAAAAAACCTGAGACTCTAGGACTGTCTGATGTGTGGATGTCAAATCCTGGGAGATTCTGAGCCTCTGCTCTATGTGGACTCTATGTTGTGTAGCCATTTGTGGAAGGCTTCTGTGATTTTGTGACCTAGAGAAAATGAATCTCTGCTAAAATCAAATCTAAGAAAGATTGGCAAAGGGAATTTAAAGATTTCCTAAATTTTTGGAATTTCCCTAGGCATTAAAACATGAGAAGTGGCAATAATTCAAACCAACGATGCCCTCCAAGAATGAGGATTTTTCCAATGCATTAGGTTGGGTCCCCTCAGTGAGAAGGATGCCAAAGATTCGCATGCAGGCAGTATATTTACAAAGTGCGGGAAACAAGCAAGTGAGCAAGGGAGGGGAGGAGGGAAAGGGAAAGTGAAAAGTGCCTCAGAAGGAGCCACCTCTGAGGATGACGAGAGCTCAAGCCCACATAGAAACACAGGAAAAATGCCTCTGTTATTCCACCTGAGAGGTGAGGGAGCTGGGGGATGTGTACACCTCCCTTGTCATCACTGATTGACAACCGTCCTAGGGGATGCTAATTCCAGGCCATGAGGTCTGCCTCATTTGCAGCCTGAGCTGCTTCCCCAGGTTCAGATAGAGCAGTGAAGGGGAGAAAGGGCCATAGAGAGTCAGCTGAAGTATAATGTCTAGAATCCCCAAGGCATAGTAACAATGACTGCTAAAATTATGCACAAAGAAAAAGTGCATTTGAATCCAGAGATGTATCTCTCTGAATCTGGATATATGGATCCTGGCAGCCTGTTCGGTAGCCATTTCCCAGAAATCCAGTCCTCTGGAAAAGCAGGAGGAGGTTTGTGCATAGGCTGCACTACCTTGGTCTGGCCATGGGTAGTCCTGCATGAGAACTACTCCCTGGAGTATTTCTCAGTCCACTGACACTGATGTAATTGGCTCCACTTCCCCTGCTGTTGAGCCAGGCCAACATGCCCTGGGCAAAGGCATCTGTGTGAAGTATTGAGGTGCAAATCAGTGCTTAAGATATGTTTGGATGCAAAACACTTTTTCATCTACATGGGCAGTGTCTTGGCAGAAGATGGAGATTCTCTCTAAATGCATGTGAGACAGGGTGGCTGGCATCTGGGTCAGGATGATGCCCTGGTGCATGGCAAGAACATGCCTTGTGCAGCAGCTGCCCTCACTAAGGAGAGAGGCTCACTGACCTGGCTTTTCCCCCTCACCTGCTCTCCAGAAAGCCAGACTCTAGGGCAGATGCTCCTGAGACCCCAGGAACAGGCTGGTGGGGAGCGCAGCTCAGAGCATTACTCAGGGGATGTGGCCTTTGTCATCCTACTTTGAAACAATTGACTATTTGAGCCTAGATTGATACAGGGCTTCAAGTTGATTTTAATCCAGGCTCCTATAGTCAGCGAGTGAAACAGAGATTTTAGTTGAAATAATGAGACCTGGTGTTACTAGTCAGCTCTCCATGCTGGAGAACCATAAGAAATTATACCAAAGGCAGGAAAGGGGATAGAATATGGGGATCATCACGCCAAGAATAAGGTGCAGCCCATTTAGCCCCTGGGTCTTAAAGAGACCCATAGCTCTGGATAATGGCAGATCTATGTGTGACACAGTTATCATCTTGGTGCATCTTCAGAGAATTGTTTTTCCTTTTACTCCTAGGGACAATGTCTTAAGTTTGTTAGTAAATTCTATTGAATTTATTAAAGATGCTTCTGATAAATTCTTTTTATATTCATTTCAAACAAGAAGCAATTTCACACTGACATTGTTATTATAGCACTAAATACTTTTACACTCATCAAATTCCTTTGAGACTAACTGAAATTTCTGACAGCCCCACATTCTACAACTTTATTGTAAATTTTCTGCCAAAAATGATGCTTTCCTATACACTCCTAATACAAGTATAAATATATTATTTAATCTAGTCTTAGGTTGATTTAAAATTTTGAAAATTCACTCCAAAAATATGTTCTGTAACCATATGGCCACCAATGAGAAATGCATTCTTTCAAGGTAAATCTGTGCTGCCCTGGTTTGACCTGGGACTCTGGGGATACTGCGCCCCTGTGCTGAGTTACTGAGATGAGCCAGCCCTGCAGCTGTGCTCAGCCTGCCCCATCCCCTGCTGATTTGCCTGTTCCTAGAGCACAGCCCCCTGCCCTGAAGACTTTTTATAGGCTGGTCACACCCGGAGCAGGAATCAGCCCCAGTCAGGACACAGCATAGACATGAGGGCCCCCACTCAGCTCCTGGGGCTCCTGGTGCTCTGGCTGCCAGGTAAGGAAGGAGAACACTAGGATTATACTCGGTCAGTGTGCTCAGTACTGTCTGGAACTTCAGGGAAGTCCTCTGATAACATGATTAATTGCAACAATATTTGTTTTTATGCTTCCAACTTCAGGTGCCAGATGTGACATCCAGATGACCCAGTCTCCATCCTCCCTGTCTGCATCTGTAGGAGACAGAGTCACCATCACTTGCCGGGCGAGTCAGGGCATTAGCAATAATTTAAATTGGTATCAGCAGAAACCAGGGAAAACTCCTAAGCTCCTGATCTATGCTGCATCCAGTCTGCAAAGTGGGATTCCCTCTCGGTTCAGTGACAGTGGATCTGGGGCAGATTACACTCTCACCATCCGCAGCCTGCAGCCTGAAGATTTTGCAACTTATTACTGTCAACAGAGTGACAGTACCCCTCCCACAGCGTTACAAGTCATAACATAATCCCCAAGGAAGCAGATGTGTGAGGCTGGGCTGCCCCAATGCTCCTTCTGGTGCCTCTATCTGCTGAGGGAAGTTCTCAAACTCAGTCAGGTTTGGAAAGTCATTGGGAGATTTTCCTAGAGGAGGCCAGGGAGGTTCCTCTGAACCCTAAGCCTCTTTCACCCTCATCCCCAGCAGAAAAGATGTGACAATGCCTGTCCTGACTGAATAAAGAAGAGAGATAAGTCCAACTGAGGAGTCTGTGTTATGGGATAATTGGAATTTGTACAGCAAAAGAGAAGCTATTCTCAGTATTTCAAGGAGAAATTATTCAAGTTGAATAAATTAGAGCCTAAACCACAGTCTTTCCGAAGCCTATGGAATGTTATTCATGAAGCAGGTACTAGACACAGGGGATTCTCAGGTGCTACTTCAGAAGCCAGGGTGCACCTGCCCCTGGTGGTATGTGCTGAACACCATGTGATGATCCTCAGGCCTGTCTGGGAAGCCCAGGTCTTCCCAGACAGGAATGCTTTGATAAATCCACTGCTAGGTAGGTAATTCTTCTGTAACATTAATAATTCGGTTTTACTTTTGGATCCTAAAGTGGGACTACTTAGAAAATCTGCAAAAATCATGCGAAGAAAATCATGTAAAATCATGATCTTTACTTAGGCACTTACAGGTGAAATGACGAGGTATCTGGAATTGCATTAAAATAGATCAAGGTGAAAAAGACTGACAAAAACATTAACTGTTAAAACTTGGGGCTATATATCAAAGACATTAGTTTCTCTATGAGTATATTTCAAACTTTCCTCAATAAATTTTTTAAAAATTCAATTTAAAATTCAAGCCACAAATAAATGCTTTTTAAAAATTTCTTAGATTATACAAATAGTGCCATAACATCAAGAATAATCCCAAATCATTCCATATACTTCAAAAGATACAAAACCAGGCTGGGTGCGGTGGCTCACGTCTGTAATCCCAACACTTTGGGAGGCCGAGGTGGGCGGATCACCTGAGGTTGTGAGTTTGAAACCAGTCTGACCAACATGGAGAAACCCCGTCTCTACCAAAAATACAAAATTAGCTGGGTGTGGTGGTGCATGCCTGTAATCCCAGCTACTGGGGAGGCTGAGGCAGGAGAATCACTTGAACTCGGGAAGTGGAGGTTGCAGTGAGCCGAGATTGTGCCATTGCACTCCAGCCTGGGCGACAAGAGCAAAACTCCATCTCAAAAAAAAAAAAAAAAGACACAAAAGCAGGAACTCTTTTCCAGGAGCAATCCCATTTAGTTAAGAAAAAGAAGAAAAAAATATTCCCTAGATTCAGCCAGTTCCTTATCTCTACTGTCCTTCAGAGTCAAATTTCTTTAAAAAATAAGCAACTCTGCCAGGCGTGGTGTCTCACGTCTGTAATCCCAACACTTTGGGAGGCCAAGGAGGGCGGATCACAAGGTCAAGGGATCGAGACCATCCTGGCCAAGATGGTGACACCCCATCTCTACTAAAAATACAAAAAATAGCCCAGCGTGGTGGCACACGCCTGTAGTCCCAGCTACTCAGGAGACTGAGGCAGGAGAATGGCTTGAACCCAGGAGGCGGAGGTTGCAGTGAGCCGAGATCACGCCACTGCACTCCAGCCTGGTGACAGAGCAAGACTCTGTCTCAAAGAAAATAATAATAATAATAATAAGCAACTCCATCTCTCCCCACTTCATCCTTCTCAGCCCTCGATCCTCTGTGATCTGGCGCATGTTCCTGCTGCCTTACTGAGGCTGCTTTAGTAAGGGTACTAGTAAGCTTCCAACTGGCAACTCCAAATGACTATTTTCAGTATACAACTTACTTGGAGTCTACTTAGCATCTTCAGTTATTGAACTTCCTCCTTTAACTCACTTCCAAAATACTACTCTCTCCTCCTTCCTTCTCTATTTCTTTGTTGGCTCTTCTTCCTCTGCCTTCTCTTCAAATATTTCTACTTCCTCTCACTCCTTCTAGTTCTCTTTTCTGTTTCCACAATACTTGTTCTATCAACTACTCCTTTCACTTCATTCACAATAATACTGATGATTCCCAAGCATATATCTCTCATCATGCGTCCCCCTCACATATCTGCTCTTTAATTCTTCTTTTTAATTCATTTGATACCTTCTAAAAGTCTCTCACAATTCAGATAGTCCTTCAAGCCAGGAACATGGGAGTCATTCTCAAATTATCTTTCTCACTCACCCCCTGTCCCATCTCCAAATTTTTATATAAGCTTCAGATTTCATGGACTGTATTTAAAAATTTTTTATAGTTGATGTGTCTCTATTTCAGCAGCTACTGTTTTATCATTTCTCATCTTAGACTATTACAATCTTTCTGGCTGTGTTTACAGATCTTTCCAGTCCACCCCCACACTGAGGTCAGGAGATCTTTCTAAAATGTATTTCATACTCTATCTTGCTTAAAACTTTCAAGTGCTTAACAACTAAATGCAGTATATATTTCCAGATTGGATCCTGGACCAGGGGAAAAAAAAATGCTATAAAGATCCTTTTTAGAACATCTGAATATAGACTATATCAGATAATAGAATATCAATGTTACATTTCTTTAACTTGGTAATGTACTATAATCACATAAGGAAATGTCCTTGCTCTTAGGAAATATACACAGAGGTAGTTAGGGACAAACTAGCAAATGATTTAGGGGAAAAAATGATACCTACAGAGAGAGCAAACACAATAAAGCAAATATAGCAAAACATTTTCAATTGGTGAATCTGGGTAAAGGGTATACAAGATTCTTGCAACTCCTCTATTAGTTTGAGATCATTTTACATAAAATATTTTTGGCTGGGCATGGTGACTCACGCCTATAATCACGGCACTTTGAGAGGCTATAGCAGGAGGTCTGCTTGAGCCCAGGAGTTCCAGACCAGCCCTGACAACAGGGTGAGACTCTGTCTCTCTAAAAAATTAAAAATTTGTCTGTGTGGACTGGAGTATATCTGTATTCCCAGCCACTTGGGAGGCTGAAGTGGGAGGATCACTTGTGCCCAGAAGGTTGGCACCGCAATGAACAATGACTGTGCCACTGCACTACAGCCTGGGCAACAGAGCAAGACCCTGTCTCAAAAAAAAAAAATTAAACCTCCCACATTCCCTGTTACATGTAAGATAAAAGTTTGAACTCCTTGGTTAGGCTCTCTGTGATCTGACTCTTGCCCCCTCTACCATTATCGGTCATCAACTGAGAGGAGGACCACAACCAACATCCTACTCTCCACACACAAAGATTACAAATTTCTGAACACACCAAACTGCTTTGTTCCATGTCAAACATGTTCTCTCTACTTCCTGCACCTTGTCTGTCTGACAAGCACCTTCTTATTTGATGCTATTCAAGCCTCACCTCCTCTTACTCTGCACTCCTTTCTACTTTCCTCTTCCAGATGAAAATAACCACTCCAGGCCACGCATAGTGGCTCACGCCACCCAGCACTTTGGGAGGCTGAGGCAGATGGATCACAAAGTCAAGAGATTGAGACCATCCCAGCCAACATGGTGAAACTCCGTCTCTACTAAAAATACAAAAATTAGCTGGACATGGTGGCGAGTGCCTGTAATCCCAGCTACTCGGGAGGCTGAGGCAGGAGAACTGCTTGAACCCAGGAGGCAGAGGTTGCAGTGAGCCGAGATCGTGCCACTGCACTCCAGCCTGGCAACAGAGCAAAACTCCGTTTCAAAAAAAAAAATCTCAAATACTCGGCCAGGTACATTGGCTCACGCCTGTAATCCCAGCACTTTGGGAGGCTGAGGTGGTGGATTACCTGAGGTCAGTAGTTCAAGACCAGTCTGACCAATATGGTGAAACCCTGTCTCTACTAAAAATGCAAAAAAAATTAGCCGGGCATGGTGGCATGCGCCTGTAGTCCCAGCAACTCCGGAGGCTGAGACAGGAGAATTGCTTGAGCCCGGGAGGCAGAGGTTGCAGTGAGCCGAGATCACACCACTGCACTCCAGCCTAGGCAACAAAGCAGGACTCCACCTCAAAAAAAAAAAAAAAAAAAAAAAAAAAAAAAAAAAAAAAAAAAAATCTCACTACTCCCAAATTATGTATTTTTAAAAATGTTTTTTATTTTTTTTATTTTTATTTTTTTTTTGAGATGGAGTCTTGCTCTGTCGCCCAGGCTGGAGTGCAGTGGTGCAATCTCGGCTCACTGCAAGCTCCGCCTCCTGGGTTCACACCATTCTCCTGCTTAGCCTCCCAAGTAGCTGGGACTACAGGTGCCCGCCACCATGCCTGGCTAATTTTTTTATATTTTTAGTAGAGACGGGGTTTCACCATGTTAGCCAGTATGGTCTTGATCTGACCTTGTGATCTGCCCGCCTCAGCCTCCCAAAGTGCTGGGTTTACAGGCGTGAGCCACAACGCCCAGCCTAAAAATGTTTTTTTCTTTCCATGTCCCTGATACAGCTTTTCATCAACTTTCCCAAAGTATGAAAAGAAACACGTATTTTTCACTAAGAGGTCAACCTATTTTCAATCTCTTACACCATTCTACATGTTGATGAACATAAGTTCTAATAAAATTTTATCTGTTTCTCATTACTCATAAATATTATCTATTTATCTAATTGCATCTAAATGCCATTTTATTGCAAATATCCCATTCACCAACTTCAAAAAGAGAAAAACAAAACAAGCATCATTAAAAACAAAGCAAGAAAGTAGCAAAATAGATAATTCCAATATCACCTATAAGTACTCAGTTATCTTAAACAAATGAACTCAGATTGTCGACAAAAAAATCCAAGGCCCATTCATTAAAGCAAATAAATAACTCATATAACATCTAAAAATCTCACTCATGACCTATTTTCCTTTACTTGTGACCCAAATTTAGTTACTGGAGTATCTTAGACACTAGCAAAATAGAAAGGTAAGACAAGCTTCTGGACAGATTGTAACGGCAGACAGCAAAGAAACAAAATACACAAAAAAAGTCTATAGGCTGGGCGCGGTGGCTCACGCCTGTAATCCCAGCACTTTGGGAGGCCAAGATTGGGGGATCACGAGGTCAGGAGATCGAGACCATCCTGGCTAACATGGTGAAACCCCATCTCTACTAAAAATACAAAAAATTAGCCAGGTGTGGTGGCGGGCACCTGTAGTCCCAGCTACTTGGGAGGCTGAGGCAGGAGAATGGCATGAACCTGGGAGGTGGAGCTTGCAGTGAACCGAGATTGCACCACCTCACTCCAGCATGGGCAACAGAGCGAGACTCCGTTTCAAAAAAAAAAGTCTATATAGAATCTTAACATAGTCTGCTAGAACAATTTTTTTTCTAAAGAAAATACATCAAATTGAATAATATTAAATGACAGGAAAAGGAGTAAACATTATAGAAACCTCCTTTAAAAATTAAAAACTATTTCAACTTTAAAATGAGTGGGTATTAACAGCTCAGGGAGCACATCTGCTTCTTCAAAACAGGCAGAGTAGGAAAAAAATGTTGCTAATTTTTAAGAAATCATATAAATCAGTTTTTTGATCATTATTAAACTATTCATAATAAAATTAACATATTACAACCATTCATACAAATGTTTACTACAGACACACCTGAACTCAAGCAGTATTAACATTTCAATTTATTTTAGGAATGATGAAAAAATTGTTCCAGCATTTAAGAGACCACCATTTTGGCCAGGCCCAGTGGCTCACACCTGTAATCCCAGCACTTTGGGAGGCCGAGGTGGGCAGATCACCTGAGGTCAGGAGTTCGAGACCAGCCTGACCAACATGGAGAAAGCCCGTCTCTACTAAAAATACAAAATTAGTTGGGTGTGGTGGTGCATGCCTATAATCCCAGCTACTGGGGAGGCTGAGGCGGGAGAATTGCTTGAACCAGGTGGTGGAGGTTGAGGTGAGCCAAGATCGCACCATTGCACCCCAGCCTGGGCAACGAGAATGAAACTCCATCTCAAAACAAACAAAAAAGAACACCACTTTTCATTTTACTGAATTACCTTTCCTGTTCAAGAGCATACTCCAACATTTTGATCCTCCTCACAAGATCCTTCTTCAAATTTTCTTGGCCCTTCCTTTCTCCCTGTAGGAAGGTAATCTGGGCCTGAGTAGGGGAAAGACAGACAAAATTCAGTTTAGACCAAAAAAAAACCAGTTTTTTTTAACTCAGTAAAGAACCTTTGGAAGTTAGAACAATTAGATGCAAAAATATTTCCTTTACACATTTCTCACAAAGCATGTAGAAATATAAAAATGCACTGACTGCAAGGGGGAAAAAGGATTTAAGTTAAAAAGGGCGGGGGGACATCTAAATGCATTGTACTTCAGGGTAGGGATTTTACAACACATAGTCCACATCATTTAAGAGTCTACAATATAAAACAACTAATACTGCCGGGTGCGGTGGCTCACACCTGTAATCCCAGCACTTTGGGAGGCTGAGGCGGGTGGATCACTTGAGGTCAAGAGTTCGAGACCAGCCTGACCAACATGGTGAAACCCTGTCTCTACTAAAAATACAAAAATTAGCCGGGCATGATGGCACCTATAATCCCAGCTACTCGGGAGGCTGAGGCAGAAGAATTGCTTGAACCCAGGAGGCAGGGGTTGCAGTGAGCCGAGATTGCGCCACTGCACTCCATCCTGGGTAACAGAGTGAGACTCCATATTAAAAAATAAAACAACTAATATTAATACAAACAAATGCAAGGTGTACAGTACAGTTTGCTAAAGCGTTTGTCTTTTTGCCATCAACAAGATCTTTTTATAAAGCAGGAAGGGTTAAAGTAAAATCAGTTCTTATAATCCCCTTGCACAAGCTTCATCATATATTTAAATTTTATGTCAGATTCCTTAAGTGACTTTATTTTGGACCTCCCCTACAAAAAATAAGTTGCTCCCTTTTCTCAATCCCCACCATTTTTCTCACCCACCTTGACATGTAATCCATAGAAAAAAGAAAGTGAAAGTTGGGAAAAGGAAAATTAGAGACAATGGCCTTCTGCCCATTCCTGCCCCCCACCCCAAGGAATTACTAAAACCCTACATTTGAACATGAAACAAACTGTAAACAACTTTTAAAGTCAGTAAAACAGAGGGGCTAGGAAAGAGTAGCTCTCCAGAATATTAAGAGAACATTTACAACTGAAATACTATCTTTCACATAAGAAATTGAAACTATGTCACAAACACTAACTTGTTAAGGTGACTCATAATACCTCTTAAAAGTCACAAGGGCCTCAAAACTAGCTATAAATTTCACTATTCTCACATATACCACCACCCCCGTCTTTTATACTGACCCACTAAGACAGGTAACAATGTTATTTATGTATCTACAGTGCTTTCCATTAAGTGAGCAAGAACTTTACATTTAAGGATGACCTTGCCACATCCCTAAGGAATTGTGAGGATTGTGCAACTCAGGTTTAGCAAGTGAGCCATTAAACTTAATTCTCATTCAAACTTAGTTTGAATGACCTTTGTTTCTATTCTGTACCACAAGAAACATAAAATCCAACTTATCTAGTCTCTTATAACTTTCAAAATATAGGTAGTGTTGAGCTTTTCTTTTCATTTCAATATGCTCTTAAATTTTACATTACAATTAAAGGAAGGATTACGTTTATCTTACTGAAATAAAAGTGGTCTGAAAACAATTCAATTGTTTTCAGAGGAAAAGGCATCAAATATCCACAAGACTCTTTTGAAATTATATATTCTGCAGTGGGATAATTATGTTACCTAACCAGAATAGTAATGACACATGCATTTAAAGCTGATAAAAATGAAAGTCTTGTCAAAAGGAAGTGACAGCCCAACTTGTCAGGCCAAACATGCTTTGGCATAGAACTTTATATGCTCTTTAAAATGATTTTAATAAAAATAATAAGCTAATCAATGCAATCAAACTTTGAAGGTAATAACAATATCAATTATCAATTTTGTCCTCTCGATACTCCTTGGCTAGTTTTGCATTTCTGCTAACATCATTGGTCCTGGATGATTCTGAAACTTCAGCCTACAATACCATAACGTCTTTACTGTATATGTTCAACTTCAAGCATAAGAGAAGTTACAATTAAAAGTATAATCAGAGGCTGGGCACAGTGGCTCAGTCCTGTAATTACAGCACTTTGGGAGGCCGAGGTGGGAGGATAACTTGAGCTCAGGAGTTTGAGCCTAGCCTGGGCAACATAGCGAGACCACTTCCCTACAAATAATTTAAAAAATCAGCCAGGCATGGTGGCATGTGTCTGTGGTCCCAGCTACTTGGGAGGCTGAGACAGGAGAATCACCTCAGCCCAGGAGGCCAAGGCTGCAGTGAGCAGTGATCACACCACCACACTCTAACATGGGTGACAGAGTGAGACCTTGTCTCAAAAAAAAAAAAAAAAAAAAAGGGGATGGGGGGTGGGTGGTGGGGTGGTAATCAGGGCCAGGCATGGTAGCTAATGCCTGTAGTCCCAGAACTTTGGGAGACTGAGGTGAGAGGATTGCTTGAGGCTGGAGTTTGAGACCATCCTGGCCAACATGCCAAGACGGCTCATAAAAATATTAAAAATATAAAAAATAAAGTACAATCAGATTTCTCCTTTTCCATCAGATGGATAAAGTTCAGTAACTTAATAATATGGTAGAAAACAGACATTTATATGTTAGCTGTGGTGATATAAACCAGTTTCACTTTATAGAGGACAACTGGTAATATCTGTCAAGTTTATAAATGCATATACCCTTTAACTCAGCAATTTTAGAATGTTATCCTTCAAATATATATTTGTACATACATGAAATTATATAATACATTACTGATAAAACACAGACAAGAATATGTATACAACCCAAATGACCACCTAAAGGAGACTGGTTAAATAAATGAGTATAATTGAAAGAAAATTAGGACCTGAACTAAGACCTTTGAGAAAAGAGTAAAAGACTATGAGAATAATGTCAATCTTTTACCTTTTTTTCTCTAGAAAACTAAGACATTAGAAACAAAAAGTCTTAAAACACATTCCTACATAAAAAAAAGAATTCCTTCTGTAAAACGACCTCAGTCGAAAACATAATAATTGGTATAAATTCTTACTCTTTTAAAATAAAGATTAAATTCCAGCTAAAAATTCTCCAGATATGGCAGTATATTGCTCTTTGAATTGAACTGAGGAAGGGCGAGGGTGAGAGACATAAAAGATGAAAACAGTGAAAGGAAGAAATAAAGGGAAGGGAAAAAGTAAAAAGAAAAAGAGGAAAATAGGTCGGACACAGGGGCTCACACCTGTAATCCCAGAACTTTGGGAGGCTGAGGCGGGGGGATCACCTGAGGTCAGGAGTTCGAGACCAGCCTGGCCAACACAGTGAAACCCTGTCTCCACTAAACATACAAAAATCAGCCAGGCACTGTATTCGCAGCTACTCGGAAGGCTGAGACAGAAGAATTACTCAAACCCGGGAGACGGAGGTTGCAGTGTGCAGAGATCGCACCACTGCACTCCAGCCTGGGCGACACGGTGAGATTCCATCTTTAAAAAAAAAAAAAAAAGGCAGGGCGTGGTGGCTCACCCCTGTAATCCTAGCACTTTGGGAGGCCGAGGCGGGTGGATCACGAGGTCAGGAGTTCAAGACCAGCCTGGCCAAGATGGTGAAACCCCATCTCTACTAAAAATACAAAAAAAAATTAGCCGGGCGTGGTGGCAGGTGCCTGTAATCCCAGCTACTTGAGAGGCTGAGGCAGAGAACTGCTTGAACCCAGGAGGTGGAGGTTGCAGTGAGCCGAGACCACACCACTGCACTCCAGCCTGGGCAACAGAGTGAGACTCCGTCTCAAAAAGAAAAAAAATAAGTGTTATGAATAAATATGTTTAAAAACTTACAAATCATCAACTGCCATTTATCAGTACAACTAAACTTAATGATAACAGGATATATTTCTGGAGAAGAAAACTTTGGAATTATTTTCAAGGAAAATGAATGTTGAACTTCCATGATACTTTATGTGTATTTTTCACAGTATAGAAAATTAGATATTCACTTCCTAACCATCATAAACAAAAAAGATAAAAATAATAGAAGGAAGATATTTTACTATTTAAGTCTGCATGACAGAAAGAAAATTTATTTTTTTATTTAATTTTTTATTTTATATATTTATTTTTTTTGAGATGGAGTCTCACTCTGTTGCCCAGGCTGGAGTGCAGTGGCACCATCTCAGCTCACTGCAAGCTCCGCTTCCCGGGTTCACGCCATTCTCTTGCCTCAGCCTCCTGAGTAGCTGGGACTACAGGCGCCCGCCACTGCACCCAGCTAATTTTTTGTATTTTTAGTAGAGACGGGGTTTTACCGTGGTCTCAATCTCCTGACCTCGTGATCCGCCTGCCCCGGCCTCCCAAAATGCTGGGAACAGGTGTGAGCCACCGTGCCCAGCTGAAAATTTATTTTTATATTATTTTCAATTCTAATTTGTCAAAAGGATATATGTAAATAGGAATATAAATCTTCTATATTTAAACAGGTTTATCTGCATACGTAATATCTAATAAACAATTAAAATATTTAAAATGTACCACTTAATTTATTAAAGCCCCCCCACCCTTTTTTTTTTCTTTTGAGACGGAGTCTCACTCTGTGGCCCAGGCTGTAGTACAGTGGTGCGATTTCGGCTCACTGCAACTTCAGCCTCCCGGGGTCAAAGTAATTCTCCTACCTCAGCCTCCTGAGTAGCTGGGATTACAGGTGCGCACCACTATGCCCAGCTAATTTTTGTATTTTTAGTAGAGACGGGGTTTTACCACTTGGTCAGGCTGTTCTCAAACTCCTGACCTCGTGATCCACCCACCTCGGTCTCCCTGAGCCCTGGGATTAGAGGTGCGAGCCACCGCGCCCAGCCTTATTGAAGCCATTTTAAACTACTGTGTATTCTGAAATTTAAAAGGGCTAGGATTCAAAATTGAAATCACTGAGAAGTATATTCAAAATGAAAAATACACAAAATTCTTGGGTTGGACACTTTTCAGTAGCTTTTCAGTTACTTGCTATGGAATATAAAAAGCATTCACTTTTACAAAAATCTAAAATAAAATATTATAAAACTTGATTAATTTAAGGTTCTCATCTTTTGATTTGAACACAAACTTCAAAGTAAAAGAGGAAATATATAAGTAAAAGTCAATTATACGGTTACAGTGTACAGTGAAGTTTCAATAATCTGCTTTATGTCTTAATGCCTTCTATAAACTGTATCTATTCCCTCTGAAAAGCTTTGGATTATATTATCCTCTTAAATCTAGGCTGCTAGTTTTCTCTGGCACATAATCACTGCCTCTAGCCCTCTCTCTTAAAGACAGTGTCTTTATCAGGCTAGGCACAGTGGTTCATGCCTGTAATCCCAGCATTTTGGGAGACCGAGACAGGTGGATCACCTGAGGTCAGGAGTTTGAGACCAGCCTGACCAGTATCATGAAACCCCATCTCTACTAAAAATACAAAAATTAGCCAGACATGGTGGCGTGTGCCTGTAGTCCCAGCTACTCAGGAGGCTGAGACAGGAGAATTGCTTGAACCTGGGAGGTGGAAGTTGCAGTAAACCAAGATCATGCCACTGCACTCCAGACTGGGCGACAGAGCAAGACTCCATCTCAATTAAAAAAAAAAAGCATCATTATCATTTGGTGACATCAAACTTTACCATCAGAGTCACCCAGATGACTTGTTAAAACACAATTTTTTAGGTTCTACCCTCAGAGTTGCTCATTCAGTAGGTCTGGAGTGGGGCCCAAGAATTTGCATTTCTAGTAAGTACCCAGGTGATAATGCTGCTGATCTGGGACCACCCTTGGAGAACCACTGACTTAAACCATTTGTAACACAGTTAGAAGGCCAAAAACAAAAAACAAAGCAAAGCAAAACAAAACAAAACAAAAAGCAGGAAATAGTCTGTTAAGGAGCAAGGAAAAGAACAGTCCCAGAGGCCGGGCGCAGTGGCTCACGCCTGTAATCCTAGCACTTTGGGAGGCCGAGATGGGCGCATCACTTGAGGTCAGGAGTTCTTAACCAGCCTGGCCAACATGGTAAAACCCCCATCTCTACTAAAAATATAAAAAAATTAGCCAGGTGTGGTCGCAAGCACCTGTAATCCCAGCTACTCAGGAGGCTCAGGCAGGAGAACTGCTTGAACCTGAGGTAGAGGTTGTGGTGAGTCGAAATCATGCCACTGCACTCCAGCCTGAATGACAGAGCAAAACTGTCTCAAAAAAAAAAAAGAAGAAGCAGCAAAGAATAGTCCCAGAACCCTCTTTTTTTCCCCAAAGTGTTGGGATTACAGGTGTGAGCTACCGCGTCCAGCCCCAGAACCCTACCCTTTTTACTCCACAGAAGTATGGAGTCTTATACAGGCCTTCAAGCTGACAGATGAGTACATACTAGCTTTTTGATTCTCTTCCAAATTCCTTATTTATGACTATACTTTTGGCAGACTCCTGATAAAATGAAATCTACCAATGTATTTCAGTTCAATCACGTGTTTGGGAAATACCTACTTCCCATCAGGTCTAAACTGCTGTAAAGGAGAATATAGGAAAAACAAATAAAACCAAGTTTCTACCCACAATGTACTTCCAATCTAGTTAGGGTAAAAAAGCAGCACACATATGTTCACAAAAACAGCTAAGAAAAGATAGTGCAGTACTAATAAATGAGGATTCAAGTGATAAAATCAAATATTTGTATTTCTTCATTTAACAATATTAGCTAAACACCTACTTTGTGCCTGGCACAGTTATTGGTACTGGGACTAAAGTAGTGACAAAACAAAACAGAGCTAACAATCCAGTGAATGAAACATATGTTGCCTAAGATGTATGTGTACCAGTAGCATACGTTATATTTACTTAGAACCAGAAACACAGTTGCAGGCAAAAGCAGTGAATATAAAAATAAACACAAAAAGCAACTGGATGCCTATTTAACTCTAGAGTCAAGTAGAGAACTGATGTTCAACTTAAAAATTGCTTGCTTGCTTATTCATTTATTTGTTTATTTCTTTGAGACAGGGTCTCACTCTGTTGCCCAGGCTGGAGTGCAATCATAGCTCACTGCAGCCTCGAACTCCTGAACTCAGGCAATCCACCTGCCTCAGCCTCCCAAAGTGCTGGAATTACAGGCTTGAGCCACCACGCCGGGCCTATGTGTTTTTAAGGAGGCCGGCCTGAGTGTGGTTTTCCTTGTTGAAATGTGTCTCTAAGCAGGTTCCTGGCTCCTGGACTTTCTGGGGCAGGGTTTCCACCCTGTCCCTGGGCAGCCCAGGGGCTGACCCGGAAACCGTGAATTCAGCATGCTCAGCAAAGCCTGCAAAGCCATCCTCTTCTGGACAAAGTTCAGACTTCAATTCCTCTGTTCTCAGATGTCAGGCATAGAGCAGAGCCTTGTTAACCATGGTCACACTGTTTCATACTGAATTGTTACAAATTAGTACTTATTCATCCTGCGTAACTGCAACTTTGTATTTTTAACCAATACCTCTTCATTTCCTCCTGCTGATGATCAGGGTATATCCATAGATAATCATCACATTGGCCTGGTGCGGTGGCTCACACGTGTAATCCCAGAACTTTGGGAGGCCGAGGCGGGCGGATCACGAGGTCAGGATACGAGACCATCCTGGCTAAAACGGTGAAACCCTGTCTCTACTAAAAATACAAAAAATTAGGTGGACATGGTGGTGGGTGCCTGTAGTCCGAGCTACTGGGGAGGCTGAGGCAGGAGAATGGTGTGAACCCGGGAGGCGGAGGTTGCAGTGAGTCGAGATCGCACCACTGCACTCCAGCCTGGGCAACAGAGCGACAGAGCAAGACTCTGTCTCAAAAAAAAAAAAAAAAAAAAAAAAAAGTCCACCAAGGAGTTTTGCTTCACCCATGAAAGGAAGAAAACGGTCCAGGTAAAACAACCATCGGGATGTAACAAAAAATTGTCAATGATCACACCCTATAGAGGTGGCTGATTTGATACAACAGCCAGTGAAATTTTTGACGACAAATATTGCAGACTGCAAGAGACGCTTCTTGTTCGTGGAAATAGAAATAAAGCATGGTGTCTGCACCCGGCTTTCCGCTGTAAGCTGAAGTACTTCACGGCAGCAGGAATTGGGCAACCCACCGTTTACACTCCACCCTTTGAAACTGGGCTGAATGGGGTGGGGACCCGCCTTTGGGGAGAAAAGCAAATTTTATTTAAGCCCCTGAAAGAGGAGAGGGTTGGCCAGGCTCGGTGGCTCACGCCTGTAATCCCAGCACTTTGGGAGGCTGAGGTGGGTGGATCACTTGAGGTCAGGAGTTCGAGACCAGCCTGGCCAGCACGATGAAACCCAGTCTCTACTGAAAATACAAAATGAACCAGGCGTGGTGGCACATGCCTGTAATCCCAGCTACTGGGGAGGCTGAGGCAGGAGAGTCGCTTGAACCCGGGAGGCGGAGTTTGCAGTGAGCCAAGATCATTCCATTGCACTCCAGCCCGGGTGACAAGAGCGAAACTCTGTCTCAAAAAAAAAAAAAAAAAAATGCGTATTCCCCAGCCACCGGAAAATGAGATTTCTGAGCAGCTGGATCTGATAATTACCATGAGGTGTCATTACATGATATACACGTGCTTGGAAACAGTATATGTCATAAATGTGTACAATCATTATGGAGTTTTTTTTCTTGAGACAGGGTCTTGCTCTGTTGCCTAAGCTGGAGTGTGCAGTGATGCAATCATGGCTCAGTGCAGCCTTAACCTCCTGGACTCAAACCATCCTTCCACCTCAGCCTCCCCAGTAGCTGGAAATACAGGTCTGCACCAGTAGGTCCAGCTAACTTTTGTACTTTTTTTTTAAGAGATGGGATCTTGCTATGTTGCCCAGACTGGTCTTGAACTTCTGGCCTTGTGATTCTCCCACCTCAGCCTCCCAAAGCGCTGGGATTACAAGCGTGAGCCACTGCGCCTGATCCGAACGTTGACTCTTAAAAATAAAATAAAACTTTAGAAAAGAAGAAAATCTAATGGTGTTTTTTGTCTTTTCATTGGCTCTGTGTTACTTTGTAGCTCCAATTTTTCTTTCCTTCATTAAGTCAGCTCCAAATTTGCAAACTGAAGTGAAACGTGAGTGAGTTTTTTGTGTATCTTCTTGGCATGGGGTGGTGAGTGTGTGTACGTGTGTGTGTGTGTGTGTGTGTGTGTGTGTGTGTGTGTATTTGTATGTCCAGGGTTCCTCAACATCCCTGAAGACACTTGGGGCTCCTTAATATCCATATAATTTCTATTTTGACCAGAAAGAGGAAAAGTCAACATTTTGGAAACTCCAAACTCCACCAGGGGCTTGGCTGAAACAGGTGTGTGTCGTTTCTCCAACCAGCCAGCTCACCTGCAAATCTCAGAACTTATGTTAATGAGAGTTGCCTGCCCACAGCTCTTCTACGAATAATGTTTTTGTATGTAAAGGAGAAGCAAAAACATTTTTTTGACCTCTTGGAGCACGAAAATCAATAAGAAGTTGATAAAGCAAAGTCTGTGCCTGCTGAAAATAAAACAAGTGTGGTTTGTTTACCCACTGAAGCCTTCACGTTGTCAGGCTTGCGTCGAGATGATTTATAGACCAACACCCCATGAAATCATTTAAGGCAGATTAGATTCCCAGGACAATCCTCTCTAATATGACAAGCTGATAGAGGCTGACAGGTAACTAGGTTGTTCAGGATGGCAAGCCAGTCCCAGAAATTCTGATTAAATTAAAATATTAATGGTACCGCCGGGAGAGGAAGATTGAGTTGAGGTGGGCAAATTCTGTATGAGGACCGAGGAGCAAACACCACGTCGCAGTCGCTGTGCTGGAAGCAGAAGCCTGGGGGTGCCAGGGGGAGTTACCTTTGCTAAACCCGAAAGCAGGGCTTGCATTGCAATGAACTGTGCGGTGCTGGAGACAGGGTGGGGACAACACACCTGCCAGGCTCAGAAGGGAACACGGAGATTCCCTAATCACCTCCTCTCTCCTGCAGCTGCAAAGGTGACGGCCGGAGACCCTCATCTCTGCAGCTCTTAATTCCCCAGTAACCTCTCCCATGGCCTCTGCAAATGCTGGTTTGCAGGGCACTTTAACCCAATCTGAAATTGAGACTCCAGCATCATGACTGTGTACAGATTCTCTAGGAAACTGTCTTGTGCCGGCTGGATGAAAGCTTATTGCTGTGTGTGTGTAGTGTGTGTGTGTGGTTTTGTTTTTTCCTTACAGAGAAAAATGCAAACAATCTTGCCCCGGCCACAGGAAAAGGAGATTCCTGAGCAGTGTACATTTGCTCCTCTTTCTTTCTTTATCTTTCTTTCTTCTTTCTTCCTTTCTTTCCCTGTCTCTCCTTCCTTCTGTCTTCCTTTCTTTCTCTCTCTCCTTCCTTCCTTCTTTTTTCTCTTTCTTTCTTCTTTCTTTCTCTCTCTCCTTCCTTCCTTCTTTCTTCCTTTCTTTCTCTCCTTCCTTCCTTACTTCCTGCTTTCTTTCTCTCTCTCCTTCTTTCTTTCTCTCTTTCTTTCTTTCCTTCCTTCCTTCCTTCCTTTCCTTTCTTTCTCTCTCTCTCACTCTCTCTCTCTCCCAATCTCTCTCTTTCTCTCTCCCCTTCCTTCCTTCCTTCCTCCTTCCTTCCTTCCTTCCTTCCTTCCTTCCTTCCTTCCTTCCCTTTTCTCTCTCTCTCTTTCCAGCTGGCTTGGCTGGCTGGCTGACTTGGCTGGCTTGTGTGGCTGGCTGGGCTGGCAGCGGTGGCTGGGTTGGCTGGCTGGCTGGGCTGGCTGGGCTGGCTGGGCTGGCTGGCTGGCTTGGCTGGCTGGGCTGGCTGGCTGGCTTGAATGGCTTGGCTGGCTTGGCTGGCCTGGCTGGCTGGCTGGCTTGGCTGGCTTGGCAGGCTGGCTGGTTTAGCTGTCTTGGGTGGCTGGGTGGCTGGCTGGCTTGGCTTGCTGGGCTGGCTGGCTGGCCTGGCTGGCTGGCTGGCTTGGCTGGCTTGGCAGGCTGGCTGGTTTAGCTGGCTTGGTTGGCTGGCTGGCTTGGCTGGATTGACTGGCTGGCTGGTTTAGCTGGCTTGGTTGGCTGGCTGGCTTGGCTGGATTGACTGGCTGGCTGGCTTGGCTGGCTTGGCTGGCTGGCTGAGTTGGCTGGCTTGGCTGGCTTGGGTGGCTTGGCTGGCTGGCTGGCTTCATTGGCTTGGATGGCTGGCTGGCTTGGATGGCTGCCTGGCTTGGCTAGCTTGGCTGGCTGACTGGCTTGGCTGCCTTGGCTGGCTTGGCTGGCTTGGCGGGCTTGGCTGGCTTGGCTGGCTTGGCTAGCTGGCTTGGCTGGCTTGGCTTGCTGGATGTCTTGGCTGGCTTGGCAGGCTGACTTGGCTGGCTTTGCTGGCTGGCTGGCTTTGCAGGCTTGGCTGGCTTGGCTGGCTTGGCTGGCTTGCTTGGCCGGCTTGGCTGGCTGGGTGGCTTGGCTGGCTTGGCTGGCTGGCTGGCTGGGTGTCTTGGGTGGCTTGGCTGGCTGGGTGGCTTGGCTGGTTTGGCTGGCTGGCTTGGCTGGCTGGCTTGCTGGCTTGCTTGGCTGGCTTGCCTGGCTGGCTGGCTAGCTTGGCTGTCTGGGCTGGCTGGCTCTCTTGGATGGCTTGGCTGACTGGGTGGCTGGCTTGGCTGTCTGTGCTGGCTGGCTGGCTTGGATGGCTTGGCTGACTGGGTGGCTGGCTGGCCTGGCTGGCTGGGTGGCTGACTGGCTTTGCAGGCTTGCTGGCTTGGCTGGCTGGGTGGCAGGCTGGCCTGGCTGGCTGGCTGGCTGGGTGGCTGGCTGGCGTGGCTGGCTGGCTGGCTGGCTGGCTTGGCTGGTTTGGCTGGCTGGCTGGCTTGGCTCGCTTGGCTGGCTGTCTGGCTTGACTGGCTGTCTGGCTTGACTGGCTTGGCTGGCTGCCTGGCTTTGCTGGCTGGCTGGCTTGGCTGGCTGCCTGGCTTGGCTGTCTGGGCTGTCTGGGTGGCTTGGCTGGCTTGGCTGGGTCGGTGGCTTGGCTGGCTTGGCTGCCTGGCCGGCGTGGCTGCCTTGGCTGTCTGGCCGGCTTGGTTGGCTGGCAGGCTGGCCGGCTTAGCTGGCTGGCTGGTTGGCTGGCTTGGCTAGCTGACTGGCTTTGCTGGTTGGCTGGCTTGGCTGGCTTGGCTGGCTGGTTGGATGGCCGGGTGGCTTGTCTGGCTTGGCTAGCCGGCTGGCTTAGCTAGCTGGATGGCTTGGCTGGCATGCCTGGCTTGGTTGGCTGGCTAGTTTTGCTGGCTTGGCTGCCTGGCTGGCTTGGCTGGCATGCCTGGCTTTGCTTGCTGGCTGGCTTGGCTGACTTGGCTGCCTGGCTGGCTTGGCTGGCATGCCTGTCTTGGCTGGCTGGCGGGCCTGGCTGGCTTGGCTGGTTTGGCTGCCTGGCTGGCTTGGCTGGCATGCCTGTCTTGGCTGGCTGGCGGGCCTGGCTGGCTTGGCTGGCTTGGCTGGCTGGGAGGCTTGGCTGGCTTGGCTGGCTGGTTGGCTGGCTGGCTTGGCTGGCTTGGCTGGCTTGGCTGGCTTTGTGGCTTCACTGGCTTGGCTGGCTGGCTGGCTTGGCTGGCTTGGCTGGCTGGCTGGCTGGCTGTCTTGGCTGGCTTGGCTGCCTGGCTGGCTGAGTGGCTTTGCTGGCTGGCTGGCTGGCTGGCTTGGCTGGCTTGGCTGGCTAGCTGGCTTGGCTGACTTGGCTGGCTAGCTGGCTAGCTGGCTTGGCTGACTTGGCTGGCTAGCTGGCTTGGCTGACTTGGCTGGCTTGGCTGGCTTGGCTGGCTGGCTGGCTGGCTGGCTTGGCTGGCTTGGCAGGCTGGCTGGTTGGGTGGCTTAGCTGGCTGGCTGGCTGGCTGGGTCGCTTGACTGGCTTGGCTGGCTGGCTTGGCTGGCTTGGTTTGCCAGGCTGGAGTGCAATGGTGCAAACTTGGCTAGCTGCAGCCTCCACCTCCTGTGTTCAAGTGATCCTCCTGCGTTGGCCTCCCGAGTAGCTGGGATTAGAGATGAGTGCCACCACGCCCATCTATTTTTTTTGTATATTTAGTGGAGACGTTGTTTCACCATGTTGGCCAGGCTGGTGTTTTTTTCATTTTCTTTTTTTTCTGAGTGGGAGTCTCGCTCTGTTGCCCAGGCTGGAGTGCAGTGGTGCAATCTTTGTTCGCTGCAACCTCCACCTCCCGGGTTCAAACGATCCTCCTGCCTGGGCCTCCCGAGTAGCTGGGATTACATTCGTGTGCTACCATGCTCAGCTAATTTCTTTGTGTATTTAGTACTGAGGGGGTTTCACCATGTTGGCCAAGGTGCTCTTTTTTTTTTCTTTTTTCTGAGATGGAGTCTCGCTCCATTGCCCTGGTTGGAGTTCTTCTTTTTTTTCAGATGGAGTGTCACTCTGTTGTCCAGGGTTCAGTGCAGTGGTGCAATCTTGGCTGGCTGCAACCTCTACCTCCCGGGTTCAAGCGATCCTCCTGCCTGGGCCTCCCGAGTAGCTGGGATTACAATCGTGTGCCACCACGCTCAGCTAATTTCTTTGTATATTTAGTACTGACGGGGTTTCACCGTGTTGGACAGGCTGGTCTTTTTTTTTTTTCTTTTTTTTGAGATGGAGCCTTGCTATATTGCCCAGGCTGGAGTGCTTTTTTTTCAGATGGAATCTCACTTTCTTGCCCAGGCTGGAGTGCAGTGGTGCAATCTTGGTTCGTTGCAACCTCCACCTCCTGTGTTCAAGCGATCCTCCTGCCTGGGCCTCTCGAGTAGCTGGGATTACAGGCGTGTGCCACCACGCCCAGCTAATTTTTTTGTGTATTTAGTAGAGACGGGGTTTCACCACGTCGGCCAACCTGGTCTTTTTTTTTTTTTTTTTTTTTTTTCTGAGATGGAGTCTCGCTCTGTTGACCAGACTGGAGTGCTTCTTTTTTTTCAGATGGACTCTCACTCTGTTGCCCAGGCCAGAGTGCAGTGGTGCAATCTTGGCTCGCTGCAGCCTCCACCTCCCAGGTTCAAGTGATCCTCCTGCCTGGGCCTCCCCAGTAGCTGGGATTAGAGGCCTGTGCCACCACGTCCAGCTAATTTTTTTTGTATATTTAGTAGAGACGGGATTTCAACATGTTGGCCAACCTGGTCTTTTTTTTTTTTTTTTTTTTTTTTTTTGAGTTGGAGTCTCGCTCTATTGCCCAGGCTGGAGTTCTTATTTTTTTTCGGATGGAGTCTCACTTTTTTGCCCAGGTTGGAGTGCAGTGGTGCAATCTTGGCTCGCGGCAGCCTCCACCTCCCAGGTTCAAGCGATCCTCCTGCCTGGGCCTCCTGGGTAGCTGGGATTACATTCATGTGCCACCACGCCCAGCTAATTTCTTTGTATATTTACTAGAGACGGGGTTTCACCATGTTGGCCAGGCTGGTCTTTTTTTTTTTTTTTTCCTGAGATGGAGTCTCGCCCTGTTGCCCAGGCTGGAGTGCAGTACTACAATCTTAGTTCACGGCAACCACCCCCTCCCGGGTTCAAGTGATCATCCTGTCTGGGCCTCCCGAGTACCTGGTATTACAGGTGTGTGCCACCAAACCCAGCTAATTTTTTTTTTTTTTTGAGATGTAGTATCGCTCTGACACCACCGTGGAGTATAGTGGCGCCATCTCGGCTCACTGCAACCTCCGCTTCCCAGGTTCAAGCAATTCTCCTGCCTCAGCCTCCCGAGTAGCAGGGATTACAGGCATGTGCCACCACACCCAGCTAATTTTTCTATTTTTAGTAGAGACGGGGTTTCACCATGTTGGTCAGGCTGGTCTCGATCTCGTGACCTCGTGATCCACCCACCTCGGCCTCCCAAGGTGCTGGGATTACAGGCATGAGCCACCACGCCCGGCCCTATTTTTTTTGTATATTTAGAAGAGACGGGGTTTCACCATGTTGGCCAGGCTGGTGTTTTTTTTGTTGTTTTTTTTTTTTGAGATGGAGTCTCGCTCTATTGGCCAGGCTGGAATGTTTCTGTTTTTTCAGATGGAGTCTCACTCTGTTGCCCAGGCTGGAGTGCAGTGGTGCAATCTTGGCTCGCTGCAGCCTTCACCTCCCTGATTCAAGCGATCCTCCTTCCTGGGCCTCCCGAGTAGCTGGGATTACAGACGTGTGCCAGCACGCCCAGCTAATTTTTTTGTATATTTTGTAGAGATGGGGTTTCACCGTGTTGGCCAGGCTGGTATATCTTATTTTATTTTTTCTGAGATGGAGTCTCGCCCTGTTGCCCAGGCTGGAGTGCAGTGGTGCAATCTTGGCTCGCTGTAGCCTCCACCCCCAGGGTTCAAGCGATCCTCCTGCCTGGGCCTCCCGAGTAGCTGGGATTACATTCATGTGCCACCACGCCCAGCTAATTTCTTTTTATATTTAGTAGAGATGGGGTTTCACCATGTTGGCCAGGCTGGCCTTTTTTTTTTTCTTTTTTTTTTCTGAGATTGAGTCTCACCCTGTTGCCCAGGCTGGAATGAGGTGGTGCAATCTTGGTTCGCTTCAACCTCCACCTCCCTGGTTAAAGCGATCCTCCTGCCTGGGCCTCCCGAGTAGCTGGGATTACGGGAATGTGCCACCACGCCTAGATAATTTTTTATACATTCAGTAGAGACAGGGTTTCTCCATGTTGGCCAGGCTGTCTTTTTTTTTATTTTTTTTGAGATGGAGTCTCGTCCTGGCATGGCTGGCTGGCTGGCTTGTATGGCTTGGCTGGCTGGCTGGCATGGCTGGCTTGGCTGGTTCGCTGGCTGACAGGCTTGGCTGGCTGGGTGGCTTGGCTGGCATGCCTGGCTGGGTGGCTTGGCTGGCTTAGTTGGCTGGGTGGCTTGGCTGGCTGGCTGGCTGGCTGGCTGGCTTGGCTGGTGGGGTGGCTTGGCCGGACGCCTCGCTTGGCTGGCTGGATGGCTTGGCTGGCATGGATTGCTTGGCTGGCTGGCTGGCTTGGCTTGCGTGGCTGGCTGGATGGCTTGGCTGGCTTGGCTGTCTTGGCTGGCTGGATGGCTTGGCTGGCTGTGTGGCTTGGCTGTCTTGGCTGGCTGGGTGGCTTGGCTGGCTGTGTGGCTTGGCTGGCTTGGCTGGCTGGGTGGCTTGGCTGGCTGGCTAACTGGCTTGGCGGGCGTGGATGGCTGGCTGGCTTGGTGGGTGGCCGGCTTGGCAGGCTGGCTGGCTGGCCTGACTGGCTTGATGGCTAGATGGCTTGGCTGGCTGGGTGGCTTGCCTGGCTTGGCTGGCTTGGCTGTATGGCTGGCTTGACTGGCTTGGCTGGCTGGCTGTCTTGGCTGGCTTGGATGGCTGGCTGGCTTGGCTGGTTGGCTGGTTTGGCCGGCTTGGCTGGCTTGGCCGGCCGGGTGGCTTGGCTGGCTTGGCTAGCCGGCTGGCTTAGTTGGCTGGATGGCTTGGCTGGCATGCCTGGCTTGGCTGGCTGGCTGGCTTGGCTGGCTTGGCTGCCTGGCTGGCTTGGCTGGCATGCCTGTCTTGGCTGGCTGTCGGGCTTGACTGGCTTGGCTGGCTTGGCTGCCTGGCTGGCTGGCTGGCGGGCCTGGCTGGCTAGGTGGCTTGGCCTGCTTGGCTGGCTGGGTGGCTGGCTGCCTGGCTGGCTGATTGGCTTGGCTGGCGTGGCTGGCTGGGTGGCTTGGCTGGCTGGGTGGCTTGGCTGGTTTGGCTGGCTGGCTGGCTGGGTGGCTTGGCTAGCTGGCTGGCTGGGCTGGTTGGCTGGCTTGGCTGGCATGCCTGGCTTTGCTTGCTGGCTGGCTTGGCTGGCTTCGCTGCCTGGCTGGCCTGGCTGCCTGGCTGGCTTGGCTAGCATGCCTTTCTTGGCTGGTTGGCAGGCTTGGCTGGCTTGGCTGGCTTGGCTGTCTGGGCTGGCTGACTGGCTTGGCTGGCTTGGATGGCCGGGTGGCTTGGCTGGCTTGGCTGGCTGGGTGGCTTGGCTGGCTTGGCTGGCTGGGAGGCTTGGCTGGCTTGGCTGGCTGGGTGGCTGGCTGGCTTGGCTGGCTTGGCTGGCTTGGCTGGCTTGGGTGGCTGGCTGCCTGGCTGGCTGATTGGCTTGGCTGGCTTGGCTGGCTGGGTGGCTTGGCTGGCTGGGTGGCTTGGCTGGTTTGGCTGGCTGGCTGGCTAGGTAGCTTGGCTAGCTGGCTGGCTTGGCTGGTTGGCTGGCTTGTCTGGCTTGGCTGGCTTGGCTGGCTGGCTTGGCTGGCTGGGTGGCTTGGCTGGCTTGGCTAGCCGGCTGGCTTAGTTGGCTGGATGGCTTGGCTGGCATGCCTGGCTTGGCTGGCTGGCTGGCTTGGCTGGCTTGGCTGCCTGGCTGGCTTGGCTGACATGCCTGGCTTTGCTTGCTGGCTGGCTTGGCTGGCTTGGCTGCCTGGCTGGCTTGGCTAGCATGCCTGTCTTGGCTGGTTGGCGGGCTTGGCTGGCTTGGCTGGCTTGGCTGGCTTGGCTGTCTGGGCTGGCTGACTGGCTTGGCTGGCTTGGATGGTCGGGTGACTTGGCTGGCTTGAGTGGCTGAGTGGATTGCCTAGCTTGGCTGGCCGGCTGGCTTGGCAGGGTGGCTGGCTTGGCTGGCTTGGCTAGCTGGCTGGCTGGCTGGCGGGCCTGGCTGGCTAGGTGGCTTGGCTGGCTTGGCTGGCTTGGTGGCTTGGCTGGCTTGGCTGGCTGGGAGGCTTGGCTGGCTTGGCTGGCTGGCTGGCTGGCTGACTTGGATGGCTTGGCTGGCTTGGCTGGCTTGGGTGGCTGGCTGCCTGGCTGGCTGATTGGCTTGGCTGGCTTGGCTGGCTGGGTGGCTTGGCTGGTTTGGCTGGCTGGCTGGCTGGGTGGCTTGGCTAGCTGGCTGGCTTGGCTGGCTTGGTTGGCTGGCTCTCTTGTTTGGTTGGCTGGCTTGGCTGCCTTGGCTGGCTGGCTGACTTGGCTGTCTGGGCTGACTGCGTGGCTGGCTGGCCTGGCTGGCTGGGTGGCTGGCTGGCTTGGCTGGCTTGTCTGTCTTGGCTGGCTGGGTGGCAGGCTGACCTGGCTGGCTGGATGGCTGGCTGGCCTGGCTGGCTGGGTGGCTGGCCGGCCTGGCTGGCTGGGTGGCTGGCTGGCTTGGCTGTCTGGCTGGCTTGCTGGCTGTCTTGGCTGGCTGGGTGGCTTGGCTGGCTGTGTGGCTTGGCTGGCTCGGCTGGCTTGGCTGGCTGGCTGGCTTGGCTGTCTGGGCTGGCTGGCTTGGCTGTCTGGGCTGGCTGGCTGGCTTGGCTGGCTTGGCTGGCCGGGTGACTTGGCTGGCTTGAGTGGGTGAGTGGATTGGCTAGCTTGGCTGGCCAGCTGGCTTGGCAGGCTGGATGTCTTGGCTGGCTTGGCTGGCAGGCTGTTTTGGCTGGCTTGGCTGTCTTGGCTTGCTGGGTGGCTTGGCTGGGTCGGTGGCTTGGCTGGCTTGGCTGCCTTGGCTGTCTGGCCGGCTTGGTTGGCTGGCAGGCTGGCCGGCTTGACTGGCTGGCTGGTTGGCTGGCTTGGCTAGCTGACTGTCTTGGCTGGTTGGCTGGTTTGGCTGGGTTGGCTGGCTGGCTTGGCTGGCCGGGTGGCTTGGCTGGCTTGGCTAGCTGACTGGCTTGACTGGTTGGCTGGCTTGGCTGGCTTGGCTGGCTGGCTTGGCTGGCCGGGTGGCTTGGCTGGCTTGGCTAGCCGGCTGGCTTAGCTGGCTGGATGGCTTGGCTGGCATGCCTGGCTTGGCTGGCTTGCTGGCTTGGCTGGCTTGACTGGGTGGCTTGGCCATCTTGGCTGGCTGAGTGGCTTGGCCGGCTTGGCTGGCTGGCTGGCTTGGCTGGCTGAGTGGCTTGGGCAGCTTGGCTGCTGGCTGAGTGGCTTGGCCGGCTTGGCTGGCTGGCTGGCTTGGCTGGCTGAGTGGCTTGGCCAGCTTGGCTGGCTGTGTGGCTTGGCTGTCTTGGCTGGCTGGGTGGCTTGGCTGGCTTGGCTGGCTGGGAGGCTTGGCTGGCTTGGCTGGCTGGGTGGCTGGCTGGCTTGGCTGGCTTGGCTGGCTTGGCTGGCTGGGTTGTTTGCCTGGCTTGGCTGGCTGGGTGGCTTGGCAGGCTTGGCTGGCTGGCTGGCTGGCTGGCTTCGCTGGCTGGGTGTCTTGGCTAGCTTGGCTGGCTGGGTGTCTTGGCTGGCTTGGGTTGCTGGGTCTCTTGGCAGGCTGCTTGGCTGGCTGGGTGGCTTGGCTTGCTTGGCTGGCTGGGTGTCTTCGCTGGCTTGGCTGGCTGGCTGGCTTGGCTGGCTTGACTGGCTGGCAGGCTTGGCTGGCTTTTCTGGCTGACTGGCTTGGCTGGCTTGGCTGGCTTGGCTGGCTGGGTTGGCTGGCTTGGCTGGTTTGGCTGGCTGGCTGGCTTGACTGGCTTGGCTGGCTGGCTGTCTGGCTTCCATGGCTTGCTTGGCTGTCTGGCTTGGCCGGCTTGGCTGGCTGGCTGTCTTGGCTGGCTTGGCTGGCTGGGTTGACTGGCTTGGCTGGCTCGCTGGCTTGCCTGGCTTGACTGGCTTGGCTGTCTTGGCTGGCTGGCTGGCTTGGCTGGCTTGGCTGGCTTGGCTGGCTGGCTTGTCTGGTTTGGCTGCTTGGGCTGGCTGTCTGGCTGTGCTGTCTGGCTGGTTGGCTGGCTTGGCTGGCTTGGCTGGGTGGCCGGCTTGGCTGGCTTGGCTGACTGGCTTGGCTGGGTTGGCCAGCTTCGCTGGCTGGCTTGGGTCTCTTGGCTGCCTGGGCTGGCTGTCTGGCTGGGCTGTCTGGCTGGTTGGCTGGCTTGGCTGGCATGCCTTTCTTGGCTGGCTAGAGGTCTTGGCTGGCTTGGCTGGCTTGGCTGTCTGGCTGGCTTAGCTGGCTTGACTGGGTGGCTTGGCCATCTTGGCTGGCTGAGTGGCTTGGCCGGTTTGGCTGGCTGGCTGGCTTGGCTGGCTGAGTGGCTTGGCCAGCTTGGCTGGCTGGGTGGCTTGGCCGGCTTGGCTGGCTGGCTGGCTTGACTGGCTTGGCTGGCTGGGTTGTTTGCCTGGCTTGGCTGGCTGGGTGGCTTGGCAGGCTTGGCTGGCTGGCTGGCTGGCTGGCTTCGCTGGCTGGGTGTCTTGGCTAGCTTGGCTGGCTGGGTGTCTTGGCTGGCTTGGGTTGCTGGGTCTCTTGGCAGGCTTGGCTGGCTGGGTGGCTTGGCTTGCTTGGCTGGCTGGGTGTCTTCGCTGGCTTGGCTGCCTGGCTGGCTTAGCTGGCTTGACTGGGTGGCTTGGCCATCTTGGCTGGCTGGGTGGCTTGGCTGGCTTGGCTAGCCGGCTGGCTTAGTTGGCTGGATGGCTTGGCTGGCATGCCTGGCTTGGCTGGCTGGCTGGCTTGGCTGGCTTGGCTGCCTGGCTGGCTTGGCTGACATGCCTGGCTTTGCTTGCTGGCTGGCTTGGCTGGCTTGGCTGCCTGGCTGGCTTGGCTGCCTGGCTGGCTTGGCTAGCATGCCTGTCTTGGCTGGTTGGCGGGCTTGGCTGGCTTGGCTGGCTTGGCTGGCTGGGTGGCTTGGCTGGCTGGGTGGCTTGGCTGGTTTGGCTGGCTGGCTGGCGTCGCTGACTGGATGGCTTGGCTGGCATGCCTGGCTTGGCTGGCTGGCTGGCTGGCTTGGCTGGCTTGGCTGGCTTGGCTGCCTGGCTGGCTTGGCTGGCTTGGCTCACTGGCTGGGTGGCTGGCCTGGTTAGCTGGGCGGCTTGGCTGGCTTGGCTGGCTGGGCGGCTTGGCTGGGCGGCTTGGCTGGCTTGGCTGGCTTGGCTGACTGGCTTGGCTGGTTTGGCCAGCTTTGCTGGCTGGCTTGGGTCTCTTGGCTGGCTTTGCTGGGTGGCTGGCCGGCTTGGCTGGCTGGCTGGTTTGGCTGGCTGACTGGCTGGGCTGGCTGGGCTCACTGTCTGGCTTGGCCGGCTCGGCTGGCTGGCTGGCTGGCTGGGCTGGCTTGGCTGGCTGGCTGGCTTGGCTGGCTTGGCTGGCTAACTGGCTGGCTTGGCTGGCTTGGCTTGGCTCGCTTGGCCTGCTGGCTTGGCTGCCTTGTCTGGCTGGCTGGCTTGGCTTGCTTGGCTGCCTGGCCGGCTTGGCTGGCTTGGCTGCCTTGGCTGGCTTGGCTGGCTGGCTGGCTTGGCTGGCTTGGCTGGCTGGCTGGCTTGGCTGGCTTGGCTGTTTGGGTTGGCTGGCTGGCTGGGGCTCCTGGGCTGGCTGGCTGGCTTGGCTGGCTGGCTTGCTTGGCTGGCTTGGCTGGCTGGCAGGCTTGGCTTGCTTGGCTGGCTTGCTGGCTTGGCTGGCTTGGCTGTTTGGATTGGCTGGCTGGCTGGGGCTCCTGGGCTGGCTGGCTGGCTTGGCTGGCTGGCTTGCTTGGCTGGCTTGGCTGGCTGGCAGGCTTGGCTGGCTTGGCTGGCTGGCTGGCTTGGCTGGTTTGGCTGGCTTGGCTGGCTGGCTAGCTGGCTCACTTGGCTGGCTTGGCTGGGTGGGTGGCTTAGCTGGCTTGGCTGACTGGCTTGGCTGGCTTGGACATTAAATATAATAATATATTTGGTACATTAAATATAAATTGTATACGTTAAATATAAACATCTTTTATACATCAAACATAAACATTTTATACATTAAATGTAAACATATCTTATATGTTAAATATAAACTTCTTTTATACATTAAATATAAGAATACATTTGGTACATTTAATGTATACAGTACATTAAATATAGACATTTTAGACATTAAATATAAGCATATATTCAGCACATTAAATGTAAACATATTTTATACATTAAATATAAATACTGTGTATGTTAAATATAAATATGTATTTTCTATATTAAATGTAAATATGTATCCTGTACATTAAATATAAACATATTTTCTATATTAAATATAAACATGTATTTTGCATAGTAAATATAACTATACATTTTCTATATTAAATATCAACATGTATTATGTATATTAAACAAAGACATATATTTCCCATATTAAATATAAACATATATTTTTATATGTTAAATATAAATATATATTTCCTGTATTAAATATACACATATATATTAAATATAAATATATTTTTCTATATGAAATGTAAACATGTTTTAAACATTAAATATAAATATTCATCTTAGATATGGCCCGTGTTCGAATGTGTAGTAGATTGAGTATATAATGTCTACTCAATATAAAATTTATATTTATATATGCAGTAATGATTCAAGTTGATTGTAGTTAAGAAAAACAAGCTCCAAATTCGAAAGAAATATGTAAGAAGAGAGACAGGAAGAAAAAATAATGAGGCAGGTAAATGCAACAGACAATTCGAGACCCACAAGTGCAGAGCAGGCTTCCCAGACCCAGGTAATGTCTCCTGGGCTGATAGGAAGCCCTCAACCCCCCAAGTCCTTCTCAGCCATAAACCACCTGAGCACAGAGCCACAGGGACCGTGTTGGGGCTGGGCCTCCCGACTTCAGTTCCTCTCATTCTGTGCAAAAGGAAAAACAATTCAGAATCTACAGAGGTTTAGATGTGTGCAGATGTGGACAGAGAAGTCCGGGCACAGTGGTTTACTGCCCAAGAAGACAGTGAGTCCCCGGAGGAATAGAAGAATATACATCATGCTAATATATGTCATCCCAGTACTTTGGGAGGCCGAGGCGGGTGGATCACTTGAGGTCAAGAGTTCGAGACCAGCCTGGCCAACATGGTGAAACCCCGTCTCTACTAAAAATACAGAAATTAGTTGGCCGCGGGGGTGGATGACTGTGATCCCAGATACTCGGGAGACAGAGGCGGGATGAACTGCTTGAACCTGGGAGGAGGAGGTTGCAGTGAGCTGAGATCATGCCATTGCACTCCAGCCTGGGGAAAAGAGCAAGATCCAGTCTCAAAGAAAAAAGAAAAAAAGAAAGAAGTTGTGAGTGCTAAGTTCTCTCTGGATTTTCAGGAGGCCAGTTCTCCAGTCCACGGTGGCCTGGGAGGACAGGGGTTCCTGAGGGTGAACAGAGCCTGTGCCCGGTCAGGTAGGATCATATGTCCCTGAAGTTCAGAACCCAGGAGCATGGGGATGGTCCTGGGGGTTCCTGCTGCACGGAGGGAAGACCCTCTTTCCACAGGGGCCCCGGAGAGCGAGAGGAAGGAGGAGGGCAGGTCAGTGAGTGTGATGGGGTCACAGTGGAGAGGGAAGCAGAAAGAAGTGTTCCCACAGCAAGACACACACACTGTCCATGCTGAAGCTACAGAGAGGACCTCTCCACCTGTGTCTGCCGCAAAGCAGTGGGGCGTCTTCTGGCAGCCCAGAGTCACCTCCAGATCCCACCTGCACCATGCTTCCTGCGGAGACTGCCTGTCTTCCTAATACACTGTCTTCTGACCAGTCTTCCAGACAAATCACCGGTTGCTATATATATATATTTTTTAATAGCTAATATCTTACACTGATATATTTATATTATATATAAATAATTTTGTGCTTTATGTTTATGCTATATATACAGATGTAGTTAGCTATTTATGTTATATATAATATAAACATGATGTATATTCTTATATTTCTCTGGGGACTCACTGTCTTCTTAATACACTGTCTTCTGACCAAATTCTTCCAGACAAATCAGCTGTTGCTATATATATATATATGCTATATAATTTATTGCATAGAATATATTATATATTATATAGCATAGAATATATTATATATTATATAGCATAGAATATATTATATATTATATATTAATTATATAATATATGTTACATATTACATATTATATATAATATATTATATTATGTTATATCTTATATATTATATATGTTATATATGTATATATATTATATGTACACATATACACATACATACACACATGTATATTTTAATAGCTAATATCTTACACTGGTATATTTATATTACATACGATTATATACAAATATTTTTGTACTTTATGTTTATGCTGTATATACAGATGTAATTAGTTGTTTATGTTATATATAATATAAACATGATGTATATTCTTATTTTCCTGTGAGGACCCACTGTCTTCTTAATACACTGTCTTCTGACCAAAGTCTTCCACACAAATCAGCAGTTACTATATATATATATAATATTTATATACACATATACACATACATACACACATATGTATATTTTAATAGCTAATATCTTACACTGATATATTTATATTACATATAGTAATATACTAATATTTTTGTACTTTATGTTTATACTATATATACAGATGTTGTTAGGTATTTATGTTATATATAATATATTAACATGATGCACATTCTTGTATTCTCCTGGGGACTCACTGTCTTCTTAATACACTGTCTTCTGACTAGAATATTCCAGACAAATCACCGGTTGCTCTCTCTCTCTCTCTCTCTCTATATATATATATATTTTAATAGCTAATATCTTACACTGATATATTTATATTACATATAGTTATATACAAATATTTTTGTACTTTTGTTTATACTATATACACAGATGTAGTTAGCTATTTATGTTATATATAATATATCAACATGATGTATATTCTTATATTCCTCTGGGGACTCACAGTCTTCTTAATACACTGTCTTCTGACCAAACTCTTCCAGACAAATCAGCTGTTGCAGTATATATATATATTTATTTTTTAATAGCTAGTATCTTACACTGTGGCTCATGCCTGTAATCCCAGCACTTTGGGAGGCCGAGGCGGGTGGATCACCTGAGGTCAGGAGTTTGAGACCATCCTGGCTAACACAGTGAAACCCCATCTCTACTAAAAATACAAAAATTGATTGGGTGTGGTGGTGCATGCCTGTAATCCCAGCTACTCGGGAGGCTGAGGCAGGAGAATCGCTTGAACCCAGGAGGCAGAGGTTGCAGTGAGCCGAGATCGTGTTGCTGCACTCCAGCCTGGGCAACAGAGCGAGACTCCATCTCACACACACAAAACATCTTACACTGATGTATTTATATTACGTGTAGCTGTATATAAATATTTTTGTACTTATATTCTGTGTACTTATATTCTATATATTATAAAACATTATATAAAATTATACATGTATAATAAAATGTTACATAAAAATTTTAACATAATACCATTTTATTACATATATTTCTAAATTTAATATAATGAAATTTTATATATAATAATGTATAACATCTCTAAATTTATTATAATACAATGATATGTAATTATTTTCTCATAATTATACATAAGGTAATTTATTATAAATAAGATTTTATATAATCTACATTTATTATAATAAAATTTTATTACATATAACACATTTCTAAATTTAATACAATAAAATACTATGTATAATTTATAACGTTTCAAAATTTATTATATTTTTATTATACAATTATTTTATACATAATTATACATAGTATATAATTGTACTTAGAAATATAATTATGCATATACAATATGTAATTTTATTTTTACACAGTATATATGTATAATTATGTATTAACAAATATAATATCAATTTTATATACTTATTTACATTAAGTTATATATTATAGAAATGATGTTATATGTTATATATGTTACATATATTTTTGCTTAATATATTAAATTTAATCTATAAAATTATGTATTAGAAATAAAAGTATTTGCTTAATATATTAAATTTAATCTATAAAATTATGTATTAGAAATAAAAGTATTTTACATATACACTACATATAACTTTATTTATATAAAAATATAAAAGTCATATGGTTAAGTTACTAAAATAATTTATATCAATCTATTCATATAAAATATACACAATGCGTATTTCTATAAATACAAAGTATATAAAACTTTTACCAGTAGGATGCAAAGAGTTGCTGACCGTCTGCAGAAATCCTGAACCTCTGGAAGCAGAATAAAATCTTACCTCCCAGTCTGCTTTGAAAGGAACAGTAAAGCAGTCCCGAACCCCAAACCCACCCTAAGGGGAGATGGGGGAGTTGGGATGGACGCGTTGACCAGTGAGGACTTTCCTTTGCTGGTTTTGAGGTGTCTTAGCCCAGAAGCTAAGATGGGAAGTGATTCTGGAGCAGGTGAGCTGATCACAAGCCTGAGCCAAGAATCCATGGAGCTCATAAATAGCAGAAGCCGGGACCCTGTGCAAATCCTTCTGAAATATTCTCCATTTACTGGGCTCCTAGGGGTGGGGAAGAAAAATTCCCTGACATTTCGGCCTCAGGGAAAGAGAGAGACACCCCACTGGCCGGAAGCCTCTGCTATTTTTCAGAAGACAGCTGGGGCATCACCCTTTCCCAAATGACGGTGATTTTCAGAGTGGTTCACTTTTTGGAGAGACATTTCTGCCCTGGAGATCCATACATATTGAACCCAAATGAATATTTTTTAATTAAAAAAAATTAAACTTTAGAAAGTTCAATATTGAGGCAGCTACGAGTTTGAATTCCTCATTTTTCCTAAATGCATGTTGTCAAAATCTGTATTGCATTTAGTAACTACTTATGTTTCTAATGTATATAAGGTTACACAATGTTTTCTTCTTTTTCTGCTCCTCAGGGTCAGAATTTGAAATAAAAGTTTTGGAAAGAAAAAACACTCTTGTCTGTTTGTGCAAAAATAAAAGAACCCATATTTTAAGAATATTTTAAAATAAATACAAATTTTGTGTGGGGGGTTGCTTATAAGAATTCTTCATATCCTAAATCAAAGATAGATCTTGTTATTAACCAGAAGACAAAATGTGTGTGTATAAATGTACAACACTCTTACACTCACACAAACACTGGCACACATGCACACACACACATTCACGCACTCACTGAAGTACTCACACAAACACAGGCATTCATGTATAAATACACACATAAGCGTGTATTTATAGAAATATTATGCACATACAATATATAATTTTATTTTTACATAGTATATATACATAATTATGTATTAACAAATATAAGATCAATTTTATTATATACTTATTTACATAAAGATATATTATATAAATGATGTTATATGGCATGTATATATCACATATAACTTTGCTTAGTATATAAAATTTAATCTATAAAATTATGTATCACAAATAAAAGTATATTTTACATATACACTATATATAACTATTTATATGAACTATAAAAATCATGTTTATATTAATAAAATATATTTATATCAATATATTAATATAAAGTATGCACAATGTATATTTATATAAAAATTTTTAATTAAAAAATATTCATTTGGGTTCAATATGTATGGATCGCCAGGGCAGAAACGTCTCTTCAAAAGGTGAACCGTTCTTAAAATCACCGTCATTTGGGAAAGAGTGATACCCCACCTGTTTTCTGAGAAACAGCAGAGGTGTACGGCCAGCGGGGTGTCTCTCTCTTTCCCTGAGGCCGAAAAGTCAGGGAATTTTTCTTCCCCACCCCTAGGAGCTCTGTAAACCGGGGATATTTCAGAAGGATTTGCACAGGGTCCCGGCTTCTGTTGTAAAAGAGCTCCATGGATTCTCGGCTCAGACTTGTGATCAGCTCACCTGCTCCAGAATCACTGACACAAATGCAACCACACACTTACACAAACACACATCAACACAAAGACAGACAGAATCACAAAACACACTCATAGAAACACATGGACACACGAAGACATGCACACTCACACAAATGCAGGGACACACACACAAACACAATTACAAAAATGTGTGGGTTTTTTGCACACGTGGGTGCACATGCACATTGACATTCTCACAAAGCACACAAACACGTATACATACAAAGTCACTCATAAACAGAATCATGAAAACACTCTCATATAAACACGTGGATGGCTACTCACCCACACAGACACTCACATATGTCATACACACTCATAGACACACTCAGAATCACACAAGCACACACAAACACACAAATACAGTCACACACTCATGGAAACACAGTCACAAAAAGACTCACATAATCATGTAGACACACAAACATAAAAGTTCACACACTGGGGCCGGGCAAGGTGGCTCACGCCTGTACTCCCAGAACTTTGGGAGGCCGAGGCGGGCAGATAACTTGAGGTCGGGAGTTCCAGACCAGCCTGGCCAACATGGTGAAACCCCATCTCTACTCAAAAATACAAAAATTAGCCAGATGTGGTGGCTTATGCCTGTAATCCCAGCTACTCAGGAGGCTGAGGCAGGAGAATCATTTGAACCCGGGAGGCAGAGGTTGCAGTGAGCCAAGATCACGCCACTGCACTCCAGCCTGGGTGACAGAACGAGACTCCGTATCAAAAAAGAAAAATTAGCCAGATGTGGCGGTGGGTGCCTGTAATCCCAGGTACTCAGGAGGCTGAGGCAGAAGAATCGTTTGAACCCGGGAGGCGGAGGTTGCTGTGAGCTGAGATTGTGCCTTTGCACTCCAGTATGGGTGACAGAGCGAGACTCCGTCTCAAAAAAAAAAAAAAAAAAATTTATACATTGCCATACAGATTCACACACATACACTCATATTCACAAACACACAAATACGATAAACGCAGGGGCACACAAAAACACCATCACAAAAACACACTTCCATAAAACACAGGAATGCACGCTCACACAGAAACACGCATGGAAACACACGTTGTCTTACAGACTCACAGACACACTCATCATCACATAAACAGGCACACACACACAGCCACACAAGCACACACCCACACCCACATCAACACACACACTCCCACACGGCACACACGCGCTCACGCACACAGGTAGAACAGGCCTGCATTACCTGATAACGCAGTGAAATCAGACGTGATGCTGCCTGCTGAGGAGACCTGGAGGCTTCCCATGAATGGGCTTTCAGAAGAGAGGTCTCTGGGTGCATTTGGTGACACCCCAGGCAGTGGGGGAGACGTCCAGGCTGGAAGGCCAGCCACAGCCAGCTCTGCCCAAGGATGCCACATCCATTTGCTTCAGTAGGATATGTACCCTGGAAACCCAGCTTCCTGCCTCTCCAGGAAACCCCACTGAGGTCAGCACATCCCCCCAGGTTTAGAAGGGGTCTCTGGGTGCATCTGGTGACACCCCAGGCGGGGGGGGGGAGACATCCAGGCTGGAAGGCCAGCCACAGCCAGCTCTGCCCACGGATGCCACGTCCATTTGCTTCAGTAGGATCTGCACCCTGTAAACCCTGGTTCCTGCCTCTCCAGGACACCCCACTGAGGTCAGCACCCCCCACCCCCCACCCCCAGGTTTGTGCAGCTTCACTATCTGGGGAGAGACACAGAAAGACCACATTCGGTGGAATTCTGGCTATAACCTTTTGTGGCCGGCAAGAAGGATCACCAAGCTGTCCTGTTACCTTGCTGGAGCGATCACTGGTTTCACGCTTGGCCCCCGTGCAGTGAGTGCCTGGGCCAGGCTCGATTCTTGGAGCTCCAGTGAAATTTGGGCTTGGAGCTCACGCCTGCACCATCCAGAAAGCAGAAGGCACCTGGCCCGGGCTGTACAGTTCGTAGAATCAGAGAGAACACTGCTTGCCTTCATGTCTGTACCACAATAAATCTGCCAACTGTGGTCAAAGTCTCTGGATTCCTGCCCCCTCATTTTATTTTGTCTATTATGGAGTGGAAGGAGTGAGAAAGATTTTGCTTCCTATTTTGTTTTGCAAGGCGTTTCTAAGAAAAACAACCCGTGTTCTGCAAACGACATTCTGAGTGTCCCCTGGGCGTGAGGAAAACAAACTTTGGGAATCCAAGGACCTGAGAGGCAGAGTGAATGTCATTCACATTTCCCTGCGAATGACAAAGTCACTTTTTATTTATTATTATTATTATTATTAATTATTATTATTATAGATTCAGGGGATCCACGGGCAGCTTTGTGTCCTGGGGATATTGTACGATGCTGAGGTTTGGGGTATGAATAATCCCGTCACCCAGGCGCTGAGCATTGTACATTCCTGAGGTATATAATGTGTACTAAAAATAAAATGTATATTTATATATGCACTAATGATTCAACTTGATTCCTTGTAATTAAGAAAAACAAACCCCAAATTCGAGAGGAGTTCTAGAAATATATAAGAAGAGGGCCAGGTGCAGTGGCTCATGCCTGTAATCCCAGCACTTTGGGAGGCCAAGGCAGGCAGATCACCTGAGGTCAGGAGTTCGAGACCAGCCTGGCCAACATGGTGAAACCCCGTCTCTGCTAAAAATACAAAAATTAGCCAGGTGTGGTGGCAGGTGCCTGTAGTCCCAGCTACTTGGGAGGCTGAGGTAGAAGAATTGCTTGAATCCAGGAGGCAGAAGTTGCAGGGAGCCGAGATTGCACCACTGCACTCCAGCCTGGGTCACAGAGTGAGACTCCATCTCAAAAAAAAAGAAAAAAAAAAGAGAGAGAGAGAGATAGAAAACAAACAAGCAAGAAAATGCAACAGAAAAATCCGTGACCCAAAGATCTCTCCAGTTGCTGCCTTCTGCCTGAAATTCAAAGAATCTCAGGGTAGTTTTTCAACCCTTGTACCCCCGCCCCTGCTTCCTACTCTATTAGTCCTGAGGGTCTGTGGTGCCCCTTCATTGTGTCCAGGTGCAGGCAATGTTTAGCTCCCACCTATAAGCAAAAACATGTGGTATTTTATTTTCTGTTCCTGGCGTTAATTCACTAAGCATAGTGCCCTTCAGCTTCATCCATGTGACTGCAAAGGGCATGATTTTATTCTTGTTCATGGCTGTGTAGTATTCCATGATGCGGAAGGACCACATTTACTTTATCTAATTGAGAACATGTGGTATTTGATTTTCTGTTTCTGGCATTAATTCACTAAGCATAATGCCCTTCAGCTTCATCCACGTTGCTGCAAAGGGCATGATTTTATTCTTGTTCATGGCTGTGTAGTATTCCATGATGCAGAAGGACCACATTTGCTTTATCTAGTGCAGAACATGTGGTATTTGATTTTCTGTTCCTCATATTGATTCACTAAGCATAATGCCCTCTGGCTGCATCCATGTGGCTGCAAAGACATGATTTTATTTTTTTCATCACTGTGTAGTATTCCGTGGTGTAGAAGGGCCACATTTGCTTTATCCAGTTGAGAACATGTAGTATTTCATTTTCTGTTCCTGGCATTAATTCACTAAGCATAATGTCCTTCAGCTGTGTCCATGTGGCTGCAAAGGACATGACATTATTCTTTTTCGTGGCTGTGTAGTATTCCATGGTGTAGAAGGGCCACAATTGCTTTATCCAGACAAGAACATGTGGTATTTGATTTTCTGTTCTTGTGTTAATTCATTAAGCATAATGTCCTCCAGCTACATCCATGTGGCCGCAAAGGACATGATTTTATTCTTTTTCATGGCTGTGTAGTATTCGATGCTGTAGAAGAACCACTTTTGCTTTATCCGGTACCCCACTGATGGGCAACTAGGTTGATTCCATGACTTTCCTATTGTAAGTCGTGCTGTGATGAACCTTACAGGGCCAGGCACTGTAATCCCAGCACTCTGGAGGGCCAAGGTGGGCAGATCACCTGAGGTCAGGAGTTCGAGACCAGCCTGGTCAATATGGTGAAACCCTGTCTCTACTAAAAATACAAAAATTAGCCAGGCATGGTGGCGCATGCCTGTAATCCCAGCTGCTCAAGAGGCTGAGGCAGGAGAATCACTTGAACCCTGGAGGCAGAGGTTGCAGTGAGCCGAGATTGCTACTGCACTCCAGCATGGGAAATAGAGTGAGACTCCATCTCAAAAAACAAACAAAAAAAAGGAACTTTACCATGCATGTGTCTTTTTGGTAGAATGACTTCTTTTCCTTTGGGTAGATGCCCAGTCTTGGAATTGCTGGTGCAAATGGTGGAGCAGTTTGGATTCAGGAGGTACATGTACAGGTTTCTTACATGGGTACGATGTGTGATGCTGAGGTCTGGGGTATGAGTGATCCCATCACCCAGGTAGTGAGCATAATACCCCACAGTTGGTTTTTTCAACTCTTGTCCTTCTACCTTCCTCTCTCCCCCTAACTAGACCCCAATATCTGTTCCCTTCTCTGTGTCTACATATACACAACATTTAGCTCCCACTTATAAGTGAGAACACGCAGCATTCTATTAATTTACTTAAGATAATGGCCTCCACACTGTTCACAATAGCAAAGATGTGGAACCAACCCAAATGCTCATCAGTGATAGACTGGATAAAGAAAATGTAGCACATAGACACTGTGGAATACTATGCAGCCATGAAAAAGATGAGTTCATGTCCTTTGCAGGGACATGGATGAAGCTGGAAACCCTCATGTTCAGCAAAGTGACACAGGAGCAGAAAACCAAACAGTGCATGTTCTCACTCATAAGTGGGAAGTGAACAATGAGAACACATCAACCCAGAGAGGGGAACATCACACACTGGGGCCTACTGCAGGGGTGGGGGACTGGGAAAGGGACAGCATTATGAGAAATATCTAATGTAGATGATGGGTTGATGGGTGCAGCAAACCGCTATGGCACATGTATATCTATGTAACAATCCTGCACATTCTGCACATATACCCCAGAACTTAAAGTAGAATAGAAAAAAAATAATAAAAATAATTAAAAAAGATAATGGCCTCCAGCTACATCCATGTTGCTGCAAAAAAAAAAAAAAAAAAGAAAAAGAAAAAAAAAAAAAAAAACAACCGTGATTTTGTTCCTTTTCAGGGTTGCGTAGTAGTCCATGGTGTAGATGTACCGCGTTTTCTTTGAGGGTGGGAGGAGGGAGAAGATCAGCAAAAATAACCTGTGGCTGGGTATGGCAGCTCACACCTGTATTCTCAGCAGTTTGGGAGGCTGAGGTGGGTGGATCGCCTGAGGTCAGGAGTTTGAGATCAGCCTGGCCAACATGGCAAAACCCTATCTCTACTAAAAGTACAAAAATTAGCCGGGCATGGTGGTGCATGCCTGTAATCCTGGCTCCTCTGTAGGTTGAGGCAGGAGAATCTCTTGAACCCAGGAGGCAGACATTGCAGTGAGCTGAGATCGTGCCACTGCCCTCCAGCCTGGACCACAGAGTGGGACTCCATCTCAAAAAATAATCATAAAAATAATAATAACAACCTGCTAGGCTTAGGACCTAGGTTGATTCCATTACAAAAAACAAAACAAAAGAAAACAAAAAACTAACTTTTTAAAAGAAGGATCTCTCTGTTCAAAAACAAAACCAATGCCCTGTCAGGAAAGATGTTCTGTGTTTCTGGTAAAGCTGGAAGGAACCTACAGGAAGGAGTCACCCCATAAAACTAGTGGAGCAGCATTGCCTTTTGGGGTGAGGGCTGCTTCTGTTAGGCCACCAGGATGAGTGCCTTCCTGGGGAGTGTGGTTCATCCTATACCATCCAGGAAGCAATTCCTGCCCCCAAATCACCTGCCAGCTTCTGCCCTGTAAGTAAAATCCCCAGCAAGCGGGCAGCAAGGAGCTGCTTGCCTTGGAAGGCAGCTGAAGTCTCTGCCCACCACCCAGACTGTGTCCTCTGGGCAAGGCCAGGGCTTCCAGTTGGATGGTTTTCACATTAACGGCTGCTGTTTAGAATCATCAACATTGGCCAGGCGGGGTGGCTCATGCCTGTCATCTCAGCACTTTGGGAAGCCGAGGCGGGTGGATCACAAGGTCAGGGACCAGCCTGGCCAACATGGTGAAACCCTGTCTCAACTAAAAAAAGAAATACAAAAATTAGCTTGGTGTGGCTGGGCATGGTGGCTCATCCCTGTAATCCCAGCACTTTGGGAGGCCGAGGCGGGCAGATCATGAGGTCAGGAGATCAAGACCATCCTGGCTAACATGGTGAAATGAAACCCCGTCTCTACTAAAAATACAAAAAATTAGCCAGGCACGGTGGCAGGCACCTGTAGTCCCAGCTACTCGTGAGGCTGAGGCAGAAGAATGGCATGAACCTGAGAGGCGGGGTTTGCAGTGAGCCCAGATTGCGCCACTGCACTCCAGCCTGGGCGATATAGAGTGAGACTCTGTCTCAAAAAACACAAAAAAATAAAAAATTAGCCTGGTGTGGTGGTGGGCACCTGTAATCCCAGCTACTCAGGAGGCTGAGGCAGGAGAATTGCTTGGACCCCGGAGGCAGAGGTTGCAGTGAGCCGAGATCGCGCCATCGCACTCCAGCCTAGACAACAGAACAAGACTCTGTTGTAAAAAAAAAAAAAAAAAAAAAAAAAGAATCATCAACATTGCCTTGGCCCAATCTCTTCCCAGACTTGTCAGATCTTTACCACTGGACCTCCATGTTCTAGTTTCAAAGCTCTGCTGGCCACAGTGGCTCATGTCTGTAATCCCAGCACTTTGGGAGGCTGAGGTAGGAGGACTGCTTGAACCCAGGAGCATGAATCCATCCTAGGCAACATAGTGATAATAGTGTCAAATGAGAGCCAGTGTCCAGTAATTCCCCAAATATCTGAGAATTTTCTTTTCTTTAAGTCACAGTCATCCTGGCAGAAGGCTGTAAGTCCCTTTGGGGAAGACTGGGAAAAAGATTAACAATGTAAATTTTTGGCAACGTAGCAGCGTACTTCCCCAAGATCACCCAGCCTCCCCTTCACTTAAGGGGTTGTGGGCCTGTGAACTGGCTCAAGTCTGGGAATTGATTGAGGGTTTTAGATCTGTGTTTCATTAATTTGAGTTAGTCTTTTATTCAGTTGACCTAGAATTCTTCATTTTTTAAAGAACAACTAAGACTTTGGTACAGCCCATTAGCTCTCCCTGTGGATACCATGGACTACACAATGCCGTGGGTGTCTGTGAGTCAAACCATTCTGACTGCTGCTTTGACACTGCTTTCCACTGTGGTGACCACACCCACCTCATCTTTGGTGATTAAGGACAGCCCATGTTCCCTGCCACCCCAGGATTCAATTATCCTCATTTTACTTAAAGATCCCAGTCCAGTGGCTGCAGTTCCTGCTGTAACATTTTGCCTACTGAGAGCACAAGCTCAAAGCTCTTCCAGGATACTGGGCTCCTCTCACAATATTCTTTCTCATGATCGTTGTGAGGAGTATGTTCCGTAGACCCTCCAGTGTGAGTGAGCAGGTCTGACATAATAAATCCAGTCTCCCTGAGTTTTTGCATACCTTTCTGTACACATAAACCAAGGAAGTTGTGGCATCTCAACTTTATGTACCTTAGGTAAACTCTGATTCTGTTTCAGCCAACCAACCAAGTCACCAAACAAGCAAACAGCCAACCAATCAACCAACAAGCAAGCAAGCAACAAACCAACCAAACAACCAAGCAAGGAAGCAAGCACCAACCAACCAAGCAAACAACCAACCAAGTAACCGATCAAACCAACCCTTGGAGCCCTTTCTAAAGCTTTGACCTACAACCCTGAGTCCAGAATCTCTGTTTAGTGGGCCAACATTAATAAATTTAGCCTAATCCAACTTTATGTTACTTCCACCATGGTGCCACACACTTAATATCCATTCCCACATATATTCTCCAGATTTCCTTCTGTATAAATTGCGTGTGTGTGTGTGTGTGTGTGTGTGTGTGTGTGTAGAAAGAGAGCATCAACTAAAAAATCACACAATTTTATAAATTTAGAAAAGAGAGCTTTATTTCTTATATAGGTTTGCAGTCTGCAAGGTGGCCATTATGACAGCCTGGGAAGTGTGGCCTACAGCCAAGGCCAGAGGCAGGCATTTCCAGGGAGGGAAGGAGAGGACAGGAATTTGAGCCAAATGAGTTGGCTACATATACATACTCAATAGGATATCAGAGGAGCTATATCATTTTATGAGAATACTCATAAAAGAGGTCCTAATGAATGCATATTCAATAAACATGCATGTTCATTCTGGGGTGGAGACTTGACATTTAAATGTATTATAATTAGGCCCTACACATCAAAAAGTGAAGCAGGGACATGAAGGTACTCAGCCTCTGTACAGGCACAGCCTCCAAAACTGGCCAGAACCAGTCCATGGAGGATGGTCTCTTATCAGGAGAAAGTTACTGAAATCAGTCCCTTGTCCAGAGAAAGCTGTCATTAAGGTTAGTGGGGCAGGAGATCAGTTACTCAGCGTCTGTGAACTGGGTGAGTTGTAATTGTTTTAATCTTGCTTCTCTCACAGCCAGTGCTTGCTTGGTTGCTAGAGAAAAATAAAACCCACGTGGTAGTTAGAATCTAGTTAATTCTTTAAGAGTAGGCTACAAGACTTAACGCTCGCCTGGCATGGCCCTAGGTCCTGTTTATAATTTGAGGTCTTATTGCCACAAAGAGTCTGTTCTGTCAGTCTCATGATCTCTATTTTAACATTAATGCTGTTCAGTTGTGGGGTCTAAACCATAAGAGGGAGGGAGGTACAGGGAGGTATGTCTGACCTCCTGTCCTGTCATGGCCAAGAACTGAATTTTAAGATTTATTTGAGGTTCCGTTGGCCAACAGGGGGTCTGTTAAGTCGGGTGGGGGGCTTAGGATTTTATTTTTAGTTTTCAAGGGAGATAAAATAATTTAATCAATTGGCCCCTGTGACTGTGGGACTAACATGGCTATGATCTGTCGGACAGACTTCAGGCTGGCACCCAGGCAAAATTCTATGCTGTAGTAAATGCATCATGCACATTTGTAACAACACGTACATAACAATGTCACAAAATACTTTCACGGTGACACCTAGATTGGTATTTTATTGAATAGCTGATGATATAAACTGGCTCATTTGATGCCAAGACTGACCATCACCACCATACCAAGGTCATCACTGATCAGAGGCCTAACCCAAGGAGGAGGTCATGTGCAGACCCAGCAGTGGGGAGGAAAGATGCTGCAGAGGAGACGGATGCCCACAGAGGCCCCTGAGCGGACACAATGCTCACTAAGTGGTAAGTATAGACTCAACGTAGGCTGTAAGGTCTCCCCCTGTGCAAATGGGACCCCGTCCACTTGAGAGTCAAGGGTCTGTTTGGGTGGCAGGGATAGCCACTTCTGAAGGTAGAAAGGAAAATAAGCCACCAAATTGGTACCTTTCTGTGAAATGGACATCGTGCTTAGAATCTCCATTTTCCCCACAACCTGGAGGAATAAGTACTGTCATCTGCATTTTGTAGCTGAAGAATCTGACTCAACAAAATTAAATTACTCACCTAAGCAATTAGCAATTAACCAAGTCTTTCTGACTCAGAAACCCAGCTGTTGCCTGTTCATATCCAGCCCCTGTATTGGGGTCAAGATCTGGCCTGTTCTCAATGCAGCAAGATCCAGGCAGATCACACTGGACTCCCAGCACTGAATCTGGCTCGAGGGGACATCAAATTTGACTGGGTCATGGGGCTCAGGAGCATCACTCTCAAAAATAGCAGTACAGGAAGAGGCGATGGCCCTAAACAGCATTTGCAGGCAGATCCCATGTTAATCGTAAGGGTCAGGACTCTCACTTTTCTGTCTCTCTCTCTCTGTCTCTCATCTAGGGCTGACCCCACATTGGACACCACTGCATCCATGTCCATCACACACCACAGCTGCCTTTTCTTCTGCCTGCTTATGGGAAAGTCCCCTCCTCTCCTCCATTTTCTTCTCTTCCTGCCCTATCACACCGTGCACTTCTCCCTTTCCTTAAAGAACCACCATCAACTTTAGGAGGAGGGAAAGGGGTGGCTCTGGCAGGAAAAGCCAGAATCCCCTCTAGCCAGCAGAGAGAGAGGAATGGCTGCCTGTTTTCTCCCCCAATCCAAGGCACTAGGTTTTGGCTAGGTTGCAGGTTCCAAGCTGCTCTCCTGCTGTGTCAGTGAGTTCTGGTCAACCTGCAACCTCCTGATGTGGCCACTGCAGTTCATCGAGTCTTCAGGGACTCCCCATGACCTGGAGTACTTTGCCTTGCTTACACGGGAGAGGAGAATGGATTTATAGGGAACATCATCTAAATCCAACTTGACCATTGTGTGGCCACACTTGCTAGATTGCTATAGTCTAAATCTAGCATTGTAGAAAGACGGGGGAGCTTGGAGCTGCACAAACCCAGGTCTGGAACTGGCTCCCTACCTTGAAAGGTGAATGATCCTGGCAGGACTCAGCCTCCCTGGGCCTCAGTTTCTTTATCTGTTTCTTGCTGGTTGGTTGGGTGATGTGGGGGCTGTGTGAAAACAGCTTGTCAATACAAGCCGAAATAGGAATATTTCTCCACAGAGTATGAAGGTCAAATGAGAGAATACATTTAAATTAAATGGAAAATTAAAATGGCAAAAAAGGCAAAGTTGTATTGAAAGTTCCAAGCTTCTCTATAAGGAGCTTTTTGACTATGTAAGAATCCGGTACTCGTTCCCCCTAAATATAAAAAAAAAAAGTTGAAGGAGGAAGAAGGGAGAGTGATGCATGATGGGCGAGGACTTCACCTGCTGTTGCTGGCTTTGAGGATGGAGGAAGGAGGCCACAAACCTAGAAGCTGGAGCCCCTAGAAGCTAGAAAAGGCAGGGACCCGATTCATCCCTTGAGCCTCCAGAAGGGACATAGCCCCGCCAGCACCTTGACTTTAGCCCAGTGAGATCCTCTTAGGACTTTTGGCAACCAGAACTATAAGACAGAAATGGAAGCCACTGAGTCTGTAGCTGTTTGTTGCAGCAGCAATAGAAAACTAATGCAGAGCCCAAGAAATCACTGGTGATGAGATGGGGAAGTGGGCTCAGGAGGTCTGGATCTGTGATGAGATGGGGAAAGTGGGGGAGGTCTGGATCTGTGATGAGATGGGGAAAGTGGGCTCAGGAGGTCTGGATCTGTGATGAGATGGGGGAAGTGGGCTCAGGAGGTCTGGATCTGAGTTGGGGATCTGGAGTGGAAGGGGAATTCATTTGTTCATTGTCTATCCTTTTGCATTGATTGAGTTTTTATATATATATATATATATGTGAATTTTCACAATAAAAGTTTTTTCCAAAATAAAATAAACAAAAGGGGCTTTTTGCAACCCAATTCCTATCTATGTCTGAGTCCACTTGTATTGAATGAGTCTTTCTGCTAACGTCCTTATATTTGGGTGACAATCTGAATGTCAGTGACCAATCAGAGCAGAGGCAGACCTTGGAGTGGGCAGGGCACCCTGAGGGCCCTGATTCCCGCCATGAGGCATAACCCTTTAGGTGCCAGACCACGGGGAGGCCCAGGGGTTGCAGGGGAGGGCTGTGCATCTGCAATGACTCTCAGGGGGCTCCCGGTGGTGGCAATTGGTGAATCTGCACGGTGGTGTTTCAATATTGTGACAACCCTGCTGTCTCTCATGCTCTTAAAAAGCATTTCTCTTACCTGTGACAGACTTCCTATACCTAACAGCTTGCAAAAATGTTCCAGATTAATGAGAATAATCTCTCGGAGCCATACCTCCCTGCTTGGGGTCTCAGTTTCCCCAACTGTCTCCAGACAAGTTAGGCTAGAAGGCCCCTGAGCCTCAGCCCCTCTATACCCCTCCTGTCACCCAGACCTGATCTGGGTCTTGCACCCTGGGTGCAGCAAGACAGGGGTGGGCAGGGGCTGGCTCTGGGCCAGAGGACCCTTTCTGATGGACTTCAGCTGTTGGCCTTCCAGGGGAGACTGATCAACCTCACAAGAGTCATATGGTGAGTAGCAGTGGGCAGATCCATCCCCCTCGTCTTAGATTTATGGGGAGACAGAGAGAAAGAGGAGACACTCCAGGAAGACCTGCAGGTGGGAGTACCAGGTTGAAACCAAGGACACATTCCTGGAGGAGCTGCCGTTTGAGCCAGCTCTGAGAACAGGTGGGGACAGGACTGGAGAGGAGGAGGGGGTCCCCTATGAGCAAAGACTGGCCACCACCCCATCTAACACCCCCACAGGGCCCCTGTGGCATCCCTGTCCAGTCCCTGTCACCACCCAGTTTTTCCCTCTGGACCCAGGAATTCAAAGTAAGCAAGGAGGTCCACTGCTCCAGTTGACTGCAAATAATTACAACCTTGAGCCCAAGCAGCACTTTGGGTCCTGGTTTGGGACCACGAAGCGGCTCGGTGAGACTGAGAGGTAAGGCCAGGACAGGAATTGGGATAGTAGGATTGAACTCTCCCTGGGGGCCAGCCTCAGAAAGCCTGTGGCCATGGCCTCTTGGCCAACATCAGATCCTGTGGTCTGGCAATGCCTGGGGTACCCAGACCTCACTCTGGACAGGCCCTGGGAGGGGGCCCTGGTGAGATTCCTGGCAGCCTCACAGCCACTCTTCTGTCCGTAGCTACAACATGTCATGCCAGCTGGAGGCTCCATCCCAGTTGGCTGGGAGCACAAAGGCCAGGAAGATAGACATCACCCACCACAGGGGCCAGTCGGGGCCTGAACCAGGGCGGGCAGAGGTTGGCTGCCTTGGGATATGGGTGGGCTCAGGGAGTCAGACAGCAAGGGACTAGCCTCCCATCCTACTGCTGACCAGCTCTGTGACTGGAGAGAGTCACCTTACTTCTCTGGGCCGAGTTTCCCCCTCTGTGGAGTGACACTAAATGCTCTCTCTGGAGACTGGGATCAGTAGGGCACTGGTGATTGACCAGGCACTCAGCACATGCCTGGAGCACACAGTGCAGGGCTGTGGTGGGGAGGTGGCCTGAGTTCCTGGGGAGTCACCCATGTGTGCCTGCCCTTCTGACCAGCCACCAGGCCCTCAGGGCAGAGCCTACTACCAGCAGCAGCTCACACCCCGAGACCAGCTCAGAGGCAGCCCCTACCTCAGCAGCAGGGACATCACGGACACTTTGAGCTGCTACTAGGGTGGCTTCCCCAGCTCCCACGTGGAGAGGGGTCCCAGCTGAGTCCCACTCACGTGGAGTCTCATGCCCATGAAAGTGCCATTCACCACTGGTCAGGCTCAGGAGGCCGCATGAGAGGGGGGGGTCACTGGGGAGGAGATATCGGGGTAACAGAGAGGGTGGTTGAATTTTTGTATAATAGGCAGTGCAAGTGTTTACCGTTCAGGAGGGGAAAGGTTTGTTATTATTAGCAATGCTACACTTGAATATTATACTAAAATCCACTTTCTCTATAACCTGGGAGTTGCTCTTTTGTTCTTTCTTTTCCCATCTTAATTAAAATGAGATGCAGACTCTCACGGTCCACAGTCGATTAAGAAATCTTGCATGGCCATCAGGTTATGTCTTGGAGAGCAGAGTTTCAGTACCATCAGCCTGGCAAGGAGCCGGGCCTGCTCCTCAGAGCTCCCAGGACTGTGAGAAATGGCATGTTCACAGGGCACTGTCACAGCCTCTGAAACACGCTGTCTTTAAAGACGTTTGCAGGCTGGACGCGGTGGCTCACTCCTGTAATCCCAGCACTTTGGGAGGCAGAAGCGGGTGGCTCACTTGAGGTCAGGAGTTCGAGACCAACATGGCCAACACGGCAAAACCCCATCTCTACTAAAAATACAAAAAATCAGCCAGGTGTGGTGGCAGGTGCCTGTAATTCCAGCTACTCGGGAGGCTGAGGTAGGAGAACTGCTTGAACCCAGGAGGCGGAGGTTGCAATGAGCAGAGATCACACCACTGCATTCCAGTCTGGGCAACAAGAGCAAAACTTCATCTCAAAAACAAAAACAAAAACAAAAACAACACAAAGACATTTGCAAGGACCATGTCCTCAACCAGAATGGTGCCTGCCTTTCTACAGTTTTTCAGGAAGAGGAAACATTTTTCTGCTTCTCTCGCTGAGGTTTTTTTTTAACCACCCATTAGGAACCTATAGATTTCAGGATGGAACACTGGGATTCCCTCAGCACTAAAGGAGGAAAATTGTAAACAGAGCTGAAAGTGCAATGTGCAAAGGTCAGGCTGAGGAAGGTTCTTAGCCAGTAGACCAAGGGCAGGAAGGACACTGCCTCCTCAGTCTCCCACTTTGTGATTCTTGTCCCCTGACCTCAGAATTCCTTGTCATGTTTGTTTTGTCTCCAAGGGAAGGGTTTGAATTACAGAATTTAAGGCTAGAGTGGGCCTCGTGCAGTTAACATTAACCCTCTCTCTCCTTCGCTGGCCGAGGTGAAGTCCAGGAACATGTAGTTCTGACGTCCACTCTCTCGGGGGATCACCAGTTCACCCATCTCACCCGGCAAGCTTGGCCCTAGTTTGGCGACAGGCATCTTCCACCCACCTGGGAGGCAGGGTTCAATACTCTGCCTCTGACCTTGTTTCCTTCTTCTGCCATCTGCTTAGGCAGCCAGAAGTGGTTGTCCAGCCAGCACCTGGGCTTTGGCCCTCCTCAAGCAGGTGAAGGAAGTTTCAGGCACCTGGCTCCTCAGGTGTCTGCCATTCAGGTGCTCTTCAGGCCTGCCCAGAAGAGCTCTCTTGATCCAGCTAGAACTGGCCAGAACTGACTCACTCAGGAATGTGCAGACTTTGACATCAGGGGCTGCTTTAATTTGCACAATTTCCAAATACCTCTTTTTTCTTCTTTTTCTGATGAGTCATCTCCCTAGACTTGCATTTTAAAGAGATAGATAGTTATCAGATTCCAGAGAAGACATGGTAGAACATTTATATGTCAAAGACACAGAGCTGAGACTTTAGTTTTAGATACTATAATTTGCCTAAACCAAAAAGGAAGGTGTAGGTAAAGTTCTAGTCAAGACAGGATGGCCAGGAAAAACACCTTAAACCAAGGGACAGCTTGCTTTGCTGATTTAAGCCAATGGCTTCTTTATCATAAGACTTCCCAGTGATTTAGTCCTCCCTCTCTTCCAGTGCACAGAGACATACCCCTCCTTACAAATAAAAATGTTCTTTATAGATGTAAATTTATTTTACAAAAATGTTTCAAAATAACCAGATGAAAATCATCCTTATGCCAGAAAGACTTGTTTTTTTTTTTCATTACTAGAAATGAAACAGTAAGTATTTGTTGTATTGACATACTTAGGCTTAGACCTATGTTTAACAAGAAAGCCTAATAATAGCACTGTGGTTAGACTGTAGCCTATTTTTCCAAACCATCATTTTATTATTAAGGAAACGAAGGATCAAATACCTTTCATTCATCTGATATGATCCTTTAAAACACATTCCACTAATAAGTCCCATTTGGAACAGCTGAAAATCTTTTAATAAAACTTTTTAAAGATGAGCTCATGGCTTAGTGTAAATTTCACAAGCTTAATTAGGTCAAATGGAAGGAACTCAGATGAGTGGTTGCCCAATCAGAGCCCATTATTTGTAAGTCATCAGACCCCTCCGTGACCTTAAAACTCCACTCTGACCTAATTATTGCAAACCTATATACAAAAAAGTGAAAGGATTAATTTTCATTCATCAACCTCTCAATCCCAGATTTTCAAAGAAAAAACCTATGTAAGGAATACTTGCCAAAACCAGGCAGGAAAATTAGAGCCTGCATACTTAAGAGTCAAATTTGTTCCACTACAGCCAGGTGGCATACAATTACATCATTTGGTTCTTCATACACTCTAGAACTGACTAGGACAGAGTTTAGCATAGAAAAACTGTAAGAAATAGGTTCTGAAACATAGAAATTGCAAAGTTTAAAAGGCTATGAAAAAAACTAATGCAAATGAGAGACTCCCCTCCCTTTGTTTTAAAGAAATAGACCCATCAGAGAAGTGCAAATCAAAACCACGAGATACCATCTCACACCAGTTAGAATGGCGATCATTAAAAAGTCAGGAAACAACAGGTGCTGGAGAGGATGTGGAGAAATAGGAACACTTTCACACTGTTGGTGGGACTGTAAACTAGTTCAACCATTGTGGAAGACAGTGTGGCCATTCCTCAGGGACCTAGAACTAGAGATACCATTTGACCCAGCCATCCCACTACTGAGTATATACCCAAAGGATTATAAATCGTGCTGCTATAAAGACACATGCACACGTATGTTTATTGCAGCACTATTCACAATAGCAAAGACTTGGAACCAACCCAAATGTCCAATAATGATAGACTGGATGAAGAACATGTGGCACATATACACCATGGAATACTAGGCATCCATTAAAAAATGATGAGTTCATGTCCTTTGTAGGTGCACGGATGAAGCTGGAAACCATCATTCTCAGCAAACTATCGCAAGGACAAAAAACCAAACACCACATGTTCTCACTCATAGGTGGGAATTGAACAATGAGAACACTTGGACACAGGAAGGGGAACATCACACACCAGGGCCTGTTGTGGGGTGGGGGGAGGGGGGAGGGATAGCATTAGGAGATATGCCTAATATAAATGATGAGTTAATGGGTGCAGCACACCAACATGGCACATGGATACATATGCAACAAACCTGCACACTGTGCATGTGTATCCTAGAATTTAAAGCATAATAAATAAATATAAAAAAATAAAAAAAGAAATAGATGTTCTGTAAAAATATACACAATTTTTACAGACAAATACATTTATAAGTTGTTTTTATCTTAAAAATCGGGGATATTTCATATTTATAACTAATTATTGAACCTTAAGTTTTCTTGGCCATTTCTAGGCTAATAAACTACGAATCATGTAAACTAAGCCAAAGTAGAATAGACATAAAAGTCCTGAACACTTCAACTTCCTATCCTTCAAGAAGTATATCTCGCAAAGCTCATTTGAGAGAGGAAAAGCTTTCCTCCACCCTCTGTTTTACAGCGCTGAGGCTTCTCATCACATTTCTATGACTTGTAGCTTAAATCCATGTTACATGGTAACTGGCATTGTTAGTGCTTCTCTTTTAACACAGTAGGAATTAATCAATTTGGTGGTGTATTTAATTAATTCTATCACTAGAGGATTGTAAAATTACATATATGAATACCTCACTTTAGAGGCCACTTAATTTTTTTCCAAGGGGATATTTGACTACATTTCACTTGTGTCTTATTTAATGATTTTATAATTTAAACCCTAAATTATAAATCTAGAATTTAGAAAGTATATTTCCCCACTGGATTACATTTTTGGAAATATTATTTTATATGTGCACAAATATTACAAAATCACTGTAGACACCTGAAAACTATATTATCTTTTAAAGGCAATATTTACATTAAACTGGTATAACAAAATTGTTTGGTGCATTTTTTTCCAGTACATTTTGTATATATTACATGTTTAACCTTTTTTTATTCAGCAAATAATTTTTGAGTATCTACTAAGTGCTAGGTTCTGCACTACTAACTGAATTTAAAGAGTGAAATAACAGACATGGTCTCAGACAATAAAAATTAACATTAGGTCACCTATTTATATATTTTAAAATGGTAATTATGAAAACTTTTTGAGATTTTTAACTAGATAACATTATAATAATACACTTGATGTTGTTAATATTTGCCAGTGAGCAAAAAAGAAAATAAAAAGATGGTTTTATTCAATATACACTTTAAAATTGCAGAAAATAGTCAAGTTTCTCTGCTTTGCGGTTGAATGTCTATGTGTTTTTCTCCGCAACTTGCCTTTTGTGGAGTGAAACAATTATTCTTCCAGCCCAATAAAGGCAGAAGAGTAACAATAAATCTAATATTTTAAGTGCTTCTCAAAAGATAGTAAACATATTATTTCAGAATACTGAGTTCAATAAGTTGACCTACAAAAAAAGCCAAACTGACAGTATTACTGAATAAGGAAAGGCCCAAAGAGACAAAATACTTTTTATTTTGTAACCTCGGTATGACACAACTTACCCTAACTATAAAGACCCTAAATTACCAAGATGGGTGCTTATAATAAGGAGAGTAAAAAAAGTCATTTGACTTTTAGCTTTTTTATTTCTCTCAGAATAAAAAGTGTCTAAGGAGTTTATAAAGAAGTTGATACTATAAGTTAGTACTACAATGACAGCACTTTTCAAGAAAAGACTTTTTTCTCTCTTACAAATATCACGTTAGCAGTATTTGTTTTCTCCAGAAATAATGAGGAAATAAAAACATAAGTATGTGGGTAATTAGTGTAGTTTCTTAAAGAAATGAGTTAGGCAACAGGCTAATAATGTATACTTCGCTGGCTTTTGAATGCCAACAATCATATTCTTTATAAGGCACAGAGAAGATTTTTCTGAAGAATAAGTATGTGAACCTGAAAAGTAATCACCACTTGGTAGTGACAATATGGATAGGGTGAAGGGCGTCATCAAGAAGCAATGAAAAGATACATTTGCAGTTCAATTTGAAAACCATGATGTTTAATACATATAGTAATAAAGAATACTTTCTCCTATTTCAAAATTATTTTAGAATTTAAGATAGAAGCTAAAATACCTAGGGATAATGATATGACTATCAAAAATTAAAAATTAAAGGACATTTTGAGTATTAAAAGAATGAGAACTTATTACCCAATGAACAGGGGTTAATTCATTATGCTCCATATCCATTGAATTAAAAGACAGGCCCATTACCTGGATAATTTGAAAGTTTAATTTTATTTAAAAGTCTTGTTTCATTCATCAAGGTAAAGGATTAGCTCCCAGAAATATTCTAGAATTGCATATCCCCAACTCTGTAGGAAGTATAGAAAGAATGTTATAAGGGCCACCATCTAAACATTATTATGTAAATAATTTAGTACCATTCCATTTGCCTTTGTAGATTTAAAACTGTAAATGGCTTTCTCATATTAGGAAACATCACTTTTCAAAACCCAGATAAACATAGTACATTGCAAGAGAATAATTATTTTCTTTATTAAAAAAGAAATACTGGATGCTAAGTCCAAAAGACATAAATTATTTTATACTAATAACTACTAATATTTTATTCATTAAAATATAAAGGTCAAAGATTTCAAAATGATCTTTAAATGATTAATAACATGTTGATCTTTTTCTTCTTTCTGTAAACCTTTTTGAGTCTTAAAAATACTAAACTATACAAGCAATATTAAATAGTATATAAACTTGGATTAAAATATTCAAATTTACTAGAATGTGGACATTGGAAAGAATGAAAATAAACAGAAGCATAAAGCAGCAGATATAAAATTAAGAAAGCAACTAAGAGTGTTTAAAGTACATATTCATCTGTAGTCTACCATAAACAATGACTCTTCTCAGTAAAACACAAATTGTTCATGAAGGGAAAAAGCATGTTGTATTAGAGAATATTCAACATAATTTTTTTAGTACTAACTTGTGCCTGGAGTATTATTGGTTTTTCTATTATGAACTTATGCACTTGTTAATTTTTTTCATAAAAATTATATGTACAACTCCATTCAAAAGCAGTTTTTGGTGGGTTTTTTTTTTTTTTTTTTGAGACAGAGTTTTGCTCTTTTCACCCAGGCTGGAGGGCAATGGTGCGAATTTGGCTCACAGCAACCTAGCAACTTTTGCCTCCCAGGTTCAGGTGATTCTCTTGCCTCAGCCTCTCGAGTGGTTAGGACTACAAGCACGCACCACCATGCCTGGCTAATTTTGTGTTTTTAGTAGAGACATGGTTTTGCCATGTTGACCAGGCTGGTCTTGAACTCCTGACCTGAGGTAATCCACCCATCTTGGCCTCCCAAAGTGCTGGGTATGGGCAAGAGCCACCATACCTGGCCTCAGAAGCAGTTTTTAAAAGCAAACACAATATAACACCAAAGTTGAAAAATCTATGCTCACCCAAGGATGCCAGGTTTAATAAATTATTTATAGAATACTGCATCAAAAATAAGACAATAACCCAAAATATACCATTAAAGATGTATCCACTCCTACAACTGGAGATAATTAATCTATCTAGTAGCAAATGATACTTCAATCAGTTTCAGCATGTCTGAAATCTTTAAGGACAAAAGTGATAAAACATGACTTCATTCTTCATTAGACTCTTAGAACACTTGAAGGAAAATAATTTCTGAAGCACAAAGAAGTAAAGAGGTGTAATCTTTCAAAAAGATATTCAGTGTTCAAAATCCAAGAGTGCAATATCAGGCTGGGTGCGGTGGCTTATGCCTGTAATCCCAGCACTTTGGGAGGCCATGGTGGGTGGATCACCTGAGGTCAGGAGTTCGAGACCAGCCTGGACAACAAGGTGAAACTCTTGACTGTACTAAAAATACAAAAATTAGCCAGGCATCGTGGTATGCACCTGTAGTCCTAGCTACTTGGGAGGCTGAGACAGGAGAATCGCTTGAACCTGGGAGGTGGAGGTTGCAGTGAACCGAGATCATGCCACCTCACTCCAGCATCAGTAACAGAATGAGATTCCATCTCAAAAAAAGAAAAGAGTGTAATATCGGTATACACAGATAATATACTGAATGAAACAAATAGAATAATTTGAAGAGGTGTCTTGATGAACAAGGAGTCATTAGAAAGGTTGTATTCATGTCTTTGAAGGAAATTGCAATGTGAGAAATTAATACTTTGACTACTATACTAAAAGTTTATTGCTAACATGTATTGAGTTATTAACGTGTGTTAGGCAGAGTACCATATAATTTACAAGTGTTATCTCATTTATTGTAGGTAAAATGTAATTTCGAACTCTGGGAGTATTAATGAATTAGATAGAATAAAATTCTATTTAAATGGCCATCAGTAAATCGGTATCTAGGAACAGGGTGATACGGTGCCCAAGTTTTCTATTCTTACTAAATGTTGTGTTTCATTTTCAATGTTTTCTTGGATATGCTCTTTTTTGGTGATTTTGATTTTTTTTATTTTAGAAAACTAATAAATTGACTCTTCTTGGTACTGACTCGGGTTTTATAGAAGAAAAAGTAATTAAATTATGTATATTTACCTTTACCTCATTTTTTCTCTTTTAAATTTACTTTAATTGACATATAATAAATGTACATGTTATGGGGTACAGAGTGATATTTTGATATATTTATGCAATACGTAAAGATCAAGTCAGAGTCATTATCATATCCATTACCTAAATCATGTATTATTTCTTTGCAGTGAGAATATTCAAAATCTTTTATTTTAGTTATTTGAAAACACACAATAAATTCCCGTTAACTACAGTCACCCAACAGTGCTGTAGAGAACTAGAACTTCTTCCTTCTCTCCAGCTGTAATTTTGTATGTATTAACCACATTTTTCTTATACTCTTCTTTCTCCTACTCTTTCCAGGATATGGTAACCAAAACTCTACTATCTACTTCTACGAGATTAAAAATTTTAGCTTCCATACATAAGTGAGAACACGTAGTTATGTGGTGTCTATGTTTCTATGCCAGGCTTATTTCACCTAACATAATGCCCTCCACTTGCATTCTTGTTGCCACAAATAACAGGATTTTGTTCTTTATTATGACTAAATAGTATTCCATTATATATGTATGTCACATTTCTTTATCCATTCATCTGTTGATGGACACTTTTGTTGATTCCATATCTTGGCTATTGTGAATAGTGCTGTAATAAACATGGGGGTGCAGGTAAGTCTTTGATATACTGGTTTTCTTTCCTTTGGATATATACTGAAAACCATATGATTAAATTAATAAACACAATAAAAGCGTTTGGCAAAATTAAATATTCTTACATGACAAAAAACCTCTCAACAATTTAGTATAGAAAATATATGCCTTAAAACAGAAGGACATAAAGGACAAATCTGCAACTAAGATCATACTGAGTGTGGAAAAGGTGAAAGATTTTACTGTGAACAAGAAAAAGATTTTACTGGAACAAGAAAAGGATGCCTATTCTCACCAATCATATTTCACATAGTGAAAGTCTTAGCCAGGACAATTAGGTGAGAGAAAGAAATAAAGGACATCTGAATTGGAAAGGAGACAGTCAAATTGTCCCTGTTTAAAGACAATGTGATCTTATACACGGAAAAAAATAAGACTCTACCAAAAGCTTCTTAGGGTGATACATGAAATTAATAAAGTTGCAGGATATAAATCAACATACAAAAATCAGTAGCATTTCTATATATTGATAATAAACTAGCTGAAACAAGAAATTAAGAAAGCAATTCCTTTTACAATAGCTACAAAAATGTACTTAGAAATAAATTTAACCAAGGAAGTAAAAGATTTCGACAACAAAAATGACAAATATTAATGAAAGAAATTAAAGAAAACACAAAAAAGGAAAGACATCCACGTTTATAGATTGAAATAACTAATATTCTTAAAATGACCCACTATCCTATGTGATTTACAAATTTGGTACAATCACTAGCTTGTATTTTTAAAAGCACCTTTGTTGCATATTCTTAAGATATTCAATGACAATGCCCGGATTTAAGTTTGAGGTATTATTATATCTATTTTATACTGGGCACAATATAATGTTATCAGAGGTAACGGTTTTGATTGGTCCTAGGTCATACAGTAATATATACATTGTGATTTATAGACATGCTATCTTTTAATACTCAGGCATTTAGAAAGTTCATTTAGAGAAAGTTATAAAAACTTGCCGTCCTTTCTGCCTATATCACCTAAAAATCCTAATTTAAGAGGTAATAACATTTTTTATTTGATATACAATTTATCAACACAATAAAAATCTAACAATTATCATGTGCAGAGTGTGAAAATCTCATCAGATTAAGGAACACAAAGACATCTTTTTCATATTTCGAATGTAAAACTGTTTTGGAAACTGTTATTTTTAGAAACAGTTAAAAACATTTTTTCATTAGTTTTTCATGTAAAATTGTGACAACCAGCATGAAATAACTGTCATCACAGAAGCATGGTATATTCGATTCCAAAACATATTCTTTGTAAGTTTTAATATATTTATGTATTATTTATACTTAGATTGTAACCCATAATGTACAGATATTATTTTTCCTTCAACTCTTAAGAATATTCTTAAATAATAAAATTAAAATTAATGAATTATAATTTTTGTTGCTTGGGAAAAAGAATAGACACACACGTGACAGTGCATCACTTCACCCCATCATTTCATCTCATCATTTCATCATTTCATCTCATCATTTTATCTCATTTCATCTCATCCCATCTCATCTCATCATTTCATATCATCTCATCATTTCATCTCATCATTTCACCAAATCTCATCTCATCTCATTTCCATTATTTCATTTCATCATTTCATTTCACTATTTCATTTCATTTCATCTAATTTCATTTATTTCATTATGTCATTTCATATAATCTCATTTCATTTCATCTCATATTTTTGATATCATTTTTCATATTTTTCATCTCATTTCATCTCAATTCATCTCATCATTTCATCTCCTCATCTCATCATTTCCTCCTTTCATTACAACATTTCATCTCATTTCTTCTCATCTCATTTCAGTTTCATTATTTCATCTCATTTCATTATTTCACCTAATTTCATTATTTCATCTCATCTCATCTCAGTTCATCTGATCTCATTTCATCTCAGCATTTCATCTCATCATTTTTCATCTCATCATTTAATCTCATTTCATTTCATTTGATCTCATCATTTCAGCTCATTTCATGTCACATCTATTCATTTAATCATTTCATTTCAACATTTCATCATTTCATCTCATCATTTCATCTCATCTTTCAATTTCATTTCAATATCATTTCATCATTTCTTTTCATTTCATCTCATTTCATTATTTCATTATTTCATTTCAATTCATCTCATCATTTCATCTCATCATTTTTCATCTCATCATTTTTCATCTCATCATCTCATCTCATCATTTCATCTCATTTCTTCTCATCATTTCATCTCATCATTTTATCTCATTTCATCTCATCTCATTTCATTATTTCATTTCATTTCACTTCATTTCATTTCATCTCATTATCTCATCTCATTTCATCTCATCATTTCTTCTCGTCTCATCTCATCATTTCATCATTTCATCTCGTTTCATCTCATTTCATCTCATCTCACCTCATATCATCATTTCATCTCATCCTTTCATTTCATCTCATTGTTTCATCTCATTTCATCTCATCTCACCTCAGCATTTCATCATTTCACCTCATCATTTCTTATTTCATCTCATTTTATCTCATTTCATCTCATATCTCAATTCAATTTCCTTTCATTATTTCATCTCATTCATTTCATCTCATTTCGTTACATCTCATCATTTCCTCTCATCATTACATCTCATCTCATCTCATCATTTCATCTCATCATTGCATCTCATCATTTCATCTCATTTCATCTCATCATTCATCTCGTCATTTCATCTCATCTCATCATTTCCATTTCATTATTTCATTTCATCATTTAATTTCATCATCTCATTTAATTTCACCTTATTTCATTATTTCATTTTTTCATTTCATTATGTCATTTCATTTCATCTCATTACATTTCGTCTAATTTCATTTCATCTCATTTCATCTCATCATTTCATTTCATCTCATCTTTTCATCTCATCATTTCGTCTTATCATCTCATCAACTCTTTTCATCTTATCATTTCATCATTTCATCTCATCACTTCATCATTTCATCTCATTACTTCATTTCATCTCATATCTTCTCATCTCATTTCAATTTCATTTCATTATTTCATTTCATTATTTCATGTCATCTCATCTCATCATTTCATCTCATCACATCTCATCATTTTATCATTTTATTTCATCATCTCATCATTTCATCTCATCTCATTTCAATTTATTTATTTCAATTTCATTTCATTATTTCATTTCATTTCATCTCATCAGTTCATCTCATCATTTCATCTCATCATCTCATCTCATCATTTCATCTCATCATTCATCTCATCATTTCATATCATCTTATCTCATCATTTCATCTCATTTCATCATTACATTTCATCTCATTTTATGTCATCATTTCATGTCATCATTTCATCACATCTCATCTCATCATTTCATCATTTCATCTCATTTCAACTCATTGCATCTCATCTCATTTCCATTTCATTATTCCATTTCATCATTTCATTTCATTATGTCATTTCATCTCATCATATTTCATCTCATTTCATCTCATCTCATTTCATTTCATCTCATCATTTCATCTCATTTTATCTCATCTCATTTCATCTCATCATTTCTTCTCATCTCATCATTTCCATTTCATTTTCATTTCATTATTTCATCATTTCATTATTTCATTTCATTATTTCATTTCATTTCATCTCATTACATTTCATCTCATTTCATCCATCATTTCATTTCATTTCATCATTTCATCTCATGATTTCATCTCATCTCATCATCTCATTTCATCTCATTATTTCATCTCATTTCATCTCATCTCATCATTTCATTTCATCATTACATCTCATCATTTCAACTCATCTCATTTCAATTTCATTTCAATTTCATTACATTTCATAATTTGCTTTCATTATTTCATTTCATTTCATCTCATTTCATTATTTCATTTCATTATTTCATCTCATTTTTCATCTCATCATTTTTCATCTCATTTCATCTCATCATGTCATCTCATCGTTCATCTCATTTCATCTCATTTTATCTCATTATTTCATCTCATCTCATCTCATTTCAATTTCATTATTTCATATCATTTCATTATTTCATTTCATTTCATCTCATCATTTCATCTCGTTTCATCTCATCATTTCATCATCTCATCATTTCATCTCATTTCATCTCATCTCCTTTCAATTTCTTTTCAACTTTGTCATTTTGTCTCATCATTTCATCTCATCATTTCTACTCACCATTTCATCTCAAAATTTCATCTCATCATCTCATCTTATCATTTTGTCATTTCATCTCATCATTTCATCTCATCTCAAGTCATCTTATCATTTCATCTAAGTGAAATGACATAATGGAATCATGAAATGAAATGGATAGGATGCCCTCAGTGATGTTAAATTTAAAAATTGTTTCTTTTCATGAATGCATTTTTATATTTATATGTATTTATATTTATATTTACTAATATTTCTTTTTACTTATTTTTATTTATATTTTTACTTATTTCTTTATTCATAGACAAGGTCCTGTTCTGTGGCCTAGGCTGGAATGCAGTGGTGCATTCACAGTTCACTGCAGCCTCGAGAAAATCTCCCACATTAGCCTCCCAGGTAGCTGGGACCCCAGGTGCGCACCACCACACCTGGTTAATATTTTATTGTTTGTAGAGATGGAGTCTTGCTATTCTGCCCAGGCTGGTCTCAAACTCCTGGGCTCAAGCAATCCTCCTGCATTGGCAACCCAAAATGCTGGGATGACAGATATGAGCCACAGTGCCCAACCTATTTATTTATTTATTTATTTATTTATTTATTTATTTAATAAGGACAAGATCTCACTATGTTGCCCAGGCTGGTCAACTCCTGGACTCAAATGATTCTCCAAACTTGGCCTCTCAAAATGTTGGGATTACAGGTATGAGCCACCATGCCTGGCCTAAAAATAGTATTATATTTTTGTATCATATAATTTTCAATTAGGTAATATGAATATTCTGTACAGGAAATACACCCTTAATTACATAGGAATAAACATTTGTTACACTGAGAAAAATCTAATAGAGCTAAAAATAAAAATTAATTTGGAAAGGTCATTAGATACTGATACATTCTTACGTTTATACATTCTTTCATATATTCATATATTCTTTTAACAGTATCAATGGTTTGGAGTTATGTGTACAAAACCATGACCTATATGTAATACAACTAATAACAGGCATTTACAATTCAAGGTATATTATATACAAAGCTTTAACTTCTTATCAAAATATTTTGTTTTATTTCTTTCTGTTTTGGCAGATACTATGAACACAACATTCAACTCACAGACACCATGGAGCCCTTACTAAGCATAAAGTACTGTGAAAGGCCAGGGCTAGGACAGAACTAAGACAGGGCCAGGGATAGGACAGAACAGGGGCAGGGTCATGGCCAGAGAAAAACCAGGGGCAGGGTCACGGCCAGGGACATGAGAGGACCAAGGCCAGGGCCAGAAGCAGGGCAGAACCAGGGCCAGGGCAGGGACATGGCAGGGCCAGGGCCATGGCAGGATCAGGGTCAGCAGAAGGCCAGGGCAGGGCTAGGGTAGCACAGGGCCAAGGCAGGGCAGGGTCAGTGTAGAGCAAGGAACGGGCCAGGGTATGGCAGGGCAGGGACAGGGAGGTCCAGGGCCAGAGTCAGGTCCAGGACATGGACAGGACAGGGCCAGAAATATGGCAGGACCAGAAAGGGGACAGGGCAAGGGCAAGGCCAGAGAAGGACCATGGAAAAAACACGGCCAGGGAGGGTCCAGGGCAAGGGCAAGGCCAGGGCAGAAGCAGAGCCAGAGCAGGCCAAAGGCAGGGCCAGGGCAGGGCAAGGCCAGTAGGGTGGGGCCAGTGTAGGGTGAGGGTAGGGCCAGGGTGAGTTCAGGGCCAGGGCAGGACTAAGATAGCACAGGGCCAAGGCAGGGCCAGGGCAGGGCCAAAAGGAGGGGCCAGGGCCAAGCATGGCCAGTGTCAGACCTGGGGATTGTCAGGGCCAGGGTCAGGGTCAAGGCTGGGCCAGGGACAGGGCCAGAGCAAGGGCAGGGCCAGGGAGAAAGCAGAACCAGAGAGGATCCAGAGCAAGGCCAGGGTCAGGGCAGAACCAGGACCAGGATAAGGCAAAGCCAAGGCCAGGGCAGGGCAAGGCCAGGGCAAGGCAAGACCAGGGAAGGGCAAGGCCAGGGTAGAAAAGGCCAGTGTAGGGCCAGGTCAGGGTAGGAGAAGGCCATGGTAGGGCCAAGGCCAAGGCAGGGCAGGGCTAGGGTAGCACAGGGCATGGCCAAAAACAGGGCAGGGCCATAACAGTGGCAGGACTAACAACAGGGCCAGGGCAAGTGCTGGACCAGAGCATGGTGGGGACAATACAGGGCCAGGACAGACGATGGCAAGGCAGGTCCAGGGCCATTTCATGGACTCGGTAGGCCTGGGGTCAGGCCAGGGCAGGGCAAAGGCAAGACCAGGGAGAAGGCAGGGCCGGGCCAAGGCAGTGCCAGGGCAGGGCAGGACCAGTGCAGGGCCAACGCAGGGTGAGGGCAAGGCCAGGGCATGGAAGGGCAGGGAAGGACCAAGGAAGGGCCAGGAGAGGGCCACGGCAGGGTCACGCCCAGAAGGAAGGGTATGGCTGGGGTCAGGAATATGGTAGGACGAGGGCTGGGCCCAGGCTGGGACATGCAGGGCAGAGCATGGACTGTGCAAGGCACGGCCAGAGCCAGGCCATAGAGATGGGAAGGCAACACCAAGGCAGAGTCAGGGTAGATCCAGGGCTGAGCAGAGTCAGGGCAGGTCCAGAGTAGAGGCAGAGCTAGGGCCCAAGCAGGGCCATGGTAGCACCAGGGCAGAGGAGGGCAGGGCAATGCAGGACTGGGCCATGGCAGTGCCTGGTCAACTCCTGGGCAAGGCCAGAAGCAGGACAGGGCCAGGGCCAGTGCTCAGGCCAGGGACAGGGCATGACAGGAAGTGCCAGAGCAGGGCTGGGCCAACGTTGGGGCAGGGCAAATCAGACCAGGACACTTCCAAGTCCAGCTCTGGCCCTGCCTTGGCCCTGGCCCCTTCCTGGCCTGACCTTGTCCCTGGCCCTGCCCTATCCATGCCCTGTGTGTTTGACCAGTGTTTTATAACCAGAATCCTACAAGAAACTTAAATTAGTTCTTTTTGTGCATTTTTAGTAGAGATGGGGTTTCACAATGTTGCCCAGGCTGGTTCCAAACTCCTGAGCTCAAGCCATCTGCCTGCCTTGGCCTCCCAAAGTGCTGGGATTACAGGAGTAATCTGGCCAAGTATTTAACTTCTTTATGCCTGTTTCCTACATTTGGAAAATGGGGATGCTTTAAGTACCTAGCACATAGAATTATTGTGAGAATCAATGCCTCACATATTAACATATTGATAAAATTATACTCATAGAACACTACTGGAAGCAAAGATAGTATTAGTTAAAATTTAGTGATTACTGCAAATATTATTACTATTACAAACAATATAGTATAGACATTACTACTACTATAGTTATCTTAAAAATCTAAAATAAAAATTTTACGTAATAGCCCATTGTAATCTCTCCTGCTCTGCCCTGGCTCAGCCCTAGTGCCGGCTCTGCCCCTAGTCCTACTACATCCCTGGCCCTGACCCTTCCCTGGTCCAGCCGCTGCCCTGGCCCTTCCCATCTTCAGGCCTTACCATGGCCCTACCCTGGTCCTGACCCTGCCCTGGTCTGGTCCTGACCCTGGCCCTACCCCAGAAAAGGGGTATGGCAGAGCCAGGGAAGGGCCAGGGCAAATAAGGGACAGGACACACCCAAATCCAGGAAAGGGCCAGGGCCATGACAGAGCCAGGGCGAGTCCTTGGCAGGGCCAGGTTCCAGGCCAGGGCCAGGAAAGGGTCATGGCAGGGTCACTGTATGGCCAAGGTCCAGGCCAAAGCCAAGGCAGTGGCAGGGTCAGGTCTGCATAAGGGCAGGACCAGAGCCAGTGATACGGCAGGGCCAGGGCCAGGGCCAGGGCTGTGCCAGGACAGAACAAGAGCAGAGCAGGGCAGGACCAGAGCCAGGCCATAGAGAGAGTAGGGCAAATGCCAAGGCAAGGCCAGGGTAGTGCCAGGGCTGAGGCAAGGTCAGGGAAGGTCCAGGGCTCAGTCAAGGCTAGAACCAAGACAGGGGCAGATCTAGGGCACAAGCAGAGCAGGCTAGGGCAGGGCAATGGCAAGACCAGGCCACGGCAGGGCCAGCCCAGGATAGAACAGGGCACAGGCAGGGCAGGGACAGGGCCACAGCTGGGGCAGGACAAGGACCAGGACTGGGGGCCAGGCCAGGGCAAGGGTATGGCCAGGGCAGAGGTAGGGCCAGAGCCAGGGTCTGGGCAGGACCAAGGCAGGTCTATTGCAGGGCCAGGGTTCAGACCAGGGCCAGAGCAGGGCTGGGACAGGGCCAGGGCCAGAACCAGGAAACGGCAATGTCAGGACAAGGGCCATGGCAGGACCAGCAATGGGGCTGGGGCCAGGACAGGGACAGGGACAGGGTCAGGGCTAGGGCCAGAATAGCATGCCAGGGTAGAGCCAGGCCAAATCAGGGACAGGACAGCATCAGGACCAGGGCTGGGCCAGGGTATGGCCTTAAGTAGCGAAGGGCCAGGGCCAGGGTCCATGCCAGTGCCAGCGCCGGTCCAGGGCAGAGGCAGGGCCATGGCCAGATCTAGGACAAGGCTGGGGCAGGGCCAAGGTCTGGGTCAGGGTCAGCAGAAGGCCAGGACAGAGCCAGGGGAGGGACAGGGCCATGGTAAGACCAGGTTACATCAGGGACAAGACACCTGCAAATCCACTTCAGGGCCAGGGTCAGGGCAGGGCCAGTTCAGGGCCAGGGCCAAGACAGGGCCAGGGTCAGGGCTGCCAGGGTCATTGGCAGGGCCAGGGCCATGGCAGGACCGGGGTCAGGAGCAGGGGTCAATGCCAGGCCAAGGCCACACATAGGACCAGGTCTGTGCTAGGGTCAGTGTGAGGGCCAAGGCAGGGTCAGGACAGGGCCAAAGGGAGGGCAGGGCCAGGGCAGGGTGGAGCAGGCCCAGGGTAGCACAGGGTTAAGGTAGGGCACGACCAACCAGGGGAGGTCTATGGTTGGGGCCGGGGCAGGGCCAGAGCCAGGGCACAGCCAAGACAGTGGCAGCTCCTGGGCAGGGCCAGGGTTAGGACCACGGACATGTCCAAAGCCAGTGTCAGGGCAAGAGCAAGGGCAGGGGCAGGGCCAGGTTCATCTAAGAACCAGGGACAAAGCCAGGCCCAGAGCTGGGCCAGGACAGGTACCTGGCAGGGCTAGGGTCTGAGACAGGGCCACGGCAGGACCAGGACCACAACCAGGTCTGTGCTATGGCCAGGTCCAACACAGTGCCCAGGTAAGGCTAGGGTGAAGGCCAAGGTAGGGCCAGGGCAGGGTCAAAGCCAGGCTAGGGCCAAGGCAGGGCCAGGGCCGGCGAGGCAGGGCCAGGAAAGCATACGGCCAGGGCAGGGCGGGGCCAGGACAGTGCCAAGACCTGGGCGGAGCCAGGGCCAGGGCCATGGCCACGGCCTGGGGAGGACCAGGTTCGGGGCAGGAGCAAAACAATGGCAAGGACAGTGCAAGTTCTTGGCACAGCCAGGGTCCAGGACAGTGTCAGGGCAGGGCCAAGGCAGGGTCTGGGCCATGGTGAGACCAGCAACAGGGCTGGGGCTAGGCCAGTGACAGGACCAGAGTCAGGGCAAGGGCCAGAGCAGTGCAAGGCCAGGGTAGGGCCAGGCATTTCAGGGTCAGGGCCAGGAGAGAACCAGGGCAAGGTCTCAAGCAGGGAAGGGCCAGGGCCAGGACAGGTCCAGGGCAGGGCCATGACAGGGCCAGGGGCTGCGTTAGGGCAAGGGCAGGGCCACAGCAAGGTAAGGGTCAGGGCCAAGGCCAGGGTAGGGACAGGGCAAGAAATATGGCATGACCAGGGGCAATGCCAAGGCCAAGGCTGGGCCAGGGCTGAGCCAGGACTGAGTCAGGGCAGGGCAGGGCAGGGCATGGTATGGCCAGTGCAGGACAGGACAAGAGCCGGTCCACAGAGAGAGCAGGGCTGATGCCAAGAAAGAGCCAGGCTAGTGCCGAGGCTGAGGCAGTGTCAGAGCATGTCCAGGGCAGGGCCGGGGCCAGGGCCAGAACCGAGCCAGGGCACAGCCAAGGCAGGGTAGGGAAGGGAAATAGCATGGCCGGGTCAGTACTGGGACAGGACAGAGCAGGGCAAGGAGATGGTAGCGGCAGGGCAGGGACAGGCCAATGCAGAGCCATGTTATGCCGGGGCCAGGACACCTCCAAGTCCACTTCAGGGCCAGGGCTATGGCAGGACAAAGACCACGGCCAGGATCAGGGCCAGGTCTGTGCTAGGGCCAGCTCCAGAGCAGGGTCTAGCGAAGACTAGGGTGAGGGCCAAGGTAAGGCCAGGGCAGGGTCAAAGGCAGAGTAGGGCCAGGGCAGGGTGATGACACATCCAGAGCGCAGCAGGGCAGGGTGATGGCAAGACCAGGGGCAGACCATTGCCAGCTCAGGGCCAGGGAAAGTCCAGTGCAGAGCCAGGAAAGGGTCTGGGTCTGGGTCAGGGCCAGGAACAAGGCAGAGCAGGGCCAGGGCCATGGCAGAGTCAGGGCAGGTCCTTGACAGGACCAGGTTCCAGGCCAGGGCCTGGATAAGGGCAGGGCCAGGGATATGGCAGGACCAGGGCTAGGGCCAGGGCCAGGCCATAGTGAGGGCAGGGCAAAAGCCAAGGGCAGGGTCAGGGCAGGTCCAGGGCAGGTCCAGGGAGCGGCCAGCACCAAGCGGGGCCAAGTCACAACCAGCGCAGGGTAAGGCAGGGCAATGGCACCACTGGGCCATGACAGGGCAAGGTCAGTGCCAGGAGAGGGCAGAACAGGCAGGCCCATGGTGGAGCCAGGGCAGGGATGGGCCAAAGCAGGGCCAGGACATGTCCAAGGCCAGGTCAGGGCCAGAACAGGAGCAGGACCATGACCATTGGCAGGGCCAGTGCCATGACACGACCAGGGTCAGGACAAGAGGCAGGGCCAGAGCCAGGGCCAGAGCCAAGGTCAGGCCAGTGCAGGTTCAGGGCAGGGCCAGTGCCAGGGCAAGACCAGGGCAGGGACAGGGTAGCACAGGGCCAAGACAGGGTCAGGATGGGACCAGAGCAGGACAGGGCCGAGAGTCCAAGTAACAGTAGGGCAGGTACAGGGCAAGGCAGGGCAGTACAGGGCCAGATCCACGGCAGGCGCAGGGCAAAGCCAGGCCCATTGCCAATGCACCAGCCCTCCCTACAAGGCTCCTACCACCTGGCCACTGCTGCAGCCCGTCCATCGCTCTAAGCCTGACCCCCAACCCTGGCTGCAGCCGCCTGCCCTCCTAGCGCAGCCGCTCTCCTACCGCTCTGGTGTACCGCAGTCTCTGTCACTGCCGCCCACCCGCAGTGAGGCGAGCCATGGTGTTGCAGGCTCTAGGTGTCTCCTCCTCCTGGCACAGAGCAGCTGGGCGGGCAAAGCCAGAAAAGCCTAGAGAAAGATGTGAGGGGTGGAAGGGTTAGAGCCTCAACTTGTCATGCCGGCCACTGGGTGGCAGGGGCCAGTTTCAGCAAAGGCACTCACACCCACCCTCCAAAGTCCAGCCTCTCCTTTTGGCCCAAGCTGGGCAGGAACTGGGGTCTGGGGTGGGTGCTGGAGACACCACAGCATCCAGCTCCCCACTCCACAGGAACCATTGGGCCCACTGGGCTGCACTCCTCAGGGAGCAGGAGAAGCAGAAAAATTCAGACCCAGCCAGCCCTCCACACCCAGGTGCCAATTCCTGTTCCGGACGCCTCCACGCACAGGGCCCTGTCCCCCGTGGTGTCCCCAGGGGTGCCTGGCAGCCTCTGAGGCACAGACCCACAGTACACAGGCCCAGGAACCACGGTGGGTGTGGGGGCTCTGCCATGCTCAGGATTCCCACGCAAATGCTGCGTGCCCTGCTGCACTCCAGTATGACCAAGAGTGGGTCGCCCTCTGGAGTGTGGAGTCAGGGAGAGGAGAACCACTCCTTCCTTGGATGCCAACTCTGTTGACCGACACCAGCAGTGCAGCCCCTGATAGCACCGAACTCGCCCCCGCTCCACGGCTAGTCCTGCCCTCAATAGCGCCCCCCACCTCCGTCCCCCAATGCCGCCAGTAGCGTATAACCGATAGTGCCCTAACCTGTCCTCCTCCATGGGCATTGCAGCCCCAGAGAGCACCCATAACCCACCCTCCCTGCCATGGGCAGTGCAGCCCTGTACAGTGCTACCAACCAGTACCCCTAATGCAGGCAATGACACCCTGGATAGCGCCCTCAACCCACCCCACACTGCGAAAGGTACAGCCCTGGATAGCCCCTGTCCTACCACTCTGGTCGTCCTGTAGTCTCTGTCACCACCACCACCAACCACAGTGAGGCAAGCCAGTGGGCCACAGGCTCTAGGACCCAGCAGCCAGGCATGGAGCAGCTCTCGCTGATGGCCAGCTCCTACCACTCTGACCACGCTGCTGTCTGTCTCCGTGGCCATCTTCTTTCACTACAAAGGAATAAAACTAGGTATCAATAAGAAAAGCAATTTTGGAAACAATACAATCACATGGAAGTTAAACACCACCCTCCTGAATAAATGACTAGTGGGTCAATGAAGATACTAAGACAGAAATTCAAAAATTTCATGAAACAAAGGGTAATGAAAACACAGTATACCAAAACTTGTTATGCAGAAAGCAGTACAAAGGCAGAGATTTACAGCTATAAGTGCCTACCATCCAAACAAAAGAAAACCTTCAAATAAACAATACATCTTAAAGAACTAGTAAAGAACAAACTAAACTGAAAATAAGAAAATAAATAAGATCATAGCACAAACAAAATTGAAATAAAAAACAGACAAGATTAAACGAAAAGTTGGTTTTCTGGAAAGCTAAACAAAATTGACAAACTTTTAACCAGGCTAAGAAAAGAGACAAGATTCAAATAAATAAAATCAACAGATTAAAAAAAGGAGACATTACAACTAATACTTCAGAAATTCAAAGGATCATAACTGGCTACTATATGCCAATAAATTGGAAAGCCTAGTAGAAATTGGCAAATTCCTAGATGCATACAACCTACTTTGGTTAAACAATGAAAACATCCAAGACCAGAACAGATTGGTAACAAGTAATGAGATTGAAGCCATCAGAAAAAGTCTCCCAGTAAAGAAAAGCCCAGGAACTGATGTCTTCACTGCTGATGGCTTCACACCAAACAATTTAAAGACCTAGTACGAATCCTGCTCAAACTATTTTGAAAAACAGGAGGGAATACTTCCAAACTTATTCTATGAGACCATTATTACTGTGATACCAAAATCAGACAAAAGCATCAAAGAAGGAAACTACAGGCCAGGATCTCTAATATGGATGCAAAAATCCTCAACAAAATACCAGTGAATCAAATTCAGTAATACATTAAAAAGATAATTCATCATGATCAAGTGGGATGTATCCCTGGGACCCAAGGGTCACTCAACATACAATGTGATACATCATATCAACCAAATAAACGACAAAAACAGTATCATCACGTCAACTGAAACCGAAAAAGCATTTGATGAAATTCAACATCCCTTCATGCTATAAATCCTCAAAGAAACGGGCACAGAAGAAACATACCGCAACATAATAAAAACTACAGGAAAGACACCCACAGCTAGAATCATATGGAATGGGGAAAAATGGAAAGCTTTTCCTCTAAGATCTGGAACATGATAAGGATGCCCCCTGTCACCACTGTTGTTTAACATAGTACCAGAAATCCTAGCTAAAGCCATCAGTGCAGCCCCTGATATGGCCCCCAACCCACCCTGCCCCCTACCACCAGCAGTGTCACCCCCCCAATAGCACACCCAACATACCCAAACTGCCCTGCCTCCCCACACCATGGGCATTACAGCACCCCATAGCGCCCTCAACCCGAAACTGCCACCCCCCCGACAGCCGCACAGTGCAGCCCCGGATAGCACACTTAGCCCACCTCACTGTTGCCAGCAATACAGTCTGGGATAGTGCCCCCAACCGGCTCCCCACCAAAGGCAGTGCAGCCCCGGTTTGGCCCCCAAACCACCCCCCCCCCCCGCCCGGTGCAGGCAGCACAGCCCCAGATAGCACACCCAACCGGCCACCCAAGACGGGCAGTGACGCCTGAGATAGGGCTCCCAACCCGTCCCAGGCCACCCACAGTGCAGCCTGGATAGCGCACTTACCCCGACGTCTTTCTACGCTCTGGCTGGCTGCAGTGTCCATCGCTGCCACCAACCACAAACAGGGCTGCAAACAGGAAGGATTTTATTCACCGTCCATGCGGCCCCGAGTTGTCCCAAAGCGAGGCAGTGCCCCCAAGGTCTGTGCAGAGCAGAACGCAGCTCCGCCCTCGCGGTGCCACCAGCCCGCCTGCCCGGGTCTCTGCTGAGGAGAACATTGCTCTGCCTTCGCTGTATCTCCGAAGTCTGTGCAGAGGAGAACTCAGCTCCGCCCTCGCAATGCTCTCCGGGTCTGTGCTGAGGAGAACGCAGCTCCGCCCTCGCAAAGGCACACAGCGCTGGCGCCGGCGTGGCGGAGAGGCGGCCAGCGGCGGAGAGGCGGCCAGCGGCGGAGAGGCGGCCAGCGGCGGCGCGGTGGAGAGGCGGACAGCGGCGGAGAGGCGGACAGCGGCAGCGCAGCGGAGAGACGGACAGCGGCGGAGAGGCAGACAGCGGCAGCGCGGCGGAGAGGCGGCCAGCGGCGGAGAGGCGGACAGTGGCGGAGAGGCGGACAGCGGCGGCGCGGCGGAGAGGCGGACAGCGGCGGAGAGGCGGACAGCGGCGGAGAGGCGGACAGCGGCAGCGCGGCGGAGAGACGGACAGCGGCGGAGAGGCAGACAGTGGCGGCGAGGCGCGCAGCGGCGGCGCAGGCGCGGAGAGGCGCTGGCGCCGGCTCTGGCTCGGAGAGGCGCAGGCCCAGGCTCCACTCCCCAGCTGTGAAAGGGTAAGAACCAAGGGTGGCTGAGACTCGGGGTTGTTCAGGGCCGGGTGGGCTCTGGACCCAGCAGGCCCGGCACCCAGGTCAGGGCTCCAGGGGAGGCCAGGTGGGCGAAGGCCAAGAAGGGGCTGGGGCTGGTCAGGAAGGGCTCCTGGTGACCAGAGCACTTTGCGTGAGCCAGCGTGGGAGGAAGGTGGGCTGGATGAGCCAGGGAGGCGCCGGGAGGGGCCTTGGCAGAGGCGACCCCCTCCGTCACCCCCAGGCCACTGAACCCTGGGTAGCGAGAACCGACAGGGGAGGCTGCAGACAGAGGAGTGGAGGCTCCCCGGCTTTTGGGGCTCTGAGTAGAAGCATCTAGGGGGTCCCTCAAGAGGCCCCCAGACGCTTCCCCATGGTGAGAAAAGAAGGCGCAGAGAGGGGCACGGCGCCGGCGCAGAGGGGCACACAGCGAGATTTGCTGTGAGTTCTTTTATTGCCCCAAGTGTACCTCATCTTGGTAGATTTCTATTGGCTTTAAAAATGTGTGTGTTTTGCTGTTGGGGAGTGGGGTATTATACGGATGTCAGATTTTGCTGGTTGACTGTTCAGATCTTTTGTAAATCCTTGCTCCTTTTCTGCCTAGTTTCACTCTGTCACTTACACTAGAGTGCGGTGGCACGAACATGACTCACTGCAGCCTTGACTTCCTAGGGTCAAGTACTTCCCCTGGCTTAACTTCCTGAGTAGCTGGTACTATAGGTGTGTGCCGCCACACCTGGCTAAATTTAAAATTTTTTGGAGAGATGAGGCCTTGCTATGTTGCCCAGGCTCGAACTCCTGGCCTCAAGCTATCCTTTGTTTTTGCCTCCCAGAGTTCTGGGATTACAGGCATGAGCCACTGTGCCCGGCCTCTGCCTAGTTTTAACAGTTGCTAAGAGGAGGATGTTGAAGTAGATGTCTTCTTGGTGGGTTAATCCTTTTGTCATTAAGCAGTTGTTATGGTCACTTCCTTTTCACCCCATTGGTGAAGGAGGGGTCCCTGCCCTAAAGTGTAGGAGATGGCTGAACACGACACCTGGCGTGGATGGATGAGATTGACAGCAGTGTTTTAGTCGCATATACCCACAGCTCAGAGGAGGACACTGCATGCCACACAGGGTCAGATGGGCACCGCACTCTGTAGCGGAGTGAGGGCTGCGGGCTGAGGAAGCAGGCGGGCTTGGTAGTAACAAGAGCACACAATGACCAATGGTTCCCAAGGGGGAATGCAATTGGCTTGTTTGAATAAATTCATGGGCTCGCAGACAGGTGAAGTGAAACTTCTTAGGCTGAGGTGCAACTGTTCTGGCTGATAAAAGAACTAGCCAGGTGGGGAGCCTTTCCTGTTGGGTGGCAGGGTAGGGGGTGTCTGGTAGAAACAGGAAAACCCACGGCTAGGCCTTTGGGGCCCTGTGAGGCTCAAAGATGTCAAGGCAGCATAGGAAATTTTAGATCTTAAAATTCAGCGAAGACCCTCTCCAGCTCTGGTACATTATTTTGCTTGAAGTCTACTTCATGAGATATTAATATATTCACTCCTGCTTCCTTAAAAAATTAATGATTTCACAGGATATCTTTCTCCATTCTTTTACTTTCAACCTACTTAGGTCCTTAAGTGAGTTTGAAGTTTCTTATGAACAGTATTTAGTTGGGCCATGTGTTTATTATAGGCTCTCCATCAATCTGTCTTTTGGTTTATTTAGACCATTTACATTTAAGGTGCTTATTGTTACATAATTGCTTATGTCTGATGTTTTTATTATTTGCTTTTTTGTTTCCTTTTTCTTTCCCTCCATCTTGATCTATTTCTGTATAATGTTGTTGCGTGTATCTCTTTGTATAGTCTTAAAGTGTTTGCTCTGGATGTTACAATATGTGTATTGTAATATAGTAGTCTACTGGTACCAGTATTTACCACTTCAAAGTGTGGAAACCTGCCTTGCATTTATGTCTCTTTACCTTTTCCACTTGTATAAATCACTGGCTTGAGTATTAGGTGGTGGTATAGTTTTTGTTTCAGTCGTCAAATGTGATTTTAAGAACTGTGGATTGTCTCGCGTATGTATCCACATTTCTCATCTTTCCTTTGTCCCTCCTCCCATAGTCCCATATTCATCCCTTCTGCATAAGAACTTTCTATAGCCATTTTTTTTATTTTGATTTTTTTGTTTTAATTTTTTGTATTGTGGAAATGACAGAACATATTTCCGTAGCCATTTTTTAGCATTTCTAAATTGACCAGTGACAAATTCCTATATTCTCTTCCTCTGAGAATGTCTTTATTTCTCTCTTCATTTCTGAAGGGTAGTTTCATGGGATATAGAATTTGCCTTTCATGTATTCAGAGGTTTTCAGTATTCGTATAATCAAACCTGATAGTTTTCCTTTTGGTTTTGAGGTTGTGTCTTGTTTGGGTGAGTCTCCTACCCCTTTGACTACAGAAATGCCCTTTCATTTTAAATATCCTCCTATTATGAAACACATTTCCACATTTTCTAAATTTTTAATTTTTAGCTGAGAAATAAATTAGTAATTATTTAAGTATTAATTACTTTTATCTTGTTATTAATTATTGGTTTTATTTATTTACATGTAGTTGGCTTACATTTAGTTTAGTTTAACTTAATTACTTTAAAGTAATGTATAAATATCTGCAGTTTGTACCTCATGTTCTCACTCATAAGTGGGAGCTGAACAATGAGAACACGTAGACACAGGGAGGGGAACATCACACACCAGGTTCTATCCAGGGGTTGGGGGCAAGGGAAAGGAGAGCATTATGACAAATACCTAATGCATGCAGGGCTTAAAACCTAGATGACAAATTGATAGGTGCAGCAAACCACCATGGCACATGTATACCTATGTAATAAACCTACATGTTCTGCACATGTATCCCAGAACTTAAAGTAAAATTTAAAAAAAAAATAATTAATTAAAAATATATATCTTCAGTTTGTAAACGTCCCGACAACGCAGGAACAGAGTTAAAAGAGTGTGTGTCGTCCTTAGCTGCTCCCACCCCATCGTCTCCTCCCTAGCCAACCCAGCCGCCAGTCTGGCGTGCGCCTTCAAGGTTTCTTCCTAGACACTGGCAAACATAGATCACTATTTTCTGCCACATGGTATCTTTTAAACACACACGATTGTTTTGTGCAGAAACTTTCTATTTTTACCTCTCATAAGTGTCCTGTGGATTCTTTCCATGTCACTGTGGTGTGTGTGCGTGTGTGAGATTCAAGTTCAGCTTGCTAATCTTGTAGAAAGAATTACACTCCACTTCCCCTGTGCTCTGGCCCTCCCTAACACAGCAGCCCATCCCTGGAGGCTGATGGAGCCCCTTGAGCACCTGCTTACCATTTCTGTTTGTTCTGTTTATTCAGGTTTTCTGCCTCCTGCTAAGCCAATTTATACATTCCAAGAAAATCTTCCATTTCATCCAGGTGAAACAGAACCTACTGGAATGAAGCTGGCCTCCCATGGAATGAAGCTGGCCTCCCGTCTCCTTGATTTGAAGCAGCTTCTCCACGTTGGTTATTATGCCATTTTTCTAAATCTAACATTTTAAAATTTGTGCCTTTTCTTTCTCTTTTGCTTGACTTCTCAGAGGTTTTTTTAACGGTCTTTTCAAAGAAGTGGTTTTCGGTTTTATTTATCAAGTCTACTTTTATTATGGCTGTTTTAAAATTAAATACATTTATTTCTTGTTTCTCTTAAAAAAGCTTCTTGTATGTTTACTTAGTTTATATAATTTTATATGTCTTCTGTTGAAGCATATTAACAAACACTTCCAGCTATAACATTTCCCCTGAGAACTGCTTTGGACACATCCAGATATTTTGATAGGTCACACACTTATTGTAGTTTGTTTCTGAAAAGTTTTTCATTTTAGTTTTTATTTTCTCTTTTACTCAAATTATCATCAGCTTTCTCCTTTTATCCTGTTTCTGACAAATTAATCTGAGGATATAAATCTCTCCCTAAATGTCAATTTTGTTGAGTTTCATAATTTTAATATGTAATACCCTATTGCTATTGAGTTCCAGGCATTTCATAATTTTCATTGTGAAAACTAACTTTGTTTCCAAAACACACTTTTTCTTCTTTTTTGAGACAGAGTTTCACTCTGTCGCTCAGGCTGGAGTGCAGTAGCACAATCTCATCTCACTGCAACCTCTGCCTCCTAAGTTTAGGTGATTTTGTTGCCTCAGCCTCCCTAGTAGCTGGGTTTACAGGCTCTTGCCACTATGCCTGGCTAATTTTTTGTATTTTTAGTAGAGACAGGGTTTCGTCATGTTGCCCAGGCTGGTCTCGATCTCCTGACCTGGGGTGATCCACCCGCTTCAGCCTCTCAAAGTGCTGCGATTACAGGCATGAGCCACCGTGCCCGGCCCCAAAATGCACTTTTAACATGGTCTTTGTTATTGCATGTTTCTAATTTTGTTGCACCCTGGTGAGAGAATGTGATTTGTGTAACAGCAATTCTTGGGAAAGGGGCTGAGGCTTCCTGCTCCTTTAGCACAGCTAAATTTTCCCAAACGCCATCCATGAGCTTGGAAAGAGCATTGTACTCTGTTGGGATGGGCTCAAATCTCTCTGTAAAAATGAGTGTTCTTCTGTTGTTGTTGTTCTGTTTTTTGTTTGTTTTGTTTTGTTTGTTTTTTGTCTCAGTCGTTTTGTTTGCTCAGATCTTTTGATGATCCGGATAATCTTTTAATTTATGCAGGATGTTTCTCTGCTTGTGCAGGCTGGTGGGATTGGGGACTGGAGAGAGGATAAGTGTCTGCTTGCCCAGGACTGGCAAACTGTCACTTGCCCTGGTTGTGCCTTGCCAGGAGCTCCCGTGCCTGTCTCTGAGAGTGTCATGAGCGCAGCGGTGGTAGTTGTGTGGTGGATGCATTTCCCCTAGGTTGGGGGGTGGGTGGCTGGTCCTAGCTCTGTTTGTTGTTGCCGATGAGACACAGCACACTTCTGCTTCCTGATGGATCTTGTCAGTCATTTGACTTCTTCCTGGTCTGGGCTCCTGAGCTGGCCCTCTGCAGGCCAAGCAGGAATGGAGCTGGCTGCTACAAGAGTTCCTTCACTAGAGGGCATCTCTCCTCTCTCCTCCCACACATGGGAACACAAGGGTGGGCTTTCCTCCACCCACTGTGATCCGCAGCCCGGCTTTCCCCTCCTCACCCTCTGCTCTCAGACAGACTTGCTTTTCCCTGGTGTCTGTGAGAGGTGATTCTTCATGGTGCCAAGAATGTGGATTTTTTTGAGAGCAGGCACTCTCACAGATATTTGCACACCCATGTTCAAAGCAGCGTGATTCACAAGAGTCAAAAGGTAGAAGCATTCTGAGGGTCTATGGGTGAGTGGATGGGCAAGCGAAATGTGGTTATGCATACAGTAGACTGTTACTGAATCTTTACCAGGAAGGAGATTCTTTTTTTTCTTTCTTTTTGTGGAAAATGCGGTCTCGCTATATTGCCCAGGCAGGTCTCGAACTCCTGGGTTCAAGCTATCTTCCTACCTCTGCCTCCCTAACAGCTAGGATAATAGGCGTGAGCCTATGATATTACCCAGCCAGGAGGGAAATTCTGAGAGGTGTGCCAACAGGCATGAACCTTGAGGACATTGTGCTAGATGGAATAAGCCAGCCACAAAAGGACAAATACATTGCGATTTCACTTACATGAGGGGCCCATTATGGGCAAATTCAAATACAGAAAGAGCAATGGTTAACAAAAGGAGGAAGTTGGTGTTCAATGGGTATGGTTTCCTTTTGCGAAGATGAAGAAGTTCTGGAGATGGACGGTGGTAGGGGATATGCGACAATGTGAGTGCACTTAATGCCAGTTATAACACGGGGAGTGCGTGTGCACACGGCTCTGGGAGTTCTCGTGCAGCACTCAGAGCTCAGCGTGGGCGAGGGCGTCACCCCTCTGGGGGCGTCCATGGGGCCTTGGAGAAGGGAGGCTCCGGGGCACCAGAGCAGTCTACCGGGAGAGGCCGGGCCGAGCGCTTGTTCACCCCCAGCCCTCTTAGGGAACTTTCACATGCTTCTCCCACTAGGCCTAGGCACCCCTCCCCACCCTCCCTACCCTCCCTACCTTCCTGGTTCCCTGACCCTCGGTGACTGTGTCCTTCAAGACTGAACTCCAGAGTCCCCACCCGAGGACCCGCAGTGCCCAGCCCCCGCGAGCTCACGGGGTGTATGCCCACCCCGAGGCTCCACCGCGCCTGTGTGCTGGGAAGCCTGGCTCCATGGGACCCTCGGGCTCTGAGCGCGCCGTCGCTGCAGCTGCCAGCAGCTCCTGAGGAAGTGGCTCGAGGCCCTGGGGTGGGCCAGGCGTGCGGTGGGCCCGCTGCCCTCACACCGGCCCCGGCCGCACACAGGAGGCGCAATCAGCAGAGACGTTGGACAGGGTTGGACACTGGCTGTCTCTTTCGGGCCTCGGTTTTCACGTCTGAAATAAAAGCGAGCATCCTGGCCCTGGTGCTGTGCCTCTGCCGCGGTAGAGGTTTCCACCCCTATGAGCCCAGTGCGCCTTCCAGGCTTGAGGGAGAGGGAGTGTGCGTGCCTGTGAACGCGTCACACTCGTGTGAACGCGTCATACGCTTGTGAAAGACTGTGCGTGTGCACACGCGTGTACATGCATGTGAACGCGTCAGGGTGCCTGAGGATGCACACATGCACCTGTGAGTGTGCGCGAGTGCGTGCTCAGAGGACAGCTCTCAGCAGGCTGGGGACCTCCTTCCTCTCACTCCTGAGGGTTTTGGGGGACCAGCCCCCGTCTCCAGGTGCTGTGGGATGCCCTGGGGCGAGCTCGCACCGCTGTGCTCGGGCTCCGGCTTTGTGGGGACCCGGCCTTCCCGGCCCGCACCACGGGGAGTTCCACGCAGCACCCACGAGGTGGCGCCGCAGACTCGCTACCGCGGAGCGCGGCGGCTCCCGGCTCCCAGCAGCCTTGCCTACAGCTGTGGCCAGGGCGATCCCTCTCAGGCCCAGGCCGCTGCTGCCAGGAAGAGCAGGAAGAACAGCCAGTCACGCCTGGTGATGCCTCTGAAGTGCTTATGCTCCCAGGCATGGGCTGACCGCAACGTACATTCTCTCCTTTTATGCCCCTACTATTTGGAACGCTGTATTTTTTTCATTTTTATTTTTATTTTTTGTTGTAAATCTGCCACTTAAAAATACCCAGGGTGGAGCTAAAAGTACAGACACTGCTCAACTTACCCCTGGCTGCGGCCCGATAAGGCCGCTGCGAGTGGAAAATGACTGAGTCCACCTGACTACCGAATAGCACAGCGTAGGGGGGCCCACCTTGGCCTGCTGAGAACACTGCCCTGAGCCTGCGGTGGGCAGAAGCATCAACACGAAGCCTGTTTTGTAGTCAAGTGTCGGATACCTCATGTAATCATTGACTGCTGTACTGAAAGCGAAAAACTGGCCGTGTGGGACTCACACGAGGGTTTCTGCTGACTGTGGATGGCTTTTGCATCACTATAAAGTTGAAAACTGTTAAGTGGAACTGCGGTAAGTCAGGGCTGTGTGCACTAGAGACCTGAGTTCTGCTGCTCCATAGCTGTGTGACTTTGGACACATATTTGAGCCTGAGTGTCTTCCACACAAAATGGATTTCTTAGCATAACCTACACATGTGTACGTGCCTGTGAGCGTGCACGTGTGTGTTTGCATGAACACATCTGTGTATGCACGAGTGTGTGCACATTTGTATGTGTCTGTGTAAGTCCGTATGTACATTTGTGTGCATGTCTGTGTGTGCATATGTTTGTATGTGTGTGTGCTATGCATGTGTGTGTTAAGGCCCTGGGGTGGAGCTGAGGAGTTGAGGGGAGATGCTGGGAGGGCAGCCAGCACCAGGCGTTTGTTGGCCAGGAGAGAAGCTGCCATCCAGGTGCACTCTGGAGCTCGTGCTTCAGTGGCACAAGGCTTTGGGAGTGAGGAAGCTGGGGGCTGGGGCAGGGCAGTCCTGCACCTCAGGGGAGGTGCAGAGTGAGGCCAGGAGGATGGAAAGAGTGCCAGAGAATGGGGGAAATCTGAGGCATCAGGAAAGGAAGACACAGGCCATGGAGAGGGCAGCTGGGCCCTGGGTGAGGCCGGCCCTCAGGAAGGAGGTGCCATAGGCAGGGGAGTGCCCAGATGGAGAGCCCAGGGGTATGGACCCACGGGTGTATGACAGTGGGGGTACTCCTGAAACAGAGCAGTGTTATCCAACAAGCAGGGTTGGGACAGCTAGTTATTTCATTTAAAAAAACAGGTCAATGTCAGTCCTCATACTGTGGTTTAAAATAAGCTCCAGATAGACTCATGTTTTACATGTAAAGAAAAAAAGGCAAAAAGAAAATAAAGAAAAGGCTTGTAAGCAGGTAGTTAATTGGAGGCAATCCCAGGATGCAGGAGAGAGGGGAAATACTTTTAGACCTAAAATTTGAAAAATATAGTAAAAATGATTCCCATATGTGCCTCTTTCAGCTTGCTCTAATGTCAGCATCATAAATAACCACAGCATAAGTATCATAACCATGAAATGAACATAGATATAATGTTATTTGTTAACTCATTTAAAATACCATATGGATTTCACTGATTTTTCCCGTTGATGACTTTTTTTATGTTACAAGATAAAATTCAGGTTTCTGTATTTTATTTGGTTATCCTGTCCTTAATATCTTTAAATCTGTGATAGTTTTTCACTTTTGTTTCTCTTTCATGGCCTTCAAACATTTGAAGTTTACTGTCCAGGTATGTTGAAGAATGTCCTCCTAGTTGGGTTTGTATATGATGTTTACTACTGATTTAATTCACACCATTAATTTTTGGCAAGAATAATACAGACAGATGTATCCTCAGCGCTTCACATCAGATGTTACATAATGTCAACATGTCTTATAGGTGGTAATAAATGAATATGATCAATGAAATCCCATTTGAAAGGAAGTTTTGGACAAAAATAATGAAAACAACTGCTTCTATCACTCTTTCTACTAGGTCATTGCAGACGTCATTAGGAATAATCTGTTTCTTCCTTATCGAATATGTACTTTATTTTAACAAACTTTAATCTTTTTACAGTCTACTGCATCACAGCGAAAATTGAAGAAATAATTTAGTTCACTTTTAAATGGCAAATGTTTCCATAATAACCATTTGCCACTGAAATGTTGATAGCCTGAAGAAAGAAAAAGAATGGGATTTATTCAGCCATGGTAGTATCTTCACATGAACAGCTTTTACTGAGTCAACTATTTGGATAAATAAATAGAATTTTCTACTACTTAGAATGTTGCAAAATTCAAATGGAGCAGTGTAGCATGCACTGAGCTACCTCTACTGGGAAAGTTAAGAACCACTGAGGCTATATAAGGATTCATACAGTGAGTCACTATTTCTGGAAACCTGGGATTCTGGTGCCTCAGTTGAAAAGAGTCCAAGAATCAAAGTCCAAATTATTCAATGATTTTTTTTTAGAACTGCAAAATGTCCAAATAGAGCAGAGACGCTAAAACTGAGTGGCCACCACATTAGCTGTCTGTAAAGGAAGCAGCTGGTAAAATCTAGTAAACACTGATGGTCTTGTTGAGGTTTTTGTTTCATGTTGAATCACTGTGGGAGGTAAGTTATAATCCTGCTGACAGTAATAAACTGCAAAATCTTCAGGCTGCAGGCTGCTGATGGTGAGAGTGAAGTCTGTCCCAGACCCACTGCCACTGAACCTGGCTGGGATGCCAGTGGCCCTGGTGGATGCACCATAGATGAGGAGCCTGGGAGCCTGCCCAGGTTTCTGCTGGTACCAGGATAAGTAGCTGCTGCTAACACTCTGACTGGCCCTGCAGGAGAGGGTGGCTCTTTCCCCTGGAGACAAAGACAGGGTGGCTGGAGACTGTGTCATTACAATTTCTCCGGTGGTATCTGAGATTGGAAATAAAACAGAAATGCACTCATGTAATCTAGATCAAACCAGCTGTCTTTGAGTAGAGCCAAAATTGTTCATCTACTTTGAATTTTAATTATATTTCTTGCTGAGCAGAGAAAACTCCTGATGGAGTTTTCACTGATGTGCAAAACCACCTCATATTCCCCTCACCTGGGAGCCAGAGTAGCAGGAGGAAGAAGAAGCTGTGCTGGGGCTTCCATGGTTCCATCTGGGTCCTAACTGAGCAGTTCCTCCCCAGGGCTCTGACCCAGGCATTGATATGGGCCCTGGAAGGTAGGGCAGCTGGGAGGGACATGCAAAGCAGCTGGGGTGGGAGCTGGGCTTCCAGCTGCAGATACCACCTGCTTCTTCCTCTCTGCACTGAGCATCCTGCGCCGCCTTGGTTGTCAGGTCAGAAAAGTCTGTTGGCTCAGTCTGAGTGTAGAACTCCTCCCTTGTGCTCACAGAATTTCACTCCTGTGCCTTTCTTCTCTTCAATCACCTAAATACACCCGTATAATGTTTGGCACAAGTCTGTTAAGAACAATATAAAAGGCTGTGTTTTCATTTCTCTCTTCCTGTCCTCAATATGCCCAGTCATCTCCCTAAGTGCATTATTGGATCGATGGAAATGAAGAGTCTGTTAGAACTTAATCTTCCAGATACACATTTTTTTTTTTTTTTTTTTTTTTTTTTTTTTTTTTTTTGAGACGGAGTCTCACTCTGTCTTCCAGGCTAGAGGGCAGTGGTGCGATCTCCACTCACTGCAAGCTCTGCCTCCCAGGTTCACGCCATTCTCCTGCCTCAGCCTCCCGAGTGGCTGGGACTACAGGCGCCTGCCACCATGCCCAACTAATTTTTTGTATTTTTAGTAGAGACGGGGTTTCACCGTGTTAGCCAGGATGGTCTCGATCTCCTGACCTGGTGATCCACCCGCCTTGGCCTCCCAAAGTGCTGGGATTACAGGCATGAGCCACCGCGCCCGGCCCAGATACACCTTTCATTTGCTTATTAGTAATGTTTTCTGAGGGTCCTGAAGCTTTCCATTAACCCAGATACATACCCTCTTTGAGTTAAAAACTTCTGTTTACAGTCACATGTCCTGGCAGCCCTGACATAGATGCTCCATGGCTTCCCGATTGCTTGAAATTAATCAAGTAACTTAACTTCCCTGTGTCTCGGTTTCCATATCTGTGTAACTGTGACAATAGTGGTACCTGCCTTACAGTGCTGTAGACAGTTTAAAGAAAATAAGATAAAACATTTACAGTAGTATTCAGGACATTATGTGTGTGGCAATTAATTTTGTTTTCATTGTTTAAATGTTCAGCACTACAGTCATCATCATTATAAATATACTTACCATGGAAATTAGTCTTAAATCTAATCCAAGAATGTTTTATCCACAGTCAAATTAAATTCTAAGGCATTTTCTTCAGTAACTGTACACAACTCTTAAAATCCTAATGATTTGATCTTAATCTGTGCTAAAGTACTCAGACCTTCAATCATTCCCATCCATCCCTGTCTAACGCATTACTTCTCATCATCCATTATTTAAATGTTACCCTATAAACAGTTCCCATGTCCTGTTGCTGTCCTTCTTTCTTATGTAATCTTTATTCTACCTTGTTATCTTTTATGTTATTCTTGCCCCAGGACTGACAATAAGGAAAAACTACCATCATTACTTGTAGACTTGCTCCAGTATAATTTTTTCAGGCTTGTTGTCTTGGAAATGAGGACTGTGTCTTGCAAAGAAACATATTCATTGGGTCAATGTGTTATGAAATAAAAGATTTTATCTACTTATGATCCAATAATTAATTTAGACTGACTTGAACAGATTTTTAATGACAAAAAGGAGAAGACGATATAAGAGAAAAATTTAATACAATAGAAAACACAAGCTAATATAACACTTGCTTCATGGATTTTTACATGTATATTAGACATATGCTGGGTATATGTGTGCAATGATAATCTAAAAACTGAATGCTAAGTAGCTTAAGGAATGCCTGCATTACACTGAGTCTTGCCCACTTTTCCAGTTATGAAAAGAAAGCTACAGCACTATTTGTATGAGTATCAAACCTTCTAGATGCTGTGATAGAGGTAGAGAAGATTTACTGAGACCAAAGCCTTGGAAGTAGTAGATGCTTGTTCTATGATATTATGTGGTTGTGGTTGTTGTTAGGAAATACAGTGGGAGTGAAAGCAAGGAGAAGATTTACAAGCTCTGCTCTTCCTCATACTCACAACCCCCTCTAGAGATGGACAGATGTTGGTCCAGGAATCTCTGACACCTCTTAGAAGCCTTTTGCTCTTTCCAGAATGTTTCCTGACAAGTATTGTTTTGAGTCACAGATTAGGTGAAACTAGGTGTAGAAGAAAGGACTAGAGCAAGGGAAGAAGTTTTCCATCCCAGACAGTTGTAGGAACAGGGAAATTGAATTTTTCATAGATTTATGTGATACTTGTATCATGTTGGGGAGAGAGGCATCAAACCAGGCTCATTACTGAAAGAATTATTATGTTATTTAAGAGAGAAAGAACTGTGAATTTCTTGTCAAATAGATGTTTAAAATTCAAAGCTACTGATTTTTTTTTTTTTTTTTTTTTTTTGGAGATAGAATCTCACTCTGTCACCCAGGCTGGAGTGCAGTGGCACAATCTTGGCTCGCTGCAACCTCCATCTCTCCATTTAAAGCAATTCTCCTGCCTCAGCCTCCCAAGTAGCTGGGATTACAGGTGTGTGCCAACATACCCAGCTAATTTTCATATTTTTAGTAGAGACGGGGTTTTGCCATGTTGGCCCGGCTGGTCTCAAACTCCTGACCTCAGGTGATCTGCCTGCCTCGGCTTCCCAAAGTGCTGGAATTGTAGGATTGAGCCACTGCGCCTGGCCCTACTGATGTATTAATATTATTCATCTTCTTGAATACAACAAGTGGTAAAGTGCAAATCCACACTTTAAACTTGAGATTTCTACTCCTATGTGAATTATACTAGTGAGGAACAAAAAAATTCTCTATTGGTGGGGAGATGATGTTTGACAGCGGTCAGTTTGTGAAGCAGAGGCTTATGTCACAGGACTTTTTACAGTATTACATATAAACATGGTGAATGGCCTCAAACACAGAAGAATCAGCTTTTTTCATGAGGCATACTACCACCAAGAAAGAACTGAATTGAAACCTGTGACTACTTGATGAAGGGTGTATAAAGAAGAGGGAAAGATTTGGGAGGCCAAGGCAGGTGGACCACGAGGTCAGGAGATCAAAACCATCCTGGCTAACATGGTGAAACCCCATTTCCATTAAAAATACAAAAAAGTTAGCTGGGCGTGGTGGAGTCCCAGCTACTCGGGAGGCTGAGGCAGGAGAATGGCATGAACTGGGGAGTCGGAGGTTGCAGTGAGCCAACATTGCACCACTGCACTCCAGCCTGGGTGACAGAACAAGAATCTGTCTCAAAAAAAAAGAAGAGGGAAAGAAAAATGACACAAAACACAATATCATAAACGGAAAGGAAGAAGTCATTACACAGCCTACAGGAGTCAAAAAATAAAGAGAGGATATTATGAGTAATTTGATGTCAACTGACTTGACAAAAGTGGTGCAGGGCAGGTTCTTGGCTTCACTCAGGAAGGAATGCAGCGTAAGCTGGTGGTAGAAGAAAACAGCTTTACTGAGGTGGCAGTGTTACAGCTTTGTGACTGTTCTTGTGAAACAGAGCTACCACATAGGCGTGCCAAGAGCAGTAGCGTAGGGGCAGTTTTGCACTCATATTTATCCCCACTTTTAATGACATGCTAATAAAGGAGTGGGTTATTCAGAAATAGCTAGAAAATGAGCAATAACTTTCAGGTGTTGCCATGGCAATGGTAAACTGATATGGCAATGGTGGGCATGTGTTATGGACAGGTGCTTCCAGTGTCTCTTCCTTGTGTCAGCCAGTCTTCAATCTGGTCCTGGGTTGAGTCCCACCTACCTCCTATCTCATTGCTCCCTCAGAGATTAGATACTCCTCCTTAATCTTAAGGGGACTGCAGAAGAGCAGAGTCCCTTTTCTGTAAGTGCTTCCTGCTGACTTTATGGGGGCAGGCCTTCCCTAGCCTTTGAGGAGTAAAAATCTTTGGTACCTGAACTAAGGGGCCCAATGGCACGATGCATTCATTTGTGGGGTCAGAAGACAGAATGGGTTGGAAGACTTATGACAGACCGTATCATCTTTACATGAAATTTAGAAGACATAAACTTTACTAGGATGTTAAACAAGAAAATTATAATTGGAAGAGAGGGAAAAATTAATGCTCCTAGGTCCACCTACAGAACCATGTTATTAATCTATGTGTTTGCAAAACAACACCCTTAAGTTTTCTGTTTTATAAATGGAGGTTGTGGTGTCCACCTTTTGTGGCTGTAGGACCTTGTAAGAAACAGTTTTAATCCTGGGCAGCTGTACCCAACTAGTGGCTTCCTGAAGCCTAACAGTAATTAAGAGTAATTAAGAATATCTGATAATGGCTCCTTATTCTGGTTATTATTGATTCTTGGGGGATCATTTTGTTGTTGTTGTTGTTGTTTTGTTGTTGTTGTTGTTTTTTCTTTGAGATGGAGTCTCGCTCTGTTGCCCAGGCTAGAGTGCAGTGGCACAATCTTGGCTGGGCTCACTGGAACCTCTGCCTCCAGTTTTCAAGCTATTTTCATGCCTCAGCCTCCTGAGTGGCTGGGATTACACGCATGTACCATTTTCATGCCTCAGCCTCCTGAGTGGCTGGGATTACACGCATGTACCACCATGCCCAGCTAATTTTGTAATATTAGTAAAGATATGGTTTTGCTATGTTGGCAAGGATGATTTCAAACTCCTGGCCTAAGTGATCCGCCCATCTCAGCCTCCCAAAGTGTTGAGATGAAAACATCACAGGAGCTGATGAAAAAGGAAAAGGAGACAGCAATGATCCCAGGCCTTTTTAAAGGGAGAACAAGCTGAAAGCAGCAAAACACAACAGTTAAATCTCTAAGACACTAATCTCAGAAGTTTTAAAAGAAACTCATTATTGTATCACAGGCAAAATTTTTTGTTTTACTTGTTTTTTTTTTTTTGAGATAGAGTCTCGCTTTGTCACCCAGGCTGGAGTGCAATAGCATGATCTTGGCTCACTGCAACCTCCACCTCCTGGGTTTCAGCCATTCTCCTGCCTCAGCCTCCTGAGTCGCTAGGGTTACAGGTACATGCCACTGTGCCTGGCTAATTTTTGTATTTTTAGTAGAGACGAGGTTTTACTATGTTTGCCAGACTGGTCTTCAACTCCTGACCTCAAATGATCCTCCCACCTTGGCCTCCCAAAGTGCTGGGATTACAGGCATGGGCCACCATGCCCAGCCTTAAAGCTGTATTTTTATTAAGTAAAGCGTAGAGGAAAAAGTGTAAATAAAGTGACAGAAGGAAAACACAAGGCTGTTATGGAAAATGATAACCTTAGGGCAGAAAACAAGAAAAGGCAAACCAAGATTTCCATAGGGTGAGGCTCCAATCCACAATCCTCGGACGAATGTCAATGCTAAAAACCTTGGAGCATCCAGGGAGTGGCCAACAGTACTAAATGCTGAAAACCCAGAGTACACGAGTATCAGCCTATGAATGTCCCACACCAAATGCCAGGAAACCCTGGAGTATCCAGGGGCTGACCAGTGCAGAAAATCCTGGAGCCTCAGTGGGGTGGCCAACAATGAGCCCCAAAGGCCCGGTTGGGGCCATAGAACAATGTGACTCTGGCTTCTTAGAGTCAACAGAACAGGAGAATTCTTACATCCAAGTGTCCTGCCTTAAACAATTGCACAAACATAATTAGTAGGGACCCAAAGAAAAAACTGCAAAGCAAACACATATATCGGGGCAGAAAATAAGATAAAATGGCTGATGGATAAATAAAATGTCATTAGAGGAGAAATGACTAAGAGAAAGATCAATGAGGATGTAGTCAGGTGTGCTATGGGGGACTTCAAATGGACTATTTAGCCAAAGGCCTTATTTCCTGGATCATCTGATATAGGGAAGGTGGGTAGATGGGACACTTACAGGTGTGCAGGAGCCAAAATGGTGCCAAGCAGTCTCTAACATGAGGCCTGCATGAAGATCTCTCCAGGCTCCCCAGCTTGGGTGGGTTGAGCTCCCACGGGTGAACTGGTGCATGGAGCGGCTGGCCTGCATGAAGCAGTGGCTCTGTGGCCACTTACCTATCTGCTCAGCTCCACTGCCTGTCAGGAAAGACGATGGCTCTTCAAACAGCCTTTGGCCAGTCTTAACAGCTCTGCAATGTTAGCAACTATGTAGCTTTAATCGCTGTAGCGCCGATCTCGCCCTCTCTCACTGATCGCTGACTTGCCACTTCTCCAATAGCTGTCTCGCCCATTGCTGATCGCTATGTCCATCTTCTCACAAAATGCCATCTCTTGCTGTCTCTTGCTGTCTTGCTTCTCCACTGTTTCTGCTGTCTCACCACCACATCAAACACTGCCTCTCACCATGTCCCATTTATCCTCCCTCCTTATTAAACATCCATCTGCATGTCCAGGCCTGGCATCCCCAGGCTGATGTCTCTGTCCTGGGCCAGGTACTGGAGAGTATTGTTCCTCCAACTTCACCAATAAGCCATGGTTCTCTCAAATCAAACCTTCTTAGTGTGCCAATTTTGCCAAGAAGGTTTGCTGTGCACTGGTTGCCAACTCACCCAAATCTAGTGAGACAGAACACCCATGCACAACCAGTTACATGAAGTGGATTACTACTTACAGAGTCAGCAAGAGAGAGCACAAAGCTGCCTGGGCCTGATTGACTCTAGACCTTGCATAACACAAAAGGACCGCAGCTGAGGGACCCTGGAATGCAGCCCACCCTGGGTTTTATGTCTTAGAATCACATGACACACTGGGCTACAGTGTTGAAGGAATTCCTGTTTCTAGTAGGGACAGAAACAGAACCCAGGCTGTTCTGGCCAATCATGCCCTATCTCAGAATGTTACAGTTCCAGAACATTCTACAGTTATTCCTGAAAACTACAATCAAGAAAAGGAAGGAGACTGGGTTAATTCGTGACTAAATGGAAACTGTTCTGCAAATACCACAGTGAAATCAAAACTCAGTATTTTTGAGACTGGGTTATTTCACTTAGTGTAATGTCCTCTAGTTCCATCCATGTTGTAGCATGTGTCAGAATTTCCCTTTTTAAAACTAAATAATATGGAATAGTATGTATATTACCACATTTGGATTACCAGTTCCCTCCTTTGTGAACATTTGAGTTGCTTCTACATTTGGCTACTGTGAATAATTTGCTTCTGAATGTGGATATACAAATATCTCCTCAATTTAATGTCTTCCATTACTTGGGTATATGTCCAAAAGTGGAATTGCTGAATTATATAGTATTTCTATTTTTAATCCTTCGAGGAATTGCCATCTTGTTTCCCACAGCAGGTGGGCCATTTACATCACCACGACAGTGTCCACAGGAGTTCCAGTTCCCTAAATTCTCACCAAGACTGGTCACCCTCTGTTGGAAAAAAACATTCTAACAGGCATCAGGTGGGTTTTGTTTTAATTTTTCTAAGGATTAATAATATTGAGCATCGTTTCCTATGCTAGTTATCTAAATATCCCCAAAGTATCTTCTTTAGGGAAATGTCTATTCATATACTTTTCTCATTTTTAATCAGTTATTTTATTTTTACTGTTGACAAGTAGAATTTATTTTTGTATAGTAGATATTATTAACCCCTTATCAGATATGATTTTCAAATATTTTCTTCTATTCCACATGTTGCATTTTCACTGTGTAGGTTTTATCTTTTGATGCCCATTTTAAATTTTTATGTAGTCCAATTTATTTTTTTTTCTACTTTTGCCTGTATTTTGGTGTTAAAGGTGTTAGTATTTAAATGTCTGTAAATATTCACTTACTACGCTGAGAATGTCACACTTCACCTTCTCTCTCTGATGGTGGAGCTAAGAGTGTTACACTCTCCCATTTTGTCCTAGGGGACAGTGAAGCTAGGTGAGAACCCAGTGGCTTTTCTGAGCTTATTTGTCTTGCGTTTTTGGTGACATGGATTATTGTTCACATCAGCTTCCTCTGGCAAGTCCACCTGGAAAGCATTATATTTAGCAAGAAAAAAGGAGGCTGTGAATGATGTCACTGTAAGCTGTTTATATTCCCTGTTGCAAATGTCAAATCCGTGAAGCATAAAGGGATTTACTAGAGGATATTAAATTCCTTAGAAATTGTTGAAAAGCCTTAAGCAACAGGCTCCAGGCAAAGCCTCTGGAACAATTCCAAGAATGGCACTGCTGGCGCAGGCTGGGGAGGAGCTCCTGCTGCCTGAGACTCCACATTCAAGCTGTCTCCTGCAGGAAAGAGAGCAGCTCTTCTCACTACTGCCCCCCGAAGGACAGCTGCTCCGCTATCAACTGCTAGAGACCTGACCCCTTTCTCTGCAGACCTGACTGTGTTGATTACATCTTCATTTCAGTCTCATGTAGATTCATCTGTTTTCATGGATTCAGGGGCTATTTCTGCCCAAGTCCACCCTGTGGCTTTCTATCATAACTACACATCTTTCTACACTTGAATTTCTAGTCATTACTAGTATCAACAGCAACATGCTAGAACCTCACATAAAGATTTCCTTTACAAAGAACATCATGCTCCCCACGTAGAATTGTGCTCCCCAAAATGTGGGGAAAGTCCAATCTGTTCAGCCCAACACCATGTAGGATAAAAGGATCTTCTCTCATGAGCCGTTAATCTGTCTACTTATTATTTAATTTGTGGGCTAAACTATAAAGATTGGTAAAAATAGCACTTTGAATTCTTTTGGCAAAAGGGTGTAAAGAAAAGATTAAATTATTTAACATGACTCATTTCGTTATTGTCACCAGCTTCTTTCATATTTATTTTATTCTCTAGTTTCTGGCAATACTTTCTCTATGGTAGAGTCTGGAAAGGCTACTCCTCATGTCCTTGGCTTCCTAAGTCCCAGATGTGGTGAAGAATGCCCATCAACTGTGCTACTACAGAGTGCTTTTGGATTGAGATGAGGGAGGAGAAATGGCTGAACTCACTCAAATGTGATCATTTTCTTGGTCTAGGTCACAGCCAGGCAACACAGTCCTCTGGGCACAATATCATCACTTGCCATGTTTCTATCAAAATGAAAGTATCTTTCTTGACTGTGGAAAACATAGGGGTGGGGGCGGGGAGGGTCAAGTAATAGCAAAAGGAGTACTTGGAGTTGCCTGAGCTGCCACTCTGGTTTCCCCAAATGTTTTCAATCCATTTCATTCATGATAATAAACACCTTTCTGCCTAACCAGTCATAATGACTTTTCTCAGATCCAACTGATTCAGTGATAAACCTATAGAGAAAAAATAAATACACTTCTCCATGTTTGAGCTGACCAGGATGCTGTCCCTGGTGTTTGCACCTCCATATCCCACTATGCGTTTCATCTTCTCTTTGCCTCACTGGTGATCCAAGTACAGGGAATGCTTCACATGACTGTGATCCCTAGAACTTCATCCTGATGACGGTTGAAATCTTCTCTGAGTTTTACCAGTGGAAATGGCAATAAATAGAAACATTCCAGAAGGTCCCCTAGGTTCCATATTTTCTGTACTTCCTCTCTAAAATATGTAAAATCAATTATGTTTGCTCTTGCTTTTATGGACTATATCTATGGCCCCAGCACACATCCTAATGTCCTGTCTTGACAATTTATCCAGTATTTTAATAAATGTAAATGGTCACATGCTTATCATATCATTTCTTCCAATTTCATGGAATAATTTCACATCAACTCTTTGGATTAAGAGCCGTCAACCAGAAAACCACAGCCCTGAATAAATAGAAATAGAGTATTTCAAGCTGTTCATTTGGCATAACAATGATGAGTCTACAGCTCATTTTCAAGATATAAATATTCTGTTTATGGGAGTGACAGCACCATTCATACAGTTACTGTTTCAGAGCCTCCACCATATCTGACAGGACAGCAATTCAATAGCAGAAGGGTTTGTGTGCCAGCTTTGCTTGACTAATAATGGGTTTTTCTCTGTCCATAGGGAAAGCACATGACAAGAGCATGAGCTACACTTCACTTCACTTTTTTTGAGGTTAATAAGTTGCTTGATCCAAAGCTATATTACAGAAGAACTTCCTGACTCTGATGAAAGCTCTTGGAAAATCCTCAAATAATATTTTATGCAGAAATATAACCAAAAAGGAAGGCAAATTCATATATAGGAAAATAACCAGTGCCCTCCTCACGTTACATGAGGTCTACTAGTATCACCCGACACCAGCTGTTAGTCTGGGCCCTGATGTGTGGCGCAATGTTAGGGGTTCAAGAGACGTTATTCTTCTTGACAAAATAGGTGTTCAGAAGAGCCAGTAGCCCTGTATGTCTCAGTTAGTTGAAACTCATATTATTGAGTCCCCACAGGGACCTCCATAACCTTGGTTCAGGAGACACCTTGGAAACCTGGGAAAGGTGATTGACTGAAGTCCATCTGTTGAATCATCCTCATTATTAAAAGCCTCCTACTCATTAACGGCATTTCGATTAATATTCACTTGGAAAGCATGTTTTTATTTTGGCTCATTTTTGAAACGTCTAGTCATAGTTCTTTCTGAATCACTTTGTCTGAAATCATCCTGTTGCATTTCTTTTAAGGGCTGATGATCTGTCAAAAGCAACAGCCAATATTATTACATTGCTGTTCTCTTTGCAATGTTATCATCAGATGTAATCCTTGCAGGTTAACCACTGTTACGAATTTTACATTTCCAGGGATTTCTTGACAATGGCACTGATGTGACGCCATCCAGCATCTATTTGTGAGAACTCTATTTGACAAATCATCACTGTGGGTGTGAACATAATGGAGACTTTCATAGGATGCTATGGTTAATATTCAACTTTAGTCAAAATTTACTCTAGTCCTACCCTTGGAGCTCTACTGGGTTCGAAAAATATTTTAGATAAGGACAATCATTTCATAGAGTTTTAAAAATAAAGGCTAAAAGAAATTTTCTGTAGCAACAGTATGAACTATATGTAGCCAGCATACCCTTTTTTAATGGAATATAACAAAAATTATTTAAATGTATTTAATTTAAATAATTGTATAAATATGCATATATAATAAATAAACGTACTTAAATATAAATACTATACATGTATATTTGTAGCCAACATTTCATCAGATAAATATAGGTAGCTTTTATGTATCTTATACACATATATGCACATTTTCCACAAATAAGGTAAATTTTAATTTTTTATTGAATACTAGTTTTAATTTTGTCATTAATTTTCTCTTAATAACTTCATAATTTAATACTAAATGTTCACATTTATACCACCAACTTAAGAAAAAATCGTGTGTGTAGGTAGAGGTGTAAATACTGTATCAGGAAGGCTTTATGCATAATGATTGGTAACTGGTTAAATACACAACTCAGTGGCTGATAACAGTAAACATTTGTTTTCGTGTTCATGGATGTTCACGTTCACAATCATCTGGCTGATCAAGAAAGGGCTCAGCTGAGTGGTTTCTCTGCAGGGCACTGAGCTCATCTTCAGCCTACAGATATGAATTGTCTGAGGACGAGGCTGAACAGCAGTGACTACACATGACACAATATTCTTATGGCAGGTCACAGGAGTGAACAACATCCCAAACCAAACTGCACAGTTGAATTTAAGTCCAATAATTTCTAACATAGCTTCACATATTTTAAATATATTCCTTTATTTCAATGAGTACAAATTTTGAAGAAAATGTTTACTCCATTTAATTGTAGAGGTGTTTGATCATTCCATGGACAAATAATTATGCTTTCAACCTTTACAATTCTGAAAAGATTTGCAAATGTAAATTTGCATTAGTAAGAAAATAAAGCTGGATGTGTTTTCAACATGTGGCTTTAAATATATATATATATTTTAATGGCCTCAGTGGGGGAAAATCATTTTAACTTATGTAAATATCCCTTTTTGCCTCTCTTGTGTCCTATAAAGTTGCCCAACAAGAGGTCCTCCCATGAGATTTGGAAATCAGAAAAGGATGACTCAATATTCTCCATTGGTACCTAAGGCAGACACAGGAACAGAGGTGAGGGCTGGAGAAACACCTAGAAGGATGCTGCAGGAAGCTGAGAACATCAACACTCCCACCCCTAAACTTCCAGACAGGACTGAGGACCACATGGTTAGATAGCCCATACTTCAAGGGCAGATGCTTTCTGTTTTCTGAGTGAGCGCCATTCAATCCTGCTTCTAATATCAACTTTCCTGACTACTATATCCTTGGCTTTGAAAGGTTGTGGTCTGAACGTTAATCATAGGCATTGGTTCATTCTTGTTATACCCAAAAGAGCCAAGAAACCCAGTGGGGAAAGGCACTCAGGGTGTAAAATATTGTTTCTAGAATGCAATTGAAATAGGCCCTGTTATCCCATGGAACTAAGGTTTATGGTTTTTTGAATAAACAGAAATTGACTCCCCCAGTCTTAAAACTCAAGATAGTTACATTTGTCTTATCTGAGTTCTTTTTTCAGTAAACCAACCATCAGGGCTCCCAGATACTATCAAGGAGCTGAAACATACATATCACTGAATCCGGACACTGAGACATCAGAACCTTCACCCATTATGATTGCATAACTGACCTCTTGCTTCCTGTTGACCAAATTATCTTCCTTACCCACCCCCCAAATTCCTGTTTTCCCACATTTCGTCCCTGTTATATAAACTCTTAATTGTAGTTGATCAGGGAGATACATTCGCAAATGGTGTCCCATCTCCACGGCTGCAGTACCTGATTAAAGCCTGTTTCTTGGCAATACTTGTTTTAGAGATTGACTTTCTGTGTGGTGAGCAGCAGGGTGTACACTGAATCCCTGGCATTTTAGTAAGAAAATTCTCTGCAACCTTCACTGCTTTGGCTTCTTGTAACCTGAATTCACATTTAACTGCAACTTCTGAGATAACTTGATATAATTCTAGGATTCACTTTGTCCACCACTGCTTCCCAGTCTGAGCTTGCCAGCTCCCAACCCTTACTAGTGCCAGTGAACTTTCTCAAAATGCAAAAGGTAATATTTTCCCTTTTTCATAAAACACTAACCTTCTCTTCGTACTTCCAATATATTGAAGACCACTGAGTTTTCCTGTGTGTCCAATTTGGCAAACATTTCTTTGCAAATAAAACATTAAATTTAGAGATTCTGCTCTACATTTTATTTAGACTTCAGTAGTTTAGACTCTAATTTTCTGTATTAAGACAATTCCTGCTTAGAATATCTATAGTGGTTTCTTCTCTGTTATTTGAATTCCAACCAAAGCCCTAAACTAGACTCCTTAGGTGTCAAGATCTCTGCCTTTATTACATCAGGAGAGGCATTGCTATGTCTGTGCAGCTGGGGCTTACAAAGCAAAAGGAATTGGGTTGCAGAGGTGATTTCAGGTCCCCCTCTACCAATACCATCAGAGTGTGGCTGCATCTGAGGAACACTCTCAGGCAATGAAGGAATCAGGAGGAGCAGCTGGGGCAGCCCAGCCTTACACATCTGCTTCCCTGGGGGTTTTTGTTCGGGTGTGTAACACTGTGGGAGGGAAACTATAATACTGTTGACAGTAATAAGTTGCAAAATCTTCAGACTGCAGGCAGCTGATGGTGAGAGTGAAATCTGTCCCAGATCCACTGCCACTGAACCTTGATGGGACCCCACTTTGCAAAGTGGATGCAGCATAGATCAGGAGCTCAGGGGCTTTCCCTGGTTTTTGCTGATACCAGGCTAAATAACTGCTAATGCCCTGACTCATCCGACAACTGATGGTGACTCTGTCTCCTGTAGATGCAGAGAGTAAGGATGGAGACTGGGTCATCCAGATGGCACATCTGGCACCTGAGATTGGAAACATAAAAACAAATATCCATACAATTAATCATGTAGTAAGAGAATTTCCCTGAAGGGCCAGGCTGTACTGAGCACATTGGCTGAGTAAATTCCTAGTGTTCTCCTTCCTTACCTGGGAGCCAGAGCAGCAGGAGCCCCAGGAGCTGAGCGGGGACCCTCATGTCCATGCTGTGTCCTGACTGGGTCTGACTCCTGCATGAAGTGTGGCCAGCCTATTAATAAGGCTTCAGTGCAGGAGGTTGTGCTCTGGGAACATGCAAATGAGCAGGGGATGGGGCTGACTGGGCACAGCTGCAGAGCTGGCTCATCTCAGTAACTCAGCACCAGCTCAGTGTCCCCAGGTGTCCCAGGAAAGACCAGGGTAGCACAAATTTGTCTGCAGTGAATGTGTTTCTACTGGAGAGTAGTTTGTTATGAGAAACATTTTTTATGTATTTTTTTGAAAATTTGAAATATTCCTCAGGAGTCGACGGAGTAATGTATTTCATTGGTGTATGGGGATTATTTAGAATATCTTGTTTGTAGGAAATACATAGTAAAATGTTAAACAGTATGATTCTCAGGACTTCAAAAGACTCTCATATGATTCGGGTTAGGGAAGGAGGTACTTTGTCCTATACTTGCAACATTTCTGTGAGCTTTAACATTGTTCCTTTCTAAAAATATTAAAAATAAAATTTATTGACATGATGCTATACATATTTGTAAGTATTAGGTAATGGTGTTATGCCATTGTTCTTATCACTATAAGATCAAGCAATTTACTACAGATACAGAGAGATGATACCGAGTTTCCTCAATGCATGCAGCACTCACACATCCACCATTATCAAGAGCTACAGGTCTCTTTAATACCCAGAGACTAAATTCACTTCACCTTATTCTTGTTTTGGGCACCTTCATTGTCTACCTTCTTTTCTGTCATTGAGTATTACTTTCCAAAGTTCTTCTCTCTTATTGAGGGTGACCACTGCATGGAGCATGTCCCTGTCATGCACCAACAATGCCACTTTCTTCTTTTACGTTTTATCAGGGACATCATCCTGACCCAGACACCAGCCTCCCTGTTAACATCTTTAGGAAAGAGACAATCCCTTATCAAGCAATTGCCAACTTACATGGAGAAATCAGCTGGATCCATATGAACCTGGACATGGATTTGCACTCATTATATCTCACATCTCTACTGTGCCAAAAATGTCCCAGCCTGGCTTAGTAGCAGGGGACGTGGATCCAACTACATCAGCATCAGTGGGCTGCAGCCTAGGACTCCACAAAATTTTACTGATGCCTGACTAGGGGAGACAAATCACAGTGCTGTAGCCCAAGCACAAACCTTCCTGCTGTTTTGTAAGCCACCTGAATTTTAAGGGAACTTGCTTATATTGGGAGAAAGGAAGAAAGCTCCATTTGTCCTCTAAATGTTTGCTGAAAATGAACTGACAAAAGAAAGACTAATAAGAGAAAAGGCAAGCAAAATTCACTTAAAGTGCAGTGGGATATCATAGCGGTGTGATTACTCAGATAACTCAATGAGATCCAGTTTTTCATACTTCCTTTCTAGCGAAGAGGTAATTGGGAAGTGTAGGCAACCTGGAGAGAATAGATGAGGATAGAAGTGCATCCTCAAAAGAACAGGCCTGTCTGGATAAAACATCAACTTCTAATCTCTTCTATTTTTGATTCCTATTTTGTGTTAATCTTCCCTGATATAAAATTTCCCAGGAAGAATTTTCTTGACAATCAGTTTCCTTCTGGAGAAGCTGCTTTTAAGCAGATAAAGGAGTGAGATAAAGGAGTGGAGTGAGCATACCCCAACAGCTAAAACTCACAAGTTAGAGGATTTATAAGTCAGACTCTAAGTCTCAGATTTTGTACCGCTCTCTTGCTTCATAAAAATACTTTGTTATTTTTTAAATTTTACTTTAAAGAAGGACAATTTTGGAGAATATATTAATTTTTGGTGGAATGAATAATGTCCCCACCCCAAAAGATATCCAGGTCCTCGTCTCTGGAACCCAAGTTTTATAGGAGTTATTAAGAAATTATTTTAGGCAGATAGAGAGGAAAAGGCATCCTTGGTAAGATTTTGTTTCTTTTAAAGCAACTCCAGACATGTTTCTTGTCTAATAGGAAAGCTCCGGCTCTTAGAGCCAGGCTGGCAAGATTTGATATGCAAATGAAGGCCATTAGAAACTGGGTCCACCCTAACATGGCTATTCCTACCTTCTTCTTCCTTGCCCCTACATGTGCCTGGCAACATGGCTGCCCCCACATATCCCCATGTGCGTAGAACATTATGATGCCCTACATGTGCATATTGAAAGGCTAGGGTGGGAGGGCCAGTTTTTGCTCAGGCTATGTGAATAACATGCCTGGTCAAACCAATCCCTTGAGCCCTTTGCAAATCAGACACCACCTCCTTCATTCTCCTCATATAAGCAGCCACTTTTCCACCACAGATGGACTTTTCTCTTTGTTGGAATCCCCTGTCCCTCTGTCTCTGTACAGGGTAGCTGTTTAGCCATTTTATTATTCCTTCCTTCTTACGTATTAAACTTTTCTCTCCTTAAAACCACTACACATCTTTCTGTGGCATTTTATCCAAAGCAGTGTGAGACAGAAAGAACCCTGCTGTTCCTCCAGTCATTGGAGCCATATCATAAGGATTCTACCTTATGATAGATAGCAAAAAATGACCTTGATAGATGTAAGTTAAGGACTTTGAGAATAAGCTTCCTGGTTATCCAGATGAAATCAATACAATCACAAAGGTCCTTAAAATAGAGGAGGAAGATTGCAGTCAGGGAGGAGCTGGGACAATGGGGACGGATGTTGTTTGAGGAAGGAAGGGGCCATGGAACCAGAAATATGGGAGCACATTGAAGATAAGAAGCAGAGAATCCAGTTCTCTCCTCTGGAGCCTCCAGAAGGATTACAGCCCTACTGACACCTTAGCATTAGCTCAGTGAGACTTCTGACCTGCAGAACTACAGGGTAATACATTTATGTTGTGTGAAGCCAATAAGACTGTGGCAATTTAAACAGCAGCGTTGGAAACTAATGCAAGGGGAAGAGGTGTCTTTCAGCTCACTGAGTGCATGGCTGTCCTCTGTTCTTGGAAATATTTCCACCTTGTTATCTGGTGTCAGACAAGAGACAGAGAAAATTTTTTTTCTGAGAGAAGAGCTCGTACAAAAATTCTTTTTAGCTAGAAATTCTCTTGGGAAAATCCCATGATTATCTCTTATACGATCTGGGTATCACGGAGTTTAGGGGTCAGAACTCACAGCACATGATAGGAAGAAGAGGGTTTTGTTAGTTTGTTTTCATATTAGGAGGGAAAATTAGATTTTCAGGACACAATCTGAGAGGGACAGACTGAGTCAGAGCTATTGTAAGAGAAAGAGGAGATGTGGAAGGAGTCAGAGCAATGAAACATGTGTCCCTGCTTCCAAATCTAAAATAAAGTCATTGATTTTAGAAGGTGAAGCAAAGCTCTTCACCTTCCATCTTCTTATGAAGGATCAAATTCTACCCAGAGTTCCTGTCCCTCCTTTACTCCCCTGACATTGCACTGTGGAGCTAATCACATGTGCCTTAATCCCTGCTCCTGTCCCGGGCTGGGAGAGGCTCACTGTCCTCACCATGCCCAGCAGGCTAGAGCTCATGCCCTAGGTACCAAAGGAGAAGAGGATGGTTTCTGTACAGGAGGTAAGAGCTTTACCACATGTTACATTTCACTATAATTCTAAGTAAAGTTGTGTGGAGAGAAGAGAACATATGGGCAACTCTGTCTGGTAGAGTTGGAAGAGGGCAGTTTCTGAGAGTGACAATGAATTCACATTTCTAAATTTTCAGATGGCAAATGCTAGCTTTAGCAATTGTGGAAATGTGGACTTTGAGTTTAAGAACAAGACAGACTTTCAGATACTGCAATAAATGAGGAGACATTTGGAATAGGGTCCTTAGCCCAGGGCTAAGGTCAGGCTGGCAGTGCCTGAGAGCTGCCAGGCACTGGCCCTGGGCTGTGGAGGAAGCAGCTGCTCTCCTGAGCCACAGGGCTGAGAATCTGAGAGGAACCACAGGCCCTGGCCACATGGCTGCCTGGCAGGGGCTTCAGGGAAGGAAACTGCTCACAAATTCAGGGGAGCTGCATTAAGCATATATCCCCCAGCCTGGCAAGAGTAAAAGTCTCAGAGACCCAGACCTTAGGGCTGGTGCTGGGATCCTGGGCTGGCTGCTGTCAGCTCTGCCCTCCCTCGTGCTAAATGACTGGGACCCTGCTGGAGCCAAAAACAGACAGTCAGCAAATGTCCTTAAAGTCTTTACTCAGCCAGACTCTATTCTGCTTGGTAAGAAAAGAAACACACGCTACACAAATAAGCATAAAATTATATGTATCTGTAATATGAATTTCTATTGTGAACTTTACATATTGAATACATATTTAAGAAATAAGTTGTATTTATATATTTGTATATACTACGTATTTATGAATAAATATGTGATGCATGTTTATATATAAAGAGATACAACTTTGGTTGCTAGTATATGGTACAGTTTTAAACTTCAATAAATTGAACATGAACATTGAAAATGAGCACTGGGTGCACCACCTCATGGCCCTCCTCACTCCAGGGCCTGAGGGTCATAAAGCTCAGGACCCTCTTCCATGTTCCCCCTGGGCTGAGAGAAGTGAACTGCCCATTGCTGAGGATCATGAGTGACCTGAGGGGGGTCTACGGAATCACAGAGCAGCAGATGCCCAGGAAATGGATAGTGGGTCTGGGCCCTGAATGGAGGGACGTTTTGTTTCCAGAGCTCAGCATAGACAAGTCCTCCTCTGAAAAGCCTTAAGGAACATGCTCCTGGCAAAGCCTCTAGAACAATTCCAAGAATGGCACTGCTGGTGCAGGCTGGGGAGGAGCTCCTGCTGCCTGAGACTCCACATTCAAGCTGTCTCCTGCAGAAAACAGAGCAGCTCTTCTCACTACTGCCCCCAGAAGGACAGCCGCTCTGCTATTGACTACTAGAAAACTGACCCCTTTCTCTGCAGACCTGCCTGTGCTGATTACATCTTCATGTCAGTCTCACATAGATTCATCTGTTTTCAAGGCTACAGGGTTTATTTCTGCCCAAGTCCATCCTGTGGCTTTCTATCATAAATGCACATCTTTGTACACTTGAATTTCCAGGCATTACTAGTATCAACCACAACAGGCTACAATCTAAAATAAATATTTTCTTTACAAAGAACATCATGCTCCCCACGTAGCATTGTGCTCCCCAAAATGTGGGGAATCTCCAATCTGTTCAGCCCAACACCGTCCAGGAAAAAATGATCTTCTCTCATGAGCCATTAATCTGTGTACATATTATTTAATATGTGGTCTATATTATAAAGGTGGCTAAAAATAGCACTTTGATTTTTTTAAAGAAAGGGTGTATTGAAAAGACTAAATTATTTAACATACATATATGAATGGCTCATTTCGTTATTGTCACCAGCTTCTTCTGTATTTATTTTATTCTCTAGTTTCTGGCAATAATTTCTCTATGGTAGAGTCTGGAAAGGCTATTCCTCATGTCCTTGGCTTCCTAAGTCCCATAGGTGGTGAAGAATGCCCATCAGATGTGTTACTACAGAGTGCTTTTGGATTGAGATGAGGGAGGGGAAGTGCCTGATCTCACTCAAATGTACTCAATTTCCTGGTCTGGGTCACAGCCAGGCAGCACAGTCTTGTGGGCACAGTATCTTCACTTGCCATGTTTCTATCAAAATGAGAGTATCTTCCTTCACTGTGGAAAACAAGGGGTGGGCAGGGTGAGGGAATAGCAAAGGGAGTACTTGGAGATCCCTAAGCTGCCACTGGTTTCTCCAAATGTTTTCAATCCATTTAATTCATGATAATAAACACCTTTCTACCTAACCAGTCATAATCGCTTTTCTCAGATCCAACTGATTCAGTGATAAATCTAAAGAGAAAAAATAAATACACTTTTCCACGTTTAAGCTGACCAGGAATGTTTCCACCTCCATATCCCACTATGCGTTTCATCTTCCCTTTGCCTCACTGGCGATCCAAGTGCAAGTAATGCTTCACATGACTGTGATCCCTAGAACTTCTACCTGATGACTGTTGACGTCTTCTCTGAGTTTTACCAGTGGAAATGGCAATAAATAGAAACATTCCAGAAGGTCCCCTAGGGTGCATATTTTCTGTACTTCCTCTCTAAGATATGTAAAATCAATTCTATTTGCTCTTGCTTTATATGAACTAGACCTATGGCCCCAGCAAACAAACTAACACCCTGTGTGGACAACTTATCCAGTATTGTATTAAGTCTAAATGTTCACATGCTTATATCATTTCTTACAATTTCTTGGGATAATTGTCATGTCAACTCTTTGGATTAAGAATCATCAACCAGGCCAGGCGTGGTGGCTCATGCCTGTAATCCCAGCACTTTGGGAGGCAGAGGCAGGCAGATCACGAGGTCAAGAGATCAAGACCTTCCTGGCCCACATGTTGAAACCCCGTTTGTAGTAAAAATACAAAAATTAGCTGGGCTACAGGTGGTGTACCCCCTGTAGTCCCAGCTACTCGGGAGGCTGAGGCAGGAGAATAGCTTAAACCTGGGAGGCAGAGGTTACGGTGAAGCCGAGATGGCGCCATTGCACTCCAGCCTGGCAGCAGAGTGAGAGTCCGTCTTAAAAAAAAAAAAGAACCATCAACCAGAAAACCACAGCCCTGAGAAAACAGAAATAGAGTATTTCAAGCTGTTCAGTTGGCGTTAACAATGGTAAGTCTACAGCTCATTTTCAAGATATATATATTCTGTTTAAGGGAGTAAAAGCACCCATCACAGTTAATGTTTCAGAGCCTCCACCACTTCTGATGGTATAGTAATTCAACAGCACAAGGGTTTGTGTGACAGCTTTGCTTGACTAATAATGGGTTTTTCCCTGTCTATAGGGAAAGTTGCACCTGTGCACAAGACAAGATCATAAGCTACACTTCGCTCTTCTTTTTTGAGGTAAATAACTTGCTTGATCCAAAGCCATTTTATGGAAGAATTTCCTGATTCTGATGAAAGCACTTGGAAAATCCTCAAATAATATTTTATGCAGAAACATAACCGATAAGAATGGCAAATTCATATATAGGAAAATAACCAGTGCTTTCCTTATGTTACCTGAGGTCCACTAGTATCACCTAATACAAGCTGTTAGTCTGAGCCCTGATGTATCATACAATGTTAGGGGTTCTTCTTGACAAATTAGATGTTCAGAAAAGCCGGTAGCCCTGTAGGTCTCAGTTAGTTGAAAGTCATATTATTGAGTCCCCACAGGGACCTCCATAACATTGGTTCATGATACTCCCTGGGGAAGCTGGGAAAGCTGACTGACTGAAGTCCATGTGTTGAATCATCCTCATTATTAAAAGCCCCCTGCTCATTAATGGCATTTTGATTAATACTCACTTGGAAAGCATTTTTTTGGATTGTGGCTCATTTTTGAAACATCTCATCATAGCTCTTCCAGAATGGCTTTGTCTGCAATCATCCTGTTGTGTTTCTTTTAAGGCCTGATGATCTGTCAAAACCAACAGCCAATATTATTAAAATCCTCTTCTCTTTGCAATGGGATCATCAGATGTAACCTTACAGATTACCCACGGTTAGGATTTTTACATTTCCAGGGCTTCCTTGACAATGGCACTGATGTGACTCCATCCAGCATCCATTGTTGTGAGGACTCTATTTGGCATATCATCATTGTGGGCATGAACTTAATGGAGATTTTCATAGGATGCAATGGTTAATATTCAACGTTAGTCAAAATTTCTTCTAGTCCTACCCTTGGAGCTCTACTGGGTTGGAAAAATATTTTCGTGTAAGGACAACCATTTGGTAGAGTTTTAAAAATAAAGGCTACCAATAAATTTTCTGTAGCAAGAGTATGAACTATTTGTGGTCCAGAATACAATTTTTTATGGAATGTAACAAAAATTATTTAAATGTATTCAATGTAGATAATAATTTTACAAATAGGCTTATATTGCATATATAATAGAAGAAACACAATTAAACATAAATACTATATATATTGTAGCCATTTTAACAAATATATATTTACTTGTACATATCTTACATACATTTATGCACATTTTTCCACAAATAAGGTAAATTTTAATTTTTTATTGAAATATTAGTTTTAATTTTGTCATTAATTTTCTTTTAATAACTTTATAATTTGATTACTAAATATTCACATTTATACCACCAATTTAAGAAAAAATACATGTGTGTATATATAGGTAGAGGTGTAAATACTGTATCAGGAAGCTTTTATGCATTAATGATTGGTAACTGGCTAAATACACAACTCAGTGACAGAAAACAATAAACATGTTTTCATGTTCATGGGTGCTCATGTTCACAATCATCTGGCCGATCAAGGAAGGGCTCAGGTAAGTGGTTTCTCTGCATGGCACTGAGCTGGTCTTCAGCCTATACATATTAATTGTCTCAGGACAAGGCTGAACGGCAGTGACTACCCATGACTCAAGATTCTTCTGGCAGGTCACAAGAGTGAACAACATCCCAAACCAAACTGCACAGTTGAGTTTAAGTCCAATAATTTCTAACATAGCTTCACACATTTTAAATATATTCCTTTATTTCAGTGAGTACAAATTTTTAAGAAAATGTTCACTCCACTTAATTATAGAGGTGTTTGATCATCCATGGACAAATAACTATGATTCCAACTTACAGTATTGAAAATATTTGCAAATGTAAATTTGCATTAATAAGAAACTGAAGCTGGATGTGTTTTCAACACGTGGCTTTAAATATAATATACTTAAATGGCCTCATGGGAGAAAATTCATTTTAACTTACATAAATATCCCTTTTTGCCTCTCTTTTGTCCCATAGAGTTGCCCAATAAGAGGTCCTTCCATGAGATTTGGAAGTCAGAAAAGGATGACTCAATATTCTCCATTGGTACCTAAGACGTCTAGACACAGGGACAGGGATGAGGACTGGAGAAACACCTGGAAAGATGCTGTAGGAAGCTGAGAGCATCAGCACCCCCGCCCCTAAGCTTCCAGACAGGACTGAGGGCCACATGGTTAGATAGCCCATACTTTAGGGGCAGATGGATTCTGTTTTCTGAGGAAGCACCAGAGAATCCTGCTTCTATTATCAGCTTTCGTGACTACTATATCCTTGGCTTTGAAAGGTTGCAGTGTGAACGTTAATTGTAGGAATTGGGTCATTCTTGACATACCCAACAGAGCCAAGAAACCAGTGGGGAAAGACACTCAGGGTGTAAAATATTGTCTGAAGAATGCAATTGAAATAGGCCCTATTATCCCATGGAAGTAATGTTTATGGTTTTTTGAATAAACATAGAAATTGACTTCCCCAGTCTTAAAACTCAAGATAGTTACATTTGTCTTATCTGAGTTCTTTTTTCAGGAAAGCCACCAAGAGGCCTCCAGATACTATCAGAGAGCTGAAACTTACATATCACTGAATCAGGACAGTGAGACGTCAGACCCTTCACACACTGTGATTGCCTCACTGACCTTCTGCTCCCTGTTGACAAAATTAACTTCATTACCCCTCTCTAATTCCTGTTTGCCCACATTTCTTCCCTGCTATATAACCCCCTAATTTTAGTTTGTCAGGGAGATACATTTGAGAATGGGGTCCCATTTCCTCAGCTGCAGCACCTGATTAAAGCCTGTTTCTTGGCAATACTTGTTGTCTTACTGATTGGTTTTATATGTGGTGAGCAGCAGGATCTACACCAAATCCCTCGCACTTCAGTAACAAGATTCTCTGCAAGCTTCACTGCTTTGGCCTCTTGTAACCTGAAATCAAATTCACCTCCAACTTCTGAATAATTTAACATAATTCTAGGATTCAGTTTGTCCATCAGTGCTTACCATTCTGAGCTTGCCAGCTCCCAAAACTTTCTGGAGCCAATAAACTTTCTCAAAGAGCAATAGGTAACATTTTCCTTTTTTCATGAAACTCTAAGCTTCTCTTTGTTCTTTCAACATATTGAAGACCATTGAGTTTTTCTGTATGCCCCATTTAGCAAATATTTCTTAGCAAATAAAACATGAAATTTGAGATTCATCTCTATATTTTTATTTAGACTTCCATGGTTTATACTCTATTTCTCTGTATCAAGACAATTCCTGCTTAGAATATCTATAGTGGCTTCTTCTCTGTTACTTGAATTCCAAGTGAAGCCATAAACTAGACTCCTCAGGTGTCATGATCCCTGCCTTTTTTAAATCAGGAGAGGAACTGTTATGTCTGTGCACCTGGTGCTAAGAAAGAAAAAGAAATTGGGATGCAGAGGTGACTTCACATCCCCCTCTACCAACACCATCAGAGTGTGGCTGCATCTGAGGAACACTCTTAGCCGATGGAGACATCAGGAGGAGCAGCTGGGGCAGCCCAGCCTCACACATCTCTTTCCCTGGGGGTTTTTGTTTGGGTGTGTAACACTGTGGGAGGGGTACTATAATACTGTTGACAGTAATAAGTTGCAAAATCTTCAGGCTGCAGGCTGCTGATGGTGAGAGTGTAATCCGTCCCAGATCCACTGCCGCTGAACCTTGATGGGACCCCACTTTGCAAACTGGATGCATAATAGATGAAGAGCTTAGGGGCTTTTGCTGGTTTTTGCTGATACCAGGCTAAATAACTGCTAATGCCCTGACTGGCCCAGCAAGTGATGGTGACTCTGTCTCCTACAGATGCAGACAGGGAGAATGGAGACTGGGTCATCCGGATGGCACATCTGGCACCTGAGATTGGAAATATAAACACAAATGTCCATACAATTAATCATGTTGTAAGAGAACTTCCCTCAAGAGCCAGGCTGTACGGAACACACTGGGCTGAGTAAACTGCTAGGGTTCTCCTTCCTTACCTGGGAACCAGAGCAGCAGGAGCCCCAGGCGCTGAGCGGGCACCCTCATGTCCATGCTGTGTCCTGACTGGGTCTGACTCCTGCATGAAGTGTGACCAGCGCATTAATAAGTCTTCAGGGTAGGAGGATGTGCTCTGGGAACATGCAAATTAGCAGGGGGCAAGGCAGGCTGGGCACAGCTGCAGGGCTGGTTCATCTCAGTAACTCAGCACCAGCTCAGTGTCCCCAGGTGTCCCAGAAAAGACCAGGGTAGCACAAATTTGTCTGCAGTGATGTGTTCTACTTTGGACTATTTTGTTATGAGAAGTATTTTTTAGGTATTTTTTGACAATTTGAAATATTCCTCAGGAGTCGAAGGAGTAATGTGTTTCATTGGTGTATGGGGATTATTTAGGAGAATATTCTTGTTTGTAGGAAATACATAGTAAAATGTTAAACGGTACTATTCTCAGGTCTTCAAAGGACTCTCACATGATTCCGGTTAGGCAAGGGGGTACTTTGTGCTACATTTGCAACATTACTGTGAGTTTAACATTGTTTCTTTCTAAAAAAAAATTAAAAATAAAATTTATTGACATGATGCTATATATATTTGTAAGTATTAGGTAATGGTATTATGCCATTGTTCTTACCACTATAAGATCAAGCAATTTACTACAGATACACAGAGATGATACCGTGTTTCCTCAATGCATGCAGCACTCACACATCCACCATTATCAAGAGCTACAGGTCTTTTTAATACCAGAGACTAAATGCGCTGCACCGTATTCTTGTTTTGGGCACCTTCATAGTCTACCTTCTTTTCTGTCATTGAGTATCTTTTCCTAAAGTTTATCTCTCTTAGTGAGGTCGGCCACTGCACAGAGCATGTCCCTGCCATGCACCATCAATGACACTTTCCTCTTTTACATTTTATCAGTGACTGGGGACATCATCATGACCCAGACACCAGCCTGCTTGTTACCATTTTTAGGAAAGAGACAGTCAATCTCTTATCAAGCAATTTCCCATGTACATGGAGAAATCAGTTGGATCCAGATGAAACTGGACACGATTTTCACTCGTTATATCTCACATCTCTAATGTGCCAAAAATGTCCCAGCCTGGCTCAGTAGCAGGGGAATTGGATCCAACTACATCAGCATCAGTGGGCTACAGTCTAGGGCTCCACAAAATTTTACTGATGCCTGACTAGGGGAGCAAAATCACAGTGCTGTAGCCCATGCACAAACCTTCCTGCTGCTTTGCAAGCGATCTGAATTTTAAGGGAACTTGCTTATATTGGGAGAAAGGAAGAAAGTTCCATTTATCCTCTAAATGTTTGCTGAAAATAAACTGACAAAAGAAAGATTAATAAGAGAAAAGGCAAACAAAATTCACTTAAAGTGCAGTGGAATATCACAGCAGGGTGATTACCCAGATAACTCAATGAGATTCAGGTGTTTATATTTCCTTTCTATAGAATTGGGAAGTGTAGGCAACCTAGAGAAAATAGATGAGAATAGAAGTGCATCCTCAAAAGAACAGGTAACAGCCTGCCTGGATAAAGTATCAACTTCCAGTCTCTTCTATTTTTAATTCCTGTTTTGTGTTAATCTTCCTTGATATACAAATTCTCAGGAAGAATCTTCTTGACAATTGGTTTCCTTCTGGTGAATCTGCTTTTAGTCAGATAAGGGATATTTAGGAGAAGCCTTTTTGTGCATTTGCTGCTTTCTCAATGCCTTTGGTTTTATATAATCATCATACCAATGCAGCATACTTTGGGATATTATTTTCTGGATTCTTTTACTTGCAACCCACATGCCAAAATCCTGTTCCAGAGAGATGCAGCTACAGATTGAAAGAGCAGTTGACCCCTGAACAACGTGGAGGTTGGGGCACTGACCACTGGTGCAGTTGAAAACCTGTGTAGAACTTTTGCTTTCCTAACTAAGAACTAATAGCTTACTTTTGACTGGAAGACCCAGTGATAAAATAAACAGTTGATTAACAGTTTTTAAAAGTTATTTATATTATATACTCTATTCTTCCAATAAAGTATGCTAAAGAAAAAATGTTATTGAGAAAACCATAAAAATTAGAAAATATGTTTACAACTTACTAAGAGCTTGCTCACAGGTGACACACATAGAAGAAAATATAGGTGGGTCTGCAAATTTCAAACCTAATTTATTCAAGGGTTAACTGTACCATGATGAATGTAGCAGTCCCCATCTGTAGTGTAGGGCTTTCCCCTTTGCTGTACCTCTGCTCACTTCCAATGACCATATATATGTCTTATGTCCTTTACAGTCTTGGGCAAAGAGCTCTGCCTTCATGCATTGCTGGCCAAATGGCCTGGAATGTGTATCTCTTATGAAACTGTTATGGTTTGACTGTGTCCTCTAGAATCAATCTGTTGTGAAGTTAATTCTCAGTGTAACGGTATTGCCAGGTGGGGCCTATTGGGGTGTGTTTAGGTCATGGGTGTGGTGCCCTCTAGTGGAATACATTAATGCCAATATAAACAGGGATTATGGGACTGGGATCTCTCTCTCTCTCTCTTCTGCTTGTCTGTCATGATAAGAGATGGCCTTCCTGGCTTTGAAGGACTCAACCCTCCAGGCATCATCTTGAAAGCAGAGAAAGCAGACCTTATCCTGCCTATGCCTTGATCTTAAATTTCCTATTCTCCAGAAGTGTGAGGAAATACATTTCTGTTATTTATGAATTACACAGTGACAAGGAATCTGTTATAGCAGCTTGAAAGAGAACAAGAGAGACAGCTCACAATCAGTGAGGACACGATGAGGTGTATACATACCCCAGCTTCCTCATCTCTCAGGTGGAATAGCCCAGAGGAATTTAATCTATGTTTTCACATGTGGTTGACCTTCAGTTATCCTGAGTCAGGTGGGTTGTTGATGTGTCTTTTACCATTCATCTTCTGTTCCCTCCCTCACTTTCCTCCTTTCCTCCCAGTGTAAATTTGCTGCCTAAACAGGAATCCTCATTGCTGGTGGACCCAAACTAAGACAGTTTAAAAAAAAAAATCATTATTCTTTTGTATGAGGGGTATTTCTCATCTGAATTCTTATCATTTCATTTTCTTTGACATTTGGAATATTCAGGAAGCACTTAATTTTTCTTTACCAATTTATTTTAGATTGGATTTATGCCATGATTTTTTTTTTCTGTGTGTTAAAACCAAAAATTAAGTTGTAGGCCACCAACCAGGTGAATGGACTCCTCTTTTGGCAGAGAGAACTTCAAAGAAATCTGAAAAACTAGGTTAGGCCATGACTGGCAGGTAGGTTTAGATGTGCCTCATTATGCTCTTCTCCCTTTGGAGTTCAGACACAACTGACCAGCATTATCACTACTACAGAGATCTTTGGACTGACAAAACAGATGCTTTATAGCAATAAGATACCATACTCCAACATGACAGATAATAGCCCCTAAAGAAAATCTAAATATTTTATCCTAAAATTATTTCTTTGACATATTCTGCAGTGGCCCTGCAAAGCTGCCTGTTGTGGGGGGAAATTTGCATTCTGCAGAGAAACTCCTCCCATTACTATGTCTTTTCCAAAGAGTCTGACTTTTTTTAAAGGTCTGATAAGCAACATTCACCATCTACTTTATCTGCTACCCACAGGATTCATCTATGTGACAAGAATCTTGGCTTCCACACCCCATTATCTAAACTCAAGCATTTCTTTATGATGAATTCAACTCCTTAGGCAGACTTTAACTCTTTCAACTAGTGGCCCATCAGGAAAGCTTTGAATCCACCTATGACCTGGAAGCCCCTGCTTCAAGATATCCCACCTTTCCAAGACAAACTTATGTATATCTGATATGTATTGATTTATGTCTTTGCCTGAATTTCTGTGTCTCCCTAAGGCGTATAAAACCAATGTGTAATCCAACCACCTTGGGCACGTGTTTGCGGAGCCTCCTAATGTTGTGTCACAGGCCATAAGCCTTATCTTTGGCAAAATAAATCTATAACTTGATTGAGACCTTTCTCAGATACTGTTTTGTTTACACTGGGTCACAAAATTTAAAAATCCTCTAAAATTATCTACACATCAATAAATCTACATTAGCAACAGTGGAGTGAGCACACTCCAACAGATAAAACTCACAAGTTACAGGAACCTGAGTCTAAGATTTTGTCCACCTCTCTTGATTCATAAAAATACTTTGTGATTTTTTAAATTTTACTTTAGAGAAGGACAATTTTGGGGAATATGTTTATTGTTGGTGGGATGAATAATGTCCCCACCCCAAGAGATGTCCATGTCCTCATCTCTGGAACCCAAGTGTTATAGGAGTTATTAAGAAATTATTGTAGGCAGATAGAGAGGAAAAGGGGTGCTTGTGAAGGTTTTGTTATGTTTAAAGCAGCTCTAGAAAGATTTCTTGTCTAGCAGGAAAACACTGGCTCTTAGATCCAGGCTGGCAAGCTTTCATATGTAAATGCCCGCCATTAGAAACTGGGTTCACCCAAACATGGTGATTCCCACCATCTTCTTCCTTGTCCCCACATAGGCCTGGCAACATGGCTGTCCCTATATATCCCCATGTGTGTAGAACATTATGGTGCCCTGCAATTGCATATTAAAAGGCTAGGGTGGGAGGGCCAGTTTTTTCTGCAGGCTACCTGAATGACATGCCTGGTCATACCAATCCCCTGAGCCCTATGCAAATCAGACACCACCTTCTCCAGCCTCCTTATATAAGGAGCCACTTTTCCGCAGCACATGGGGTTTTCCCTTTGTTCGAATCCCCTGTCCCTCTGTCTCTGTATGGGGAAGCTATTTTCATCTTCCTTCGTACTTGTGTATTAAACTTTTCTCTCCTTAAAACCACTCCACTCATGTTTGTGTCATTTTATCCAAACTGGCGTGAGACCAAGAACCCTGGTGTTCCTCCAGTCATCGGAGCCTTATCATAAGGATTCTTCCTTACATAGTGAAAAAAGAACTTGACAGATGGAAGTTAAGGACTTTGAGAATAAGCAACCTGGTTATCCAGATTAAATAAATAAAACCCCCAAGGTCCTTAAAATAGAGGAGGAGGCTTGCAGTCAGAGAGGAGCTGGGACAATGGGGAAGGATGTGGTTTGAAGAAGGAAGGGGCCATGGAACCAGAAATGTGGGAGCACCTGGAAGATAAGAAGCAGAGGATCCAGTTCTCTCCTCTGGAGCCTCTAGAAGAATTACAGCCCTACTGACACCTTAACATTAGCTCAGTGAGACTTCTGACCCCCAGAACTACAGGGTAATACACTTATGTTGTGTGAAGCCAATAAGACCGTGGCGATTTAAACAGCAGCGTTGGAAACTAATGCATGAGGAAGAGATGTCTTTCACCTCACCAAGTGCATGCTTGTCCTCTGTTCTTGGAAATATTTTTACCTTGTCTTCTGGTGTCAATTATGACACATCTTCTAGTATTTAAAGATCTGCTACCCTAAAATTCTATTTCCAGTAAAAGTATTATTTAGAAATGAAGGTCAAATTGAGAAGTCCTCAGCTGTAGAAAAACTAAGAGTATTGGCTGCTAGCAGATCCACTTTAAGCATAGCCAAAATGATTCCTAGGAAGGTAAAACTAAAGATCAAGAGGGGATATTAAATAATTTAGGGACAAAAGGCTATGAAAATGAGAAGAGAGATGAATATAATGCATTTCTAAATCATATGTGATATTTGTATCAAAGTTGTAACACAGTTTTGTTCCCAATATTTGCAGAGAAATTACTTTTAAAAAACCACCTATTTACAATGGGGGAGGAAAAATGATATAAAAGAAGGTAAAAGTCTATATTTATTTTAAATGGTAATATATTGACACCAATGTACTATGAGAAGCTGTGCATATAAAGGCAATATACCATGACAACCAATTTAAAAATCACTATAAAAAGAGATACCCCAAAATTAGGTAAAATTAAAATGAAATTGTAAAAATGTTCAAGTAACCCAAAGGAAGGCAGCAAAAAGAAAACAGAGAAGCAAAAAAAGATACAGCAAAAAAGTAGAGTGCAGACTTAAATCTTAATATATCAATAATTACTGATATATTAAATACGTAAATTATGAAATTTTTAAAAAGACAACAGTTGGTGAATCAAAAAGAAATGTTCCAACTGTATATTGTCTATAAGACACTCACATCAAATACAGCAGTATAAGTAGATTGAATATATAGGAAGGAAAATGGTATACTATGCAAACATTAATCAAAAGAAAGAATCATTAGCAAATACTATTAACAGACAAAGTAGACTATAGAGCCAAAGAATTTTACCAGGGATAGAAAGTTACATTACATAATGAAGAAAGTCATTTTGGAAAGAAGACAGAGCAGTTCTAAGTGCGTAGACACCAAGCAACAGAGCAATACAGTGCATGTGGCAGAAACTAACAGAACAATTACACTTGGAGATTTCAAAACCCCTTCTTAATCTTTGATAGGACAACTCGACAGAAAATCGGCCAGGATAGAGAAGAACTCAACAATATCATCAACCCATGGGATCTAACTGGCATTTATAGAACACTCCAACCCATAACAATAGAAGTTCACATTTCTTTCTTCCAAGTGCCCACAGAACATATACCAAGATAGGACATATTCTGCCCACATAACGTTTCAACACAATTGCAATAATTAAAATCACAGTAAGTGTGTTCTCTGACCACGGAAGGATCAAACTAGAAATCAATATTGAAAGTATAACCCCGAATTCTTCAAATATATGGAACTTATACAACACTGTTCTTTCCAAAGAATCAGCCTTTGATTTGCTTGGTGTTTAGTGTTGCTTTTTCTGTTTGCAGTTTTATTGGTTTCTGCCCTAATATTTATTATATATTTTGCTCACGTTCTACTTCAGATTTAAATTGCTCCTCTTTATGTAGTTTCATAAGGTGGGAGCTGTGATTATTGATTTTATGCCTTTTATTTTTTGAAAAACACTTCTATGCATATGTTAATATATGTGCATACACACGCATAAATATGTGCAGGTGCATATGCATACATGTGGCTTTAATACATAAATTACCCTGTAAGCGCTGCTGAATACCTATGTGTATTTTCTTTCCTCTGAGCTCAAACTCCACTCACTTGCAAACCTGGCCACTTAATCTGCATGTTTATTAGCATCTCAATCTAGAATTGAACAAAAATAACAAACTCCTTTTATTTTATCCTGATTTTCTTGGCTGCTAATACATTTAACATCAGTAAATCAGAATCTATCTAATAGATTAAGTCCAAAGCTGCCAGGCCACTCCTAATCTGACTCTTCTCACATAAAGGAGTATAAATGACATTAATTTAAAAATATGATATCATCTGCTTATGTCTCCAATAATCTTCACTGCCCCCAGACTAGTTTATGCCAGGGTTCACTTTGCCCAGATGAGTATCTCTTCTCCTTCTCACAGCCCAACTGGAGTCATTACTCTGCTAAAAAATAAATATGACCATGGGAGTACTTTGCTTTAAAAAATTCACAGAATGTCCTGCTGTACTTAGAAAGCATTTGCTCCTCAAACAGAAAATGAAGGCGTCCTTCATTTCACATCCGTCATATGTGGTGATCTTTAAGATACTGGGAGAAAACAGCTCTGACCTGCCCCCTCTCAGACTTTCTCTTTTTTCACTTGGTTAAGTCACTCTCCTCATAGTGACTTTCTATGTCCTTCCCGTGTTCATACTGTGTTCCTCCTAAGAGCCTTGATTGTCATGAACCTCGATGCCCTTCAGAAACTTCTCTTCAGGTCAGTTCTTCTCCTCATCCAGGCCAGTCACCTCCTCAGAGGAAGCAGCCTCTGCCTCCCCAACTAACTGACTCCATTTCCTTATTAACCACTTCCTCTTCCCTTGCCATTTTTTTTTCCTTTATGATCCTTATCCTTTTCTAGAATCTTCCTGTTGATTTATGTTTAATTAAACATGGCCTTTTTTTTTTCACCAGAAAAGATATAGGTAAATGAGAGTCAGACACTGACTTTCTCAGGGATGCAGCCTACACACATTCCTGGTCCAGCATAATTGCTCAATTTATACTTTACTGAATGAATGAATGAATGAAAATTTAATGAGTAAGAAACTCTCAAAGACATAATCAACACTCATAACCTATACACATTGAAAACAACCCACTGAATGTACAACATGGATTATTCTGAGTAATGAGAAGTATGAATAGCAGTGTGCTGCTCTTCATAGTCAGAAAGAATGAGAGGAAATTGAAGAAAGGAATTGTTTTCTCAGCTGCATTTTGCATTTGCCAGAGAGTTAAGAAAGACATCCAAAGTCCATGATAATCAGGTATGAGGATTCTTATCTGCCTTAAAAAACAAGCAAATAGGCTTTGCAATCACAAAAAAAATGCAATAAATGTGACTACCCTATCACTTAACTCTATTGCCTCCTGTTCACAAAAACAGATTGTATTAGTTAGCTCTTCTTGCAAAACAAACCAGCTCCAAACACAATGCCATAAAATGAGCATGTACAGTCTTCCCTCAGTATGCATGGGAAATAGGTTCCAGGACACCCTGCAGACATTCCAATTTTTGGAGACTCAAAACCTTTATGTAAAATAAGCAATATTTGTATATAACATACACATATCCTCCTGTACACTTCACACCACCTCTAGCCTACTTATAATACTAATACATGACTTAACTTGTGTGGATTCATTCAAGTGGTACTCAGCACATGGCAAAGTCAAGTTTTGCTTTTTGGAATTTTGTGGATGTTTTTTCTAAATATTTTTGATCCAGGTTTAGTTGAATCCATAGATGCAGATCCCATGGACAGAGGGCTGACTGTATTGCTCCTTATAATTCTGAGGGTCAGCTCTGCGGTTCTTCCATATTGGGCTGGCTGTAGCCTCTGGTTCAGTTGTGACTGGAGGGTCTGATGTGACTTCTTTAACTTATCTAGAAGCTGGTTCGATGTACAGGTTGGACAACACTTGGTATCAGTTTACATGGGTCAGGGAGATGGGTCCTGTTCTCCAACCTCTATTAGGTTTGTTCCCAGATCAACTCGGGGGTTCAAGTCTATTCATTGTGGGTTGTTTGGGAGAAATTCCACACAGACCGTTGGTAATGACTAAGCTGAACTGCTGTCATTTATTGCTGTCAGCAGTTATTGTTATCCTCTGAAATGCATCTTATATAATCAAGGTCTCCCCAGGGTGGCTGAACAGTGCATCTCAGCTCAGCCCATCCAGTCACTTCCCTGGATGCCTGCAGGTGTGAGAAAGGCAATATGCTCAGTCACAGGAAAGGCAGGGGCCCACCCTCGTGCTGAAACCTGCATACACAGCTTTCACACAGTTTCGTTCCAAAATACAAAAACTTCATTTTCTTTATACTTAAAATAGTTATACAATTTCTTTCTATAATGTCCCCATGTTTTTTTAAATAATTTGAATGTTCAGAACTGGATATATTTATTATTTCTGTGTTAGGTGATCTTAGTCACTTATGGCAAGAGTGAGTTAATAGAGACAAGATACGGATTAGCCATGGAACAATACAGAAGTGTGTGGATTCAGACAGGATAAAGCTCAAAGGGGTGACAAGTAAATTCTTTTGCAGAAACAGATTCTCATAGATCACCACTAGTTAAGGTCCACATTCAAGGTGCGATGATGTGTCAGCCACATTTTGTAAATGGTCAGCTCTGCAGAGTAAACTTGGCCAGCACATTGCAGGACCAAAACTACCGATAAAGGTATGGGGAAGATAAACCATCACAGAAATAATAGTTTGAAGGAGTTCTCAGTTATTTATACTTGGATGTTCAGCAGAACGCTACAATGAATGAAGCTACAACCTAAAAATTTTAAACCTTTTAAAGAGGTTTCCCTTTTTTCAGGGTGTTTCTCAGCAAATAATCACAAAAAATTTGTGGATAAACTACTTGAACAATTGGCTGCAATAAATCCCTTCCCTGTACTCATCCTTTGGTTGGCATCATTCTAAATGGACTCTGGTGTTGCCCATGTGTCTTGCTCTAGCTAATAGGATAATAGCAGATTTGACACAAGTGGAGTCTTGGAAAGGGCTTGCACATCGAAACTTTCCTCTCTCTCGCAGTGCCTGGAAACCCTAAGGTCACAATGAGAATAAGCCTGTGCCCATCTGCAGTCAATGTCAGTGACATGGCTGCTCTTAGGTCTACTATTTTTTCTTAAAATGTGTGTTAAGTTTGTTGTGGCCAGGTAACAAATTACCACAAATTTATCAGCTTAAGACCACACCCATTTATCATCTCTTAATTTCTGAGTCAGCAGTCGGCACATGGCTTTGTTGGGTCCTGCCCACTGGATTTCACAAGACTGTGCCACAGTGTAGACTGGGCTTCATTCTCACCTGAGACTCCCCTGAGAACACAGATACTTTAGAGCTCTTTCAGGTAGTTGCAGAGCTCATTCCTTAACACCTCTATTTCTTAAGGCTTCAATTTCTAACTGGCTCTTGGTTCAAGGCTGCTCTCAGGTCCTAGAGGCTGTGGACAATTCCCTGCCATGTGATGCTTACACAGGCAATGCCCACATGGCTGTTTGCTTGTTCAAGGCCAGCAGAAGGTTTCAGAGAGTGTCTCTTTCCAGTCTGCTATGACAGAGGCTTATAGAATACAATACAATGATTGGAAAGACATCTCACAACCTCTGCCATACCGTATGGGTTAGAAGCAAGTCTAGGTTCTGCCTGTTCTCTGTGGAGGTAGATTATACAGTTCTGTGACTCACTGGGGAGAGGGTTCTGCTAGGGTGTTCTGGCATCTTTAGTTTAGTCAAATATCAGGTACTTGTACTGAGTGTGAAATCTATCCTGCATCTACTGGCAGTGACTAGTCCTGTCACCCCTGGGAACATCTGGGGAGGCATACTTTATAAGAGATGTTTTAGGATAACCCAGCTCCTGTTGGTGAAGTATAACATTTGCAAAATATCCTAATTTTTGTGATTTCTAACATGTCTTCAAGGTTACTTAATTGTAATGATCATAAGCCAATTATCTCTAAATATCCTCGAAATTTATATTTAATAGTGGAAAAATGAATTATTAAGGAGTCTGCTAAATAAGACTCAGGGAAATAATGTCAATACCCAATTGCTGCCGCCCACTGCTAGACTATGTGAGAATATTTTCATGAACAATAGAACAGATACTGCATGCTAGACACTGCTGTGAGCACCACTGGCCTGCCACCTCTAGAAACGTTTGCAGAATGAGGGCAATTGTTATGAGTCTCCAAATATAAATATAATATGGAATTGTTTTGTTTGTTAAATAAAACTTTAATTATTTCTATCATTATATAACATCAAACTTGATTCTGTCTTGGATCCAAATATTATTAGAGCATTCCTTTAAATGTGGCATATATAAAGCATATGGTTCTATATATTTATTACTGGAATATAAAAATCAGTTAGTATCAAGCATTGCAAGCTCTGACTATCATTTGTTCAGTTTTTACCCTTCACTTTCCACATAGGTGTGATCATGTCTTGTGCATTTATTCATATTCATTTGATACACATTGTTATGTTCTTGATATGCATTTTTCTTATATCACAAAGTTGGCATTCCTTTTTTTATTTATTATTATTATACTTTAAGTTCTAGGGTACATGTGCAGAAGATGCAGGTTTGTTACATAGGTATACGTGGGCTATGGTGGCTTGCTGCACCCATCAACCTGTCATCTAGGTTTTAAGCCCCACATGCATTAGGTATTTGTCCTAATACTCTCCCTTTCTTTGCCTCCCTCCTCCTGACAGGCCCCGGTGTGTGATGTTCCCCTCCCTGTGTCCATGTATTCTCATTGTTCAACTCCCATTTATGAGTGAGAACATGCAGTGTTTGGTTTTCTGTTCCTGTGTTAGTTTGCTGAGAATGATGGTTTCCAGCTTCATCCATGTCCCTGAAAAGAACATGAACTCATTCTTTTCTATGGCTGCATAGTATTCCATGGTATATATGTGCCACATTTTCTTTATCCAGTCTATCACTGATCACTTTCCCACTTTCTGATGTGGGCATTTAGTGCTATAAATTTCTCTCTTAACACTGCTTTAGCTGTGTCCCAGAGATTCTGATACATTATGTCTTTGTTCTCATTGGTTTCAAAGAACTTATTTATTTCTGCCTTAATTTCATTATTTATCAAGTAGTCATTCAGGAGAGGGTTGTTCAGTTTCCATGTAGTGGTGCGGTTTTGAGTGAGTTTCTTAATCCTGAGTTCTGATTTGATTGCACTGTGGTCTGAGAGACTGTTATGATTGTTATTTTTTTGCATTTACTGAGGAGTGTTTTACTTCCAATTATGTGGTCAATTTTAGAATAAGGGCTATGTGGTGCTGAGAAGAATGTATATTCTGTTGATTTAGGGTGAAGAGTTCTGTGTATATGTATTAGGTCCACTTAGTCCAGAGCTGAGTTCAAGTCCTGAATATCATTGTTAATTTTCTGTCTCATTGATCTGTCTAATTTTGACAGTGGGGTGTTAAAGTCTTCCACTATTATTGTGTGGAGGTCTAAGTCTCTTTGTACATCTCTAAGAACTTGCTTTTTGAATCTGGGTGCCCCTGTGTTGGGGGCATATATATTTGGGATAGTTAGTTCTTCTTGCTGCATTGATACCTTTACCATTAAGTAAAATTCTTCTTTGTTTTTTTATTTTTGTTGGTTTAAAGTCTGTTTTATCAGAGACTAGGGTTGCAACCCTTGCTTTTTTTTCTTTCAGTCTCCTTGGTAAGTATTCCTCCATCCCTTTATTTTGAGCCTATGTATGTCTTTGCATGTGAGATGGGTCTCCTGAATATAGCACACCAATAGGTCTTGACTCTTTATCCAGTTTGCCAGTCTGTGTCTTTTAATTGGGGCACTTAGCCCATTTACATTTATGGTTAATATTGTTATGTGTGGATTTGATCCTGTCATCATGATGGTAGTTGATTATTTTGCACATTAGTTGATACAGTTTTTTCATAGTGTCATTGGTCTTTTTGGTATGCTTTTGCAGTGGCTGGTACCGGTTTTTCCTTTCCATATTTAGCACTTCCATCAGGAGCTCTTGTAAGGCAGGCCTGGTGGTAACAAAATAGCTCAGCATTTGCTTGTCTGTAAAGAATTTTATTTCTTCTTCACTTATGAAGGTTTGTTTGTCTGGATATGAAATTCTGGTGCCTCCCAAATCATCATTTTTTCTCATATCATCCCCAGATATATGATATGGGAAAATCAACATTTGGAAACTCATCTGTGTCCTTCTGGGTTGACTAGGAAGGTGTGACATGATTTCACAGTAATTTCCCTAACCCTTGAGTCACTAAAGTCCTAAAGCCCTGTGTGATGCACAAGTTACCCCATGAGCTTGCAGCGACATCAGGGCATAGCCTTGAAGTTCAGGCAGGAGTCTATTCAACACTTGATTCTTTCTAAGAGATACTTATTAGTTTCTATCTGGGTTTGTAGCTAAACCCAAACCCCACTGTCATAGGAACCCCAACAAACATGAGCAACAGAGCTTGGTTTGCACCAAAAGCTGACATCTGCTTTCACTGCTTGCTTTCACTGCTGCTGCCCCAAATCCTACTATTCTCATTTCTATTAGGCAAAAAGTTGCCTTATATTATCTTATATTTTTCAAAATTCTATTGAATATGGCATACAAATGTATACTTTCTAAATGCTTCCAGACTTGTTTCTTCATTTTTAAAACTCAGATTGAGAATTCAGAAATCTCTCCTTTTACTTCATCTTGCTGTGTCTGACTGATCAGACATTTCACACAGGACTTTTGTTTTTAAGTAGATTTAACAACATCTATTTAGTAGCTGAAAGCTGAGAATGTCAACATTTTTACCTGGCTACTCTCTGCAACAGTGGTATAAAAAGGGGTCATTCCACCCCCTTTCCTGGAGAGAGACAGGTGCAAAGAAAAAGTGGAAGTGTGAAGCTGGGAAAAGAAAGAGAAACAGTCTTTATACACCTAAACTAACCCAGGTACATGTACACCAGGAACTATTTAATCAAAATAAAATCCAGAAAAGGTGTTAGTTTTGGTTTGGCATGAACCAGTCTTAAATATAAAGTTGTTATACTGAATAGGTTCAATTGACCAAAAAATGTAGGGAAGGCAGGAAGGATTAGGATGTGCTTTCACTCAGCTTTATCTGCTGTCACGTCTGGTTACTCAGGGGGGCACTTGGATCCCCTCCATTGTCCTGCTGGTTCTGCCAGGCCAAGGCTGTTAAATCTGGTGGAGTCTCATGTGTGGACTTTTGGGTATATACAGGGAGAACATCAGAGAAAGGCCTACCAGACTTTACTGGATATAGTTAATCTGACATGGGCTTTTGGAGAAAAAAAGGCTTTAGATGAAAAGTGTTGGACAAAGTCACACATGGCTTATCTAAAAAACAAAAAATCAAATACAACTTGAAAACTCTTGCTAGAGAAAATAGATGACTTTAGAAAAAGGTGAAGTGACATTTCAGTTTCCCAAATCACTCTTCTTCATACATGTTCACTTAGCTTTTTTTCACCTTCTATCTCTGAGGTTTTAGAAGGGCCTGAGCTAAAAGGAATTTGTTTCCATAGGAATCCAGCAAGTAAAACATAAACAACATCAAATAATCTACATCATTATCATAGAAGCATGTCAAAGAAACTAAGATTAGGTTGTGAGTTATGGCACAAGTATTAGAGAAATAGAGAAAAGATTTAAAAGATAGAATAAGACTTACACAAGAAAGCAGGACAGCCTTATGACAATTGAACATATCATAGGATAATAGGTTGTGATAATGGATGGTGAGAAGAAATGGATTGGACAGATAGGCATGGGCGTGATTGAAGATCTGAGCAATTTAGCATAGATCAAGACAGAATCCTTGGGATTTAAAGTGTTGTCAATTGGATAGTGGAAAAATCTGGGGATGTAATGAACTTGGATTTAACACTATTTCCAATAAGTTTCTGCTAAGTTAGGCCAGTTATGATAATGATGACTATTACAGTGCTAAGTATTATAGCAATAAGTATACTGAAATTAATAGCAGCATATATTATCTGTTGGATAATATTCTAAATGTTTTACATTGTTTAAATAGTAAACAGACCTGTGAGGTAGAACCTACTATTGTCACAGCAACGCAGGTATAGAAACTGAGGTAAAGGGAGGTTAAGTCACTTTACTAATGTCACACAGTCTGTAAGCAGTAAGCTCTGTCCCCAACCCCAAGGGTTTGACTTCAGGGCCTGCCAAGACAACGTCTGGACTGTTGCATGGATCTTGCCTGGCTGTACATGAAGCTCTAATTCCAGAATGGATGAAGATGCCGGTAGAACTTGGTGTAGCATTAATAAAATTGTTTCCTTCAGACCAAGAGAAATGTCCAGAGGGCAAAAGAGTTTAACTGCTTAAAGGAAAGAAGCAGATTTATAGGAAATGAAGTTCTGGAGTGTGAACAGAGTTTTTCACAACCATTAAGGAGAAGAGAAATTGAGTCTAGTTTGATAGATGTGCTGTGTAGAATGAGTGGTGTGGAGATTAGAGAATCAGCCAAGGAATTGTCCCCTGCCTTCCTGGATCGCATCATCATCTGTCTTCAAGGCAATTGTATCGGTACCCTGAGGGTCAGAGCCTGGGTCCTGCTTATCCATGCAGCTGTGGTCACCTTTGCACCTGCAGTGCTGGAGTTAATTGAGTGTTACTTTTTGAGGCAGCTTCAGGACCCTTGGTAAAAATCACTAAGCATCAAGCAAAAGGCATTTTTGGAAGAAAATTCTAATCAGCTCTTCATTCCCACCTGATGCAATTTTTGCTGCTGCTGGGACCCCAAGTTCTTGATCCCAATTTTGTTTTTTCTTTTATTTATTTATTTATTTATTTATTTATTTATTTATTTATTTTGAGATAGAGTTTTGCTCCTGTTGCCCAGGCTGGAGTGCAGTGGTGAGGTCTCAGCTCACTGCAACCTTCACTTCCTGGGTTCAAGTGATTCTGCTACCTCAGCCTCCTGAGTAGCTGGGATTGCAGGTGCTCACCACCACGTCCAGCTAATTTTGCATATTTAGTAGAGACAGGCTTTCACCATGTTGGTCAGGCTGATTTCAAACTCCTGACATCAGGTGACCCACCGCCTCAGTCTCCCAAAGTGCAGGGACTACAGGAGTGAGCCATTGCACCTGGCCCCTTGCCCCTTTTGTAAATAGAAATTAACACCAGACCACAACAGAAATTTTCTCAGGCAAGGTTTAATAGGTTTGTGGCATGAGCAAAGCAAGGGAGCAGCCTATGGGTAAGAGATCCCAGTGGCAATGCCCTGAAGTGCCCAGCTCTTACCATTTTAAGGAAGCTGAGGGGGAAAAGGAATGACATACAAGCATGTTTAGGCAAAGTTTTCTTTGCATTTGTGCAGTGGAGCGTCATGCTCTAACATATATAACATGATCAGGAAATGGAGAATAAGCTCTGCCTTTGGTGGATATTTTAGTATTACAATGAGATTATAATGAGGAAAAATCAGTGAAAGGTCAGTGCTGGAGACCATCTCGTCTTCAGCCAGCTAGATCTCATTTGGTTCTTTGGAGCAATGCCAGATCTTGCAGCAATCTTGCAAGATGACCAGGTTCTTATCAGGAACGTTAGAGTTCCACTTTAGAAACCTTGAGAGGCCAGGGGCAGTAGCTCACACCTGTAACCCCAGCAATTTGGGAGGCCAAGGAGGATGGATTGCTTGAGGTTAGGAGTTTGAGACCAGCCTGGCCAACATGGTGATACACCATCTTTACTAAATATACAAAAAATAGCCAGGCATGGTGGTGTGTGCCTGAAGTCCTAGCTACTCAGGAGGTTGAGGTAGGAGAATCACTTGAACCTGGGAGGCAGAGGCTGCAGTGAGCGGACATTGTGCCATTGCATCCCATCGTGGGTGACAGAGTGAGACTCTGTCTCAAGAAAAAAATAAAATAAAACCTTGAGAGACATCACCAAAGGAGATAAATGGTTGAGCTCTTCTTTTTATGGATAGGATTTTGGCCTAGTCCACTAAGTTGGGAGAGGACAGCTTTTTGGTATGGAACTGGAATCAGCTATGTTAAGGGAGGCAAGAAGGTTGGAGTGGAAACATTCCTGGACATGTGAGGCCCATTGGGATCCTGAGAACAATGTCTTTTTCCTGCCACAACTGTATCTCTTCCTTATACTCTCACAATCATGCACCAAGAGAGACAACTAGGCACATTTTGGGTAGAAAGAGAGAGATGGGGCCACAGTTTTCTATTTTGTTCCTAACAGTCCTTTTCCAAACACCATCTCAGTGACTCCAGATGACTGGCGAGACAGGAGAACACAGGCATTAAATTCTGTGACCAAGGACAGAAATTCTAAACTCAGGCTGAGCTAACAGCCTTTTCTGACCTGATCACCTGGGCAAAACCTGACCAATATAATATTTACATTTCTAACCATACAGATAGATTCATTTTATAAAAATTGATGGTATAGATATGAATAGTTGGTAATCCATTTAGAAAAATATTAAGAAGAAACTGAAACTAAATAATATTTGTGTATAATGATGGTAATTTGTGTCATTAAAAAAATGTACATATGGTATATAACCACTCAAAACTCGGTGGCTAATAACACTAAGCATTTATTTTCCTGTTCATGATAACAATCATCTGGTTGATCAAGGAAGGGCTTAGAAGGGTGGTTCTGCTGCAAGGCACTGAGATTATCACCAGCACTTGAATAGGGTTTGATCTGGGACCCAGGCAGGGTCTAACCAAGGTACAACATGCCTGTGGCAAGCAGCAGGAGTGAATACAATCCCCAAACCAAACTGAATAGGAAAATAATTTAAATCCAATTATTGGACTTACATTATTTGCCTTTTCAGCTTAAGTCTAATAATTATTATAAGGACAATAATCTCTAACCCAGGTACACACAGTTTTAATTTGTTCTTTCCCTTTGGTAAATACTAAAGTTTCTAAAAACATTTACTGCATTTAATTATCAAGGTATTTGATCTATTGATAAAAAATAATTTTTTTTAACTTTTACAATCTTAAAAATGCCTTTGAAAGAAATTTTGCACTAATTAGAATTAAAGCTGAGTGTGCCTTTAACATGTGGTTTTAATATAAATGGCCTCTGTAAAAAATATACATTTTGAGCTGAGGTAAAATCCTCTAGAACATAGCTCCTGAAAATTTCAGTAGATTACCCCTACACTTGTTAAAATGCAGATTGTAACACAATAGGTACAAGATGCATTTGTTAGTTTGCATTCATAACATGCTCATTGTGATGCTGAGGAGGCAGTTGAGTTGGCAGCTGGACAAATTTTGATTAGCAAAGTGTTTTCACATTAAGGAAAAAATATACTTTGTGAACAATTAGGTGTCTTGGTTGTTTTATCAAGAAAGTGTTTCATTTTTTTGTCAAAGAATTGCTAGGTATTCTAAACAATTTTCTCCTTTTTCTGTTTACTTTATGACACAGGAAGTTTTCTTGCAATAATCCCAAACTTGCTAATAAGACGTGGAAGCACATGCAAGGATATTCTTGGGTCATCCCAAATCTGGAAAATTCTGAGATTTGGGGAAATATTGACCTTAATTGGTTGTCAGCTCTCCATTCCTCATTATCACCATCATTTCTGGAAACACATTTCACAAAAACCCTTTTCCCACTATGGTTTCTTGTAGAGTTGCTCAATAATGGGCCCTCATGTCATACGTAAGAGTCAGAGGAGGATGATTCAATATTCATTGACACCTGCAGGTAGACACATGGACTGAGGTGAGGACTGGAGAATCACCGAGTGACGTGCTACAGGCAGCTAAGAGAATCAGCACCCTAACATCTCTACTTCCTAGACAGGGCAGAGGACCACATGTTTAAGCAGCCCATACATTCAGGGTCAGATGCGTTCAGGCTTCTGGTGGACCACCAGAGAGTCCCGTATTTCTAGTATCAGCTTCTCTGTTTACCACACCCCCAGGTATGGATGTTTGACTCTAATTCCCTGTTTTAAAACAATTCCTTCTTGAAATCTGTAGAGTGGTTTCTATTTTGATGTATGAACCCTGACTGATGCAACAACACAGATTCCTCAGGTATCATAATTGCTATCATTACTAAATCAGGGAGACGTTGTCATGTCTGTGCTCCTGGGACTGAGGATGAAGAAAGAGAGTTAGAAAACAGGGGAGACTCCCTGATCCCTTGTGCCAAAAGCTTAAAAACTTGTATACATCTGAGAAATGCTTTCAGCAGATGGAGGCACCAGGTGGAGCCTCTGTGCAACCCAACTTCATACATTTGTTTCACTAAGGGGCTTATGTTCAGGCTTGTAACCCTGTGGGAGGGTAACTGAAGTCCTGTTTACAGTAATAAGCTGCAAAATCTTCAGGCTTCAGGCTGATGATGGTGAGAGTGAAATCCGTCCCAGATCCCCTGCCACTGAACCTCGATGAGACCCCAGGGTGCAAATCTTTTGCATCATAGAGGAAGAGCTTAGGGGATTTCCCTGGTTTCTGCAGATACCAGGCTAAATTACTGCTAATGCCCTCACTTGCCCAGCAAATGATACTGACTCTGTCTCCTACAGATGCAGACAGGAAAGATGGAGACTGGGTCATCTGGATGTCAAATCTGACACCTGAGATTGGAAACATAAAAACAAATATCCACACCATGAATCATGGTATAAGAGAACTTCCCAGAAGTGCCAGAGCACAGTGGGCTAAGAAAATTCCTAGTGTTCTCCTTCCTTACCTGGGAGCCAGAGCAGCAGGAGCCCCAGGAGCTGAGCGGGGACCCTCATGTCCATGCTGTGTCCTGACTGGGACTGACTCCTGCACAGGTGTGACCAGCCTATTAAGAAGTCTTTAGGGCAGGGGGTGGTGCTCTGGGAACAAGCAAAACGGCAGGGGGTGGGGCAGGCTGGATACAGCTGCGTGGCTGGCTCATCTCAGTAACTCAGCACAGGGGCAGTGTCCCCAGTGTCCCAGGTCAGACCAGGGCACCTAGATTTGCCTGCAGAGAATGTTTCTTCCTAAAGGATATTTTGTTACCAAGTACATTTTTGAGCATTTATTGGCAAAACTCGAAGTGGTTGTGAGAACTAGATGGAATAATATATTTCAATGCTGTATTGGGAATAAGTAGGAGAATATCCTTGTTTGTAGAGAGTGCTTAATAAAGTCTTAGAGAGTGGGGCTATCAGGTCTTCAACACACTGTGAAATTGTTCCAGTTGGGAGCGATACTTTGTGACATACATACTACATTTTTGTAAGCATGAAATTGATCTTTTTTTAAGTAAAAAAGAACACTTAGTCATGAGCAAGTAAAATGTTCTCAAAAGCATTTTGTAATGGCCCTAAACCAATGTTATTACCAGTCTAAGCTGAAGAGGTTTACTGCAGATTGACAAAGAGGATGATTTTGTGATTCCTTAAAGCATATGACATCCACAGTTCCTGCATTGTCCAGAGCTATAAGTCTCTTTAATGCTTGAGTTTTAATGGGATTCATTTTATGCTCTGTTTGGGGACCCCCATATTCTACCCCCTTTTCTGTCATTGTGAATTATTTCCCACGGTCCATCAGCATAAAAGTCTGACTAGCAATGCTAAATCTGATTACTTTAAAACAATTTTTTTTCTTCTACTATAGGAGCCTTGATTAGCATAAACTTGAATCTTTGTGTTAGTTTGCTTAGGATAATGGCCTCCAGCACCATCCACAGTGTTGCAAAAGACATGATCTCATTTTTCATAGCTGTATATTAAGCATTCCATGTTGCATATGTACCACATTTTCTTTATCCAATCTACAACTGATGGGCATTTAGGTTGCTTCCATGTCTTTGCTATTAGGAATAGTGCAGTGATGAACATACACATGCATGTGTCTTTATGGTAAAATGATTTATATTCCTTAGAGTATATATCCAATAAAGAGATTGCTGGGTCAAATGATATTTCTGTTTTAAGTTCTTTGCAAAATTGCCAAACTGCTTCTTATAATGGCTGAACTGATTTATATTCCCACCAGCAGTGTATAAGCATTCTCTTTTCTCCATAAACTCACTAGCATCTGTCATTTTTAAGTTTTTAATAATGGCCATTTTAACTGGTGTAAGATGGTATCTCACTGTGGTTTTGATTTGCATTTTTTTAATAATTAGTGATTTTGAGCACTTTTTCATATGCTTTTTGGCCGTTTATATGCTTTTTTGAAAAGTGTTTGGTCATATACTTTGTCCACTTTTTAAAATAGTTTTTTTTTTGCTTGTTAATTTGCTTAAGTTAGTTGGAGGTTTTTTAAGGAAAAAACCAGAATAAGAGAAAAAGAGGAAAATATAATACCACAGAAAACACAGACTGTGGTAAGTATTGCCTCGTGGATATATGTGTGTGTGTGTGTGTGTGTGTGTGTGTGTGTGTGTGTGTGCATATATATATATATATATATATATATTTATGATACATGCTGTGTTTATGTGTATAATGATGATCCAGAAACTAAAGGGTGACTGGTTTAAGGACTGCCTATGTTGCACTGAGGCTTCCTTCTTTTCAAATTATGAACTAAAGGGTACAGCAGTACTTGCATGACTCTCAAAAATTCTAGCAGCATGAGATAGAGGTAGAGGAGATTTACTGAGATAGATGCATTGGAAGCTGTAGAAGCTCGTCCTGTGCTGTTGTGGATGTTGTGATTGTAGTAGTTGTTGTTAGTACAGTGGGAGTAAAAGCAGCTTGAAGATTTACAAGCTCTTCTCTTCCTCATACTTACAACTCCCTCTAGAGACGCATCAATGATTGTACAGGAATCTCTGACACCTCTGGAGAAATCTTGTTAGCTCAATCCAGAATCTTACCTGAGAAATGTTTTGAGCCTCAAATTATGTGAAACTAGGGTGTAGAAAAAGGACTAGAGCAAGGGAAAATAATGTTCATGCCTGCACAGTGGTTGTAGACAGGTAAATGGGGGGCTTTATAAGTGTGATGATGTGCCAAACCTCTGTCACCACGGGGAGAGAAGCATCAAACCAGGATCACTTCTGGAAGAATCATTAGGTTATTTTAGATGGAAGGAACTGTGAATTCCTTGCCAAATAGATTTTTAAAATTCAAAGCTACTCATTACGTGTTAATATTATTTAACTTCTTTAAATATACCAGGTGGTAGAGGGCACATCCACTATTTCAATTCAGGGTTTGTATGCCTATGTGAATTATACCATTAAAAACACAGCAAATTCCATATTGGTTGGGGAAGAATGTTTGAACAGTAATCAATTTCGTGAAGAAGAGGTTTATGTCACAGCACTTTCCACAGTATTACATACAAAAACAGTGAGTGATCTCATATCCACAAGAGCCAGCATTTCTCATGTGCCACATATGCCCTCCCAGAAAGAATCAAAGCCTGGTTCAAGTTGATGAAAAGGGAAGTAAAAAGAATAAAGCCCCAAAACACAGCACTATAAATGGAAAGGGGAAAATCATTGCAGAGCCTATGATGATAAAAATACAAAAGATGGATATTCTGAGTATTTTTATGGCAACTAGCTTGACAGAAGTAACAATAAATTTGTATTATAAATTACCCAGAACGAAATTTCCAATTTTATATCTGCCTGACTGGTGTCTTGATACCTTATCAAAATTACACAAATTTTCAAGAGATTCAAAAAGAATAAATACTCCCAAACTTATCATATGAGATCACCATATACTCCAGTCCAAAAATAAACAAGGACCTAACAAACGGAGAAATTAAATGCTGGTATCTCTTGTGAGCATAAACACAAATATTCTGAAAAATAGGGAAAGAAGGAAAATATAATCATTTTTATATCTATACGTTTGTGAGCACACATGGTTAAGTGTATTACAGTTTTTATGCTAAGAACACTTGATATGTAATTACAAGTTCTAAAAAACTGATAAGAAACAGAAGATGTGACAGTTCCATTTTCCTAACTTTTAAAAGAATATTTCATCTTATTTAAATATTATTTTTATTTTTGTATGACTTTTTGTTTTGCTTAGACTTTTAGTTGAAATGAATAATGAATGTGTATTAAAAGCCTACCATTTTGATTTAATCTATGAAGGGTATTTAAATTCTCATTCTATAGAAGAAAAATCCAAACTCCTTAGAAAAGAGAGATCTTGCCAAGAGCTACACAGTTCTTGTTTCAGAGCTGAGATTTTCTCTCAGATATTCTGGCTCATACAATTTTCAGTACACTACAGATAGAAGATGCAAAGACAACATTACCCAATTGGTCTTGCACTTACTTTGTTCCCTGTTAACTAAGTTTACTGAAAAAAAATAATTACAATAAAATACACTGTCAATGAACTGTCACAAATAAATACATCTGTAGAACCACCTCCAAAATCCAGACATAGAACATTTCTATAACTCCCAAAAGTTTGACCCACTCTTTTGGAATCCACTTGCTTTCCACCACACAGATCAGGGAATTCTTGATCTGCTTATTGTCAGTGCAGATTCCAATTTCTTTTTAAGGGTTTCATGTAAATGAAATATAGCATGTGCTCTTTTGCATCTGGTGAATTTTGTGTAGCATAACTGCTTCTCAGATTCATTGAGATGTCATGTGTTCCAGTTATGTGCTCCTTTTTATTTTTGAGTGTTATTTAACTGTTTGGTAATTTTATAATGGATCCTTTCACCTGTTGATTGCCATGTAAGTTGTTTCCACTTTGGGCTATTACGGATAAAGCTGCTATGAATGTTCTTGAACAAGACTTTGTATGAACATATCTCTTTATTTCTTTTGGGCTAATACCTAGGTGTGTAGTTGCTGGGTCTTACAGTAAGTGTTTAATACTCTGTTCAACTTTTTCCAAAGTGGCTGAAACATTTTACATGTCCACCAATAACTTATTATAGCTCCACACCCTCCAACTGCTGTTTTGATTTTTTTTTTAAGATTTCACCTAATTGTCACTCAACAGTAACCAGAATAGCTAGTGATTATTAAGCTATGTTTTTCTGACTATTTTCTTGTCAATTTTGGTGGTTGATGTGTTTCAGGATATTGAGAATAGAATCAATGCCATCCAAGCTCCTTTTCAAATAATTTTATCAAGCCATAATATTTAAGATGGTAACAGGATATATACAAGGTGTGTTGGGAGTAGTAATAAGTGTTTTCAACATTTATTATTATCGTACTCCATAAGGCAATATGTCTTCAATGAAATAGTGTTTAACTAGACTTAGGATAGAAAGGTTCTCATCTCAACCCTAGTATTCAATATTAGGAAAAGTTTAAGGAAAAAAAAAAACATCCAGGAAAATAAGTCAGAGAGTGTTTTGCTAGTCAAGAAAAACTGCAACACTGATGCTCTTTTAATGCCAGGCCTTCACAACAATTTCCACTCAGATCATTTGGTGGCCTCCTTGCCTTGTTCTCCTTATGGGACTTCATTCTGAGGGCATGTGACATCACAGAGGGAGCAGTGCACTTGGGTACAGAAATATGGCTTAGGAGATTGTCTGGCCTTAGAGGCGCCTGCAATGGAATATACATTTTCAAGGAAGTTCCCTGTTAAAGCTGATAAATTGTTAGTTAAGGCAAGGTGCAGGGGCTTATGCCCATTATCCTAGATGTTTGCGAAGTCAAGGATGGAGGACAGCTGAAAGCCAGGAGTCCAAGACCAGCCTGGAAAACATAGGGAGATCCCCCCGTCTGTAGAAAAAAAAGAATGTTTGGTAAGATGTGGTGTGAACAATGACATCTATAAGAGATTATTTATTAACATTTGCTCAGAAAACTAGAAAATAGAATGATGTCTTATAATCCATCAATATCATAATAAAAATGCTAAGTTTTTCAACTATGGTAAATATAGAGAACATAACATTGCCCATCTTAGCCATTTTTAAGTGTACAGGGCAATGGCATTAAGTAAGTCACATTGTTGTGCTATCATCAATAATAGCAATCTCCAGAACTCTTTCCATCTTCTAAAACTGAAACTCTATTTCAATTAAATGATAACCCTCTCCCCATTTCCCCTGCTTCCAGTTCCTGGCAACCTTCATTCAAGTTCTGTCTCTATGACAGTGACTACTCTGAAGCAGGTTCACTGTGCCCTGGTTACCAACTTATCAGAGTCCAGGGAGACAGAACAATCATACACAACAAGTTACAAGAATCTGGTGTAGTATTTATAGGTGGCCAGCAAGGGACTGCAGAAGCCTAGGATGTATTGTGGGTCTGTCCCCTTAGGCACAGGCATGTGGGTCTGATGGAACCTTGACCGTGTGTACCCCACTTGGACCATAACTCAGCAACCCCAGAAAGAAGATGCTCTGGGTTTTTAATCCTGGTGTCACAGGACACATGGAGCTAAAGTACTGGAGGACTAAAGTACTGGAGGACAGTACTAGGAGAAGCTGGAACAGGGGCAGGCTCTTCTGACCAGTCTCTCCCTATTTCAGAATGTTACATTTCCAGCACATCCTACAGTTGTTCTTGAGAAGTGTAAGAAAGAGAGTGGGGAGAACTAACTGAGTCGAGAACCATTAGAGGACTGTACTGGAGTCACCCCCAACCCAGACACCCCCATTAGAAAGCCATTCCATTTTATATGCCTACTAATAACCCTGAACTGGTGGCAGAGGTGTGTCTTGTTTGACTGATGAAGCCCCTTGACGAACACAATGTCAAAGCAACATCATTGAGCCAGAGCCAGAATAGATTTCACTGGGCCAATGAAAACTACTACCAGAGGCAGGATGATCAGGCCCAACTGAGGCAGTTATGTAGCCCAGGATCCCATGATCCACAGAAGAAGTTGCTAAAGGGGTGAAAGAAGAATCCTTCAGGTGGGCCCATTTTCTTCAATTACGAGCCTGTTTCCAGATCTCCTCTACTTGAATTTCTAGGATACTTGAGGTGTTTGTCCAGATACAACAGGAAGTGTTGGAAATTGTATACAATCCTCCCAGTTGGGATTTTAAAAAAGTCTAGAGCAACACTGTTATCTAAAACATCCATCCCGATGGAGTTAACGGATGTCTGCTGGGCTACCAAGGCAGTGGCTATGGAGGAGGAGCAATATCTGCCATGGTCAGGGACACGTTTCTTATCATTTCTCTTTTTTACATGAGCACTGACTCCTATACATAGTACCAAAAATATCACAAAAGACATAAACCCATAATCTGTTATACCTTCTGGCAGGTCCCTAGTAAGTCTGAGGTACAGCTTTGGGCTGCAGGCTCAATGGTTCACCTAATTCCAAGGAGTAATATCCAGAGACAACCCCAGCATGCCCAACATGCAGAATCTCACCATCCCACAGTTATCCAGAGATGGCATCACACATCCTGCATTTTGTTCACTCCCAGACCATTCACAGAGAAATATGTAGCCCTTGGGTGCATACAGCCCCTTTTCTCCCATTTTATTGTTTAATCACCCAGTCATGGTTATGCAGGTATTGGTGTGTTCATTAGCCAAGTCTCACTGATGGCAGAGTTGAAGGAGCAAAGTTTTTCTCAGACAATATTGTTCATAGACAGAGGGTAGCATTAGTCCTCTCCTTGTTTTTGTCTTTGCCATTGGGACATTTCTTATCTATGCAATCAAAGAAATATGGTGCATCAAAATATCAGTCCACCAATGTTTTTTTTAGTTGTGATCATGACATTTGCCACAGAGTCAATTTAGTTAAACGGGGGGCCTCCAGTTTTCTCCCATGTGGTAGGTGTCACATCCTCAGTTGGTAGGCCAGTGCTCGGGTCCTGTTGATGTACATCATGGTATCAGGAATGTTGGCGCCATTTACCTTCGGTAGAGTGAAAGGAAACCTCTAGTTAGTGACAGAATGAGGTCAAGAATGGCAGATTCAGTATTTTGAAAGATTACACTCGGTGACTTGCAAGAAGCTAACAAAGATGTTATGCTTCTAGGCCTTTGCTGACTCATTCTTGCCAAAATGCAGTGTGACAGGTTAGTGCATCATCTCTCACCCATCCCAGGGTCTCAGGTGTCTCCTACCCATCTACAAGGGTTAGGCTGTGTTGGTGTAAGAATGCGGCCTGGCTGTCCTTGCTCTGTGAACAATCCATTTCCTTTGTCACTTGACCCAGACATTTCAGTCCTGATTGTCCACTGCAGGAAGGGAGATTATGCCCTGTAAAAACTTGACATATTTCATAATATCGCCAACACTAAAGGAAGGATAAGATGGCCCTGGCACCAGAAGAGGGCCCCTAGCTCCCTGATATTTCTTAGTCTTGTCATCCATCCTGTGGGATCTTGTAGAAAAGAGGCATTTAGAGGAAACATAATCCCCATATTAGAGTTAGGGGGCCTGTCTGGGGTAAGATGATGGCCTGAATTGAAAATCACCCCAGGGCATGCATTCTAAAGGAAAAAAAGAAAAAGAATGGTTAGGAACACTGAAATAGCTTTCACAGGTCCAGACTAATAAAGGAACTGCCTGGTCTACCTTCGCTTCCACTCAGCATTATGTTCCTTAACATTCATTATTTCCCTTGTTCTGGAGTGCGATATTTAATGCCCATATTGCTCTAGTAAGATGGGGTACCACCCCATTAGCAGACTTTCTAGATGTCCTTTCTAGATGTTGCTGTGTGAGTCCATTGTTCTAGCATTCACTAGATTCATTGGCCTGTGGATGCAGGGTGCATGGAAAGTTCATCGTGTTCCATGAGAGTGTGCCTACTGTCATGTTGCTTGGGCAGTGAAAGATGCTCCTTGGTCAGTGTGAAGTGTCATTGGGTATCCAAAAATATAACATAAGTTCCTCTCAAGGGTGACCTTGGTAGTCCCGGCATCCAATTGAGCATCGTATCTCTTTTTCCTGCAGGTGGAAAGCTGTGGCCATAGTCCTTTCCTCCACACCAGGGATTCTTTAAAACTCCAGTCTCTCAGTTGCCATTTTCCTGAACAGATGTTGAGGCTGTTGGCAATGGCCCATGATTTAGTGGAAATGTGGCATGGTACGATGTTGGAACAGCCTGCATGGCCATCACCACTGAATGTAGTTTGACCCACTGGGTTGAAATCCCATGCTAAGTTTCAGTTAAAAAAGTGGCCATCCATTGGCTGAATGGTGGCCACACCTAGTGGACCTGTCAGTTTGTGTTTTCCTCAGCCATCAGTGACTCCTGCCGTATGGAAATCTCTGAATCTTGGGCTCGACATGGGTAAATGAAAATCCAAATTATCACCTACAAGTCATTTGGTCCCTTCAACAACCTCTCCATTTGTTCATGGAGCCACAGATCCTGTGGGGTCCTGACTAAGCCTGATCAAGAATGTGCCATTTCCATTTGATAACATGACTCTGTTGAGATTGTTACTGCCTTGAAAGCCAGGCAGGTGCTTCTCAACTCTGTGATTCTTCCCAGGAAATACGTGAGAACTTCCATCTGGGTTCATATCTCAAACACAACCCAGCAGTCTCTCACTTGCTGCTCTCTGCTCAAAGTCTTCACATTGTAATTTTTCATGGGGTAAAAAGTTAGCTTATATATTATCTTGTATTCATTCAAATTCTGTTTAAGTAACATACATATGTTCCTTTATTCTTTCGAACTTTGTCCTTATTTTTGAAACCCAGCTTTGGAGTTCAGAAAGCTACTTTTGTACTTCAATATGCTGTGAGTGAGACTGTGCAAACACTTTAGCAACTAGGTCTTTATTTTTGCATACATTTGCCACAACATATCTAGTAATTAAAAAATCTAGACTGTGAAGAGTTTTATTTGGGTTCTCCCTGAAAAAAGTAGGATAAAATACAGTGCTTGCTGGTGTTCTGGTCAAGGGTCTGCCTTACAAAAAGTAGAGGGGGGGAGGTGGAGGAGGGGAGGGAAACTGATTTAATATCACCAAATCTTATCAATGTACATGTACTCTGGTAACTGCTAAACCAAATCAAAAGAATGTGTTAGCTTTGTGTTGCCAGTAATCAGTCTCAATTAGGTGCCTGTTATGCAGAATGAATTTAGTTGATGAATGAACGTAGGGAAGGAAGAGAGGATTAGAATGAGCTCTCATTGAGCCTTCTCTTCTCTTGTGTCTCATTGCTCAGAGGGCACGTGGACCTCCTCCATACTGCAGACTCTGTCATGCAAAGGCTGCTGCAGCTGACGGGACCTTAAAATGTGATGCCTGAGGTGTAGCCGAGAAATTTATGGTCATGAGCCCTCAGCTGCACCAAGCCCTCTGAGTTCTCCAACATCTTCTTCTTTAGGCATCTAAGAGAATCCACAGTGCCTGCTCTCCACAGAAACAGCACATCTGGGCAGCTAGGCCACAGCAAGTGGGGAGGTTTGTGTTCAAGACTCTACCATTGTGGGAGGATAATGTGTACTTTGCTGGCAGCAATAAACCCCAACATCCTCAGCATCCATCCTCCTGATTTTAGCATGAAATCTGTCCCCGACCCACTGCCACTGAACTTGTCTGGGACTCCAGGGTCGTGATTGGAAACTAAATAGATTGGGAGCCAAGGAGGCTGGCCTGGCTTCTGTAGGTACCAATTGAAATAGATGTATCCATTACTGTGAAGGGGGCTGTGACTAGACCTGCAGGAGATGGAGGCTGGCTCTCCAGGGGTGATGGGCAGGGAGAGTGGAGGTTGGGTCTTCGCAGCATCTCCATTGGATCATGAAATAATGAGAGAGAAGTGCAAGGTTATGTGCAAACATTGTGAGTCATTTTAATCATTTTCTGTCTGTTATTTATGTTTTGCTCAATTATTTTTGTGTGTGTGATTTTGATTAATCCTCCCAAAACATACAGGTTTAAAAAGAACCAATATTTGCAAGGCAAAGCCGGCCTCTAGAAGTCACCTATCCCATCCCCCTCTTTCTGTGTCACAGCTTTCACTAAAGTACATGTCCTTGCTCCTTCTGGAATCTTCCTCACTCTCACAGATCTAGACATCATATGCCCCATCCTGGAGGACAAGACACATCTAACACGAGGACAGGACACACATGGGAGGTGGCGGGATCCACAGAGTTCACCCTCCCACCCCATCATCCTCCCTCATTTCCCTTCTGCCCTTACCAGGGACCCAGAGCATTAGCAGCCCCAGGAGCTGAGCAGGGAGCCTCACTGTGAGAAGGTGAACTGAGGAGTCCTGATCAGTCAAGGCAAGGGTAGAGCTGAGCTTTTATCTCAGACTCACAAGGAAAGTCCTCCCTAGGGGACAGTATGCAAATCCCCTGGTGGGTGCAGTGGGGTGGAAAGAGCCAAGGAGAAGGTGGGGGCGTCTCTTGTGAGCAAAACGACATAAATATATTTTATGTTTTTAAGGAAATCAATAGAGGTAAAATCTGTGTTGCCTGAGTGGCAGAAGGGACGTATTTAGATTTTCCTGCTGTTTCCTCTACTAGACTTCTAGTTCTTTAGGACTTTCTCGGGCATGTTTTATGTTTCTTTTTAATAAGCTTGATCTTTCATAAATATTTGATGATTCTTATTTCTTTGTTTAGGTTTATTTAAAAGAGTCTAGGTTTGTTTATTTTATTTTATTTTATTTTATTTTATCTAAGGTAAAACACACAGTGCAAAGGGTGCAACTCTTAAGGGTGCAAATGAATGTCAAGATCCAGATCATTTCATGTCATGATCCACATCAAAATACAGAAGGTTTCCAATTCTCTCGCTGCTTTCATTATGCACCTTCCCAGTCAAAAACTGCTGCTCAAAACACAATCAATGTAAATGATATTCTGACATATATTATAATTGTTTTATTCATGGACTTAAACTTTATATCAGGTAAAGTAAACATTTTTTGTAGCTTCTTTCCAATTTTTTTCATTTTTTGAGGCCTTGATTCCTTCTTGTCAATTTGAGTTGCTGTCTGCTGTCATTTTCTGTTATTCTGAAGAATTTTCTCTTGAATCTCTTACAAGGCATATATGCTATTAATGAATTAATCTTTGTGTATGAAGGAATATTTCTACCTTGCTTTTATATTTAAATGATTGTTTTTCTGGATATAGAATTTGTGGCTGACTTTTCTCCCTCAGTATTTAAAAATATCATTCCACTGTCTTCTCACCTCCATTTGTAATGATGAAAATTTAGCCAATGATTTTAATATTGCTTCTTAGTATAAAGTAAGTCGGTATTTTAGTGATGCATTTCAAATTCTCTGGGTCTTTGTCTTTCAACACTGGTACTATAATGTGTATAGTTATGAATTGTACTGTGCTTATACTAAAAGGGTTTCACTGAGTTTCTTTCATGTATAGATTAAGGTGTTTCATCACTGTGAAAAATGTTTTTCATTATTTCTCCATTTTTTTCTTTTTCAATTTTTATTTTAAAATCAGAGCATACATGTACAGATATGTTACAAAGTTATTTTGCATGATGCTGGGATTTGGGGTATGACTGAACTTATTAAACAGGTAGTGAGCACTGTACCCCATAGGTATTTTTTCAGCCTCTGCCCTTCCTCCCTTTGTCTCCCCTCTAGTAGTTCCCAGTGTCTATTGTGCCCATCAACCGTGGATTGGATAAAAAAAAAAACTGTGTATAGATACACCATGGAATCCTATGCAGCCATAAATAAGAAGAAAATCATGGTCCTGCAGAAACTTGGATGCAGCTGGAAGTCATTTTCCTAAGTGAACTAATGCAGAAACAAAAAAACAAATACCACATGTTCTCACTTATAAGCGGGAGCTAAACATGGGGTACACATGGGCGTAAAGATGAGAACACAGTTTTTAGCCTCTTCCTGTCTTCTCCTTTGTGATTCCTAATACAAATTTGTTGGTATTGTTCACAGGGACCTATAATGTCTGAGGTTTTATTCATTCTTCTTTATAATTTTTCCCTTCTTTATATGAGGTCATTTCTATTGACTTCTTTTTCAGATCACTGACTCTCGTGTCATGTTAAATTGCTGTTGAGTCTATCTAATACATTTTTCAATTGAGTTGTTGTACCTTTCATTTTTCGGATTCCCAGTAGGTCTGTTTTCATAGTTTTGTCTCTTTTTGAGAGCCTCTATTTGTTGAATCATTGTCTTTACAAATTCCTTTTTAAGTCTTTTATTATAGGTTAAAATAATTATTTGAACATATATTTGATAAGGGTGGAGCACACAGACACCATGGAGATGGACCATAAGGCAGGGAGCTCAGAATTGGATTAGTTGAATTTGGAGTCTCTGACTAGATGGTGCTCTTGTGAGATTTAATTATTTTCCATGTTTCATGTTTCTCACAATACAAATAGCTTTTATTTTTTAAGATGGTAACTATGTACAGAAATTCAGCTTATAAATTCCTGGGAATTCCTAATAGGAAAATTGATGAAAAAATGGTTTCTCTTAGGCCCCCATACCTGCCTCTGCCTGGGACCTGACTTTGTCTCTGAGCCGGTGGAATCTATGATGAGGTTTTGAGTTGGGCAGTGAAATCATGGCAGGGCAGGCTGTGCTCTGGGTGCTGTGGAGGACAGGGGGACACTCCTTCAGGGTCAGTGATGCTGGGAGTTCAAGGGGAGACTCAGCATGGAGCTGCCTGTTGAGTCGCCCCAGCAATCCTGTCTGGACAGTGATCATCTCACAAGTGTACTCAGATGCCAGTGGATGGCCCAAATGTGGGTTCACGTTGGACAAGGACAAAGCTTTAGGGATGAACATATGGGGCTCATTTGATAGTCTGAAGTTTCAGCACAAGCGTAATGAATCATATGGGAAAAGAAAGGAGTCACAAGGTTGTGACTTTTCATTTGGTATTAAAATATATTCCCTCTGCTCATTTTTCCCTCCAGAATGTAACTACTGATACATATTTAACCAAAGTCATTGTTTTTAATTTTCATTTTAGTAACTGACAGCCTGTGTGCAGAGTTCCTAAATAACTGGAAAGCCAGGCCGTCATTCCTATGGCTGAAGCCAGGAAGTGACTGTGGATATGAAGAAATGTGAGTTTCATGTACATGTCTCTAAAGCCATGGGCCACTGATCTGGTGGGAACCTGCAGTCATTTCACTTTCTCATACCCAGATGAGAGGACACCTTGATCTGTGTTCATCTGATGATCTGATGAACTCTAAAAACTGGACCATATTCTGAAGGTCTAGCTCACACTTCTTTTCTGTGCTAGAGGGACTCTACTCACATGTATTGTACACTCTGCATAGGACAGTCTGTGATACATACAAGTTTTTTTCTGCTAAACACTCATCAATCTTGTCATTTATGCGTCTTCTATACTTGTTACCTGACCTATGGCTATGGGGTCTTCCAAAAGAATAGGCCAGAGGTGGAGCTGTGAAACTGTAGCTGAATAAGAAGTGTAAGTGTCAAGATAGGGTAAAAAAGTGTTGATAATAATAATAATATTTCAAATTAGTCTGGGCTCTTGGCTGTGATTACTGGTAAGTGGGAAAGAGTCTAGGTTTGTTTTTTTTAAGTTTTATTTCAATTGATAAAGTAGCCAGGGTAAAGTGCACAAATCTTGAATGTGCAACTGAATAAAGTTTATGTGTAATTCATTGTCCAGGTGGAATGATAGAATATTTCACATACTCTTGTGCTTCCCTCATGGACAATCTTTGTCAGTTTTCGCCCCTCCCACCCAGCCATAGTAACTGTTATTCTGACATCTAACACAATCACTTAGGTTTTCTTGTCTTGAACTTCACATAAATAGCATTAAGTGTATTTTTCTCTTTTTAGCCTTGGTATTGCTCCTTACAATGTTTGAGGCCTTCATTTCTTCCAGTGGACTCAAGGTCCTGTCTGATGTCATTTCCTGGGATTCTGAAGGATTTTCTCTCAAATATCTTATAAGACATAGCTGTTATGAATGAATGTACTTTTTTATCAAAGAAATTTTTTTTTTGCTTTTTCTTTAGATGTGAAGGTATTTTCACTGGATGTAGAATTCCTAGTAGACTTTTTTCTCCTTTCAGCATCTAAATATGTCATTTCACTGCTTCTAATCTCTATTGGTCCTAATGAAAACTTAGCCAATAGCAATATGTTGTTTCTGTGTATTGGTTGGGAGATGATGTTTGACAGTGATCAGTTTGTGAAGCAGAGGCTTATGTCACAATACTTTCCACAGTACTACATTTAAAAATGGCGAATGGCCTTTCATTCTTGATGCAGTGAAGATTTTCTGTCTTTCAACATCTTAATATAATGTGTTCAGTTATTAATTTCTATTATCTAAAAGGGTTTTATTGAATTTTTTCATCTAAGAATATTTTTTATTACTTTTGAAAAGTTTTTGTCATTATTTCTCCAAGGATTTTTTTTTCAGCCACTTTCTCTGTCTCTCCTCCTTTGTGACTCTCATTATACTTTTGTTGGTATCCTTCACTCTGAGCTATAAATCTCTGACGTCTTCCTCCTTTTTTTAAACATTTTATTTAGACTCAATAAGTTCTATTCCTTTATTTTCAAGTTAACTGATTATTCTGCCATCTCAAATTGTTATTATACCTAGCTAATACGTATTTAAATTGGATTATTTTACTTTTCATTTCTAGAGTTCCAATTTGGTCATTTTTTATATTTTCCATGTCTTTTCTTGAGGCCCTACTTGCCGAATCTTCTTAATATTTTCTTTTTTATGTCAATGATCATAGTTTTAAAAATAATTATTTGAAAATCTTTGTAGTCTTTACTAAATCCGATAATTACGGCAAGTTAGAATCAGCTTTCGTTGACTATTTTCTGTTGTCATTATTGTAGTTGCTTTATTTTTGTTCCTTTAATATTGGTCATTCTTCTCATTTTTTTCCCAGGAGCTGTTAAACTGACAATTTTACATTTTTGATAATACAGTACCTCTCTTTAGATTATGGGTTTTTTAATTTTAATTTATTTTTTTAGAAATAGGGTCTTACTCTTTCACCCAGGCTGGAGTATGGTGGTGTGATCATAGCTTGCTGCAGCCTCAACCTCTTGGGGTCCAGTGGTTCTCCAGCTTCATCCTCCTGGGTAGCTGGGACTATAGGTGCATGCCATTACTCTCTGCTATTTTTTTTTTTTAAATTGTAAGATATTTTGCCCACCCAGCCTGGTCTCGAACTCCTGGCATCCAGTGATCCTTCTGCATCAGCCTCCAAAGTACTGGGATTACAGGCTTGAGCCACCATGTCAGGCCTGGAATTTGTTTTGTTTTTCTGATCATTTTTTAATTTTCTTCTTAGTTACTTGGGTGAACTTACTGATAGTACCTGACTTATGATGCTTGGAGTTATAACTTTTTGACTTTCAGATGGTATGAAGGTGATATGCATTCAAGTAGAAATAGAAATTCTAGTATTTATACAACTATTCTATTTTCTCTTTCAATATAGTATTCAATAAATGACATGAGGTATTCAACACTTTATTGGAAGATAAGCTTTGTGTAAGATAATGTTGCCCAAGTGTAAGCTAATGTAAGTGTTTTCAGCACATTTAGGATAGGATAGGCTGAGCTATAATGTTAAGTGGATTAGATGTATTAAATGCATGTTCATTGCATGAGATTGAAAAATCTATCTCACGTGGTGTTTGACCACTGATATCTCTGCTTCCTTTTATTCTTAATATTAATATTTAGTTTGAATTTATAGGAACTGCACATGTATCTGCATAGTGATGTGGTCACCAATGATTTGAGACGTTTTGCTCAAATATCTGGAGGTTATAAATCTATCTTCTGTCAACCCATCTGTGTGTAGTTTAAAAAGCAAACTGCATACAAAATGCAGCTAGTTCTTACCTCCTTCTGGTTTTACTTTGCACCGGAGACTCCTTGTTCTCATCACTCATATCTATATCTTCTAGGTCACTAGGAATGTGTGCAGAGATTATTTCAGCAATATGGGCCTATCTTATCCAGGAATCTGCTATTTACTATCAGCAGATGTACTACTTGCCTCAAACAGGTCATTGTCTTGGACTTGTAAAGCTGTGAGATTTTTCTGTTCATTTCCTATGGAGTTCTGCATGTTTAGCTGGAAACACTGAAGAATTTTTTTCCACTCCTTGGCTTTACTCAAGTCCACCCCCTTTGGCAGCAAGCTGCTAGTTTTATTTGCTACGCTCATATTGGTAAAACTCCAGTTCTGTAATTCATGCTGATTGAGCTGGGGGTAGAAGGCTGCTGTCACAGGCAAAAGGCTACAGACATTTTCTGTCCTTACTCAAAGCACTGGTACTTTTTTTTTCTACAAAGAATATGCATCCTTAATTATTTTATACTTCACCAATTTTCAGAGTGCTGAAATAGTTTTGATACTTCAGCTTTATATTTAAATGTGTGTTTGTTGTTTATTTTTGCACAGAAGATTTATTGAACTCTTTGTGATGCCATAAACAGAGATGCCTTCTAAAATGCATTTAGTTGAACATAATAGCCACACTGAAATGGTATGATGCAATGGACTAACATAAGTAATTTTGGACTTGACAACTTGAACTCCAAAATGGCCAAATAGAGCTGAGATGCTAACACTGAGTGGCCACCCCACTAGCTGTCTGTAAAGGAAGCAGCTGGTATAATAATCTAGTAAACACTGATGGTCTTGTTGGGGTTTTTGTTTCATGTGGAATCACTGTGGGATGCCAGTTGCTACGCTGCTGACAGTAATAAACTGCAAAATCTTCAGGCTCTAGGCTGCTGATGGTGAGAGTGAAGTCTGTCCCAGGCCCACTGCCACTGAACCTGGCTGGGATGCCAGTGGCCCTGTTGGATGCATCATAGATGAGGAGCCTGGGAGCCTGGCCAGGTTTCTGCTGGTACCAGGCTAAGTAGCTGCTAACACTCTGACTGGCCCTGCAGGAGAGGGTGGCTCTTTCCCCTGGAGACAAAGACAGGGTGGCTGGAGACTGTGTCAACACAATTTCTCCGGTGGTATCTGAAATTGGAAATAAAACAGAAATGCACTCATGTAATCAAAATCAAACCCACTGTCTTTGAGTAGAGCCAAAATTGTTGATCTATTTTGAATTTTAATTATATTTCTTGCTGAGCAGAGGTGGCAGGAGTTTTCACTGATGTGCAAAACCACCTCATATTCCCCTCACCTGGGAGCCAGAGTAGCAGGAGGAAGAGAAGCTGCGCTGGGGCTTCCATGGTTCCGTCTGGGTCCTAACTGAGCAGTTCCTCCCCAGAGCTCTGACCCAGGCATTGATATGGGCTCTGGAAGGTAGGGCAGCTGGGAGGGACATGCAAAGCAGCTGGGGTGGGAGCTGAGCTTCCAGCTGCAGAGACCACCTGTTTCTTCCTCTCTGCACTGAGCATCCTGCGCCGCCCTGGTTGTCAGGCCAGAAAAGTCTGTTGGCTCAGTCTGAGTGTAGAACTCCTCCCTTGTGCTCAGAGAATTTCATTCCTATGTCTTTCTTCTCCTCAATCACCTAAATTCACCCAGATGATGTTTGGCACAAGCCTGTTAAGAACAATATAAAAGGCTGTGTTTTCATTTCTGTCTTCCTATCCTCAATATGCCCAGTCATCTCCCTAAGTGCATTATTGGATCGATGGAAATGAAGAGTCTGTTAGAACTTAATCTTCCAGATACACCTTTCATTTGCTTGTTAGTAATGTTTTCTGAGGGTCCTGAAGCTTTCCATTAACCCAGACACATACCCTCTTTGAGTTAAAAAGTGAAAAACTTCTGTTTACAGTCACATGTCCTGGCAGCCCTGACATAGATGCTCCATGGCTTGCCGATTGCTTGCAATTGATCAAGTAACTTAACTTCCCTATGTCTCAGTTTCCATATCTGTGTAACTGTGACAATACTGGTGCCTACCTTACAGTGCTGTAGACAGTTTAAAGAAAATAAGATAAAACATTTACAATAGTATTCAGGACATTATGTATGCGGCAGTTAATTTTGTTTTTATTGATTAAATATTTAGCACTACAGTCATCATCATTATCATAAATATACTTACTTAGCACAGAAAAGAGTCTTCAGTCTAATCCAAGAATGTTTTATCAACAGTCAAATTAAATTCTAGGGCTTTTTCTTCACCAACTGTACACATCTCTTAAAATCCTAATGATTTGGTCTTAATCTGTACTAAAATGCTCAGACCTTCAATCATTCCCGCCCATCTCTGTCTAACGCATTAATTCTCATCATCCATTATCAAAATGTTACCCTATGGAAGTTTCCCATGTCCTGCTGCTGTCCTTCTTTCTTACATAATCTTTATTCTACCTTGTTATCTTTTGTCTTACTTTTGCCCCAGGACTGACAATAAGGAAAAGCTACCATCATTACTTGTGGACTTGCTCCAGTATAATTTTGTCAGGCTTGTTATCTTGGAAGTGAGGACTATGTCTTGCAAAGAAACATATTCATTGGGTCAATGTGTTATGAAATAAAAGATTTTATCTACTTGTCATCCAATAATTAATTTAGACTGACTTGAACAGATTTTTTTTAAGGACGAAAAGGAGAAGATGATATAAGAGGAAAATACAATACAGTATCAAATGCTAGCTATTATGACTCTTGCTTCATGGATTTTTACATATATATTAGGCACATGGTGTGTATATGTGTGCAATGATGATCCAAAAACTGAATGCTGACTGGCATAAGGAATGCCTGCATTACACTGAGTCTTGTCTACTTTTCCAATTATGAACAGAAAGCTGCAGTAGTATTTGTATGAGTATCAAAACTTCTAGCTGCCTGAGATAGAGGTAGAGCAGATTTACTGAAATAAAAGCCTTGGAAGTAGTAGAGGTTTGTCCTGTGATGTTATGGCTGTTGCTGTGGTTGCTGTTGTTAGGAAATACAGTGGGAGTGAAAGCAAGTAGAAGATTGACAAGCTCTGCTCTTCCTCATACTTACAACCCCCTCTAGAGATGGACAGATGCTGGTACAGGAATCTCTGACACCTCTAAGGAAGTCTCTTTGCTTTTTCCAGAATCTTTCCTGACAAGTATTGTATGAGTCACAGATGAGGTGGAAGTGGGTGTAGAAGAAAGGACTAGAGCGAGAGAAGAAGTTTTCAGTCCCAGGTAGTTGTTGTTGCCACGGGGAAACTGAATTTTTCAAAGATTTGTGCCACACTTCTATCGTGTTGGGGAGAGAGGCATCAAACCAGGCTCACTCCTGAGAGAATCATTACATTATTTTAGAGAGAAGGAACTGTAAATTTCTTGTCAAATAGATGTTTAAAATTCAAAGCTATCAAGACCATCCTGGCTAACACGGTGAAACCCCGTCTCTACTGAAAATACAAAAAATTAGCTGGGCGTGCTGGCGGGCACCTGTAGCCCCAGCTACTTGGGAGGCTGAGGCAGGAGAATGGCATGAACCCGGGAGGCAGGGCTTGCAATGAGCGAGATCGCGCCACTGCACTCCAGCCTGGGTGACAGAGCGAGACTCTGTCTCAAAAATAAATAAATAAATAAATAAATAAATAAATAAATAAATAAATATAAAAAAAATTCAAAGCTACTGATTTTTTTGTTGTTGTTGTTGAGATGGAGTCTTGCTCTGTCACCCAGGCTGGAGTGCAGTTGCATGATCTTGGCTCACTCCGTTTCCCAGGTTCAAGCGATTCTCCTCCCTCAGCCTCCCAAGCAGCTGGGATTACAGGCGTGTGCCATCACACCCAGCTAAATTTTGTGTTTTTAGTAGAGACGGAGTTTTGCCATGTTGGTCAGGCTGGTCTCGAACTCCTGACCTCTGGTGATCTGCCCGCCTCGGTCTCCCAAAGTTCTGGGATTACAAACATGAGCCACTGTGCCTGGCCCTACTGATGTATTACTATTATTCATCTTCTTGAATACAGCAAGTGGTAAGGTGCAAATCCACAATTTAAACTTGAGATTTCTACTCCTATGTGAATTATACCAGTGAGGAACAGAAAAATTCTGTATTGCTTGGGAGATGATGTTTGACAGTGATCAGTTTGTGAAGCAGAGGATTATGTCACAATACATTCCACAGTATTACATATAAAAATGGCGAATGGCCTTAAACCCAGAAGAGTCTGCATTTCTCATGAGCCATACTACCCCCAAGAAAGAATTGAATTGAAACTTGTGTCTACTTGATGAAGGGTGTATAGGAAGAGGGAAAGAAAAAAGGACACAAAACATAATATTGTAAATGGAAAGGAGAAAGTCATTACACAGCCTATTAGAGTAAAAAACTAAAGAGAGGCTAAATGAGTAACTTTTTGGCTACTAACTTGAGAAAAGTGGTGCAATCTTCACCTCCTGGGTTCAAGCAATTCTTGTGACTCAGCCTCCCAAGTAGCTGGGATTAGAGGCGTGTACCACCACTTATGGCCCCCTTTTTTTTTTTTTTGCATTTTTAGTAGAGACATGGTTTCACCATGTTGGTCAGGCTGGTCTTGAACTCCTGACCTCAAACAATCTGCCCACCTCAGCCTCCGAAAGTGCTGGGATTACAGGTGTGAGCCACTGTGCCCGGCCTTAAAGCAGTATTTTCATTTAGTAAAGTGTAGAAGAAAAAACATAAATAAAGTGACAACAAGAAAACAAAATGCCATTATGAAAAATGGTAACTTTAGGGCAGAAAACAAGAAAAGGCAAACCAAGATTCTCATAAGGTAAGCCTCCAATCCACAATCCTAGGAGGAATGTCAATGCTGAAAACCCTGGAGCATCCAGGGAGTGGCCAAAAATACTAAATGCTGAAAACCCAGAGTACCCGAGTATCAGCCTATGAGTGTCCCCACACCAAATGCCAGGAAACCCTGGAATATCCAGGGGCTGACCAGTGCAGAAAATCCTGGAGCCTCAGTGGGGTGGCCAACAGTGAGCCCCAAAGGCCTGATTGGGACCACAGAACAATGTGACTCTGGCTTCTTATGGCCAACAGAACAGGAGAATTCTTACATCCAAGTGTCCTGCCTTAAACAATTGCACAAACACAATTAGCAGGGAGCCAAAGCCAAAACTGCAAAGCAAACACATATATCAGGGCAGAAAATAAAATAAAATGGCTGATGGATAAATAAAATGGCATTAGAGGAGAAATGACTAAGAGAAGGAGCAAGGAGGATGTAGTCAGGTGTGCTATGGAGGACTTCAAATGGACTATGGAGTCAAAGGCCTTATTCCCTGGATCTTCCAATATAGGGCAGGTGGGCAGAGGGGACACTTACAGGTGTGCAGGAGCCAAAATGGTGCCAAGCAGTCTCTAACGTGGGGCCTGCGTGAAGATCTCTCCAGGCTCCCCAGCTTGGGTGGGTTGGGCTCCTACGGAGGAACTGGAGCACGGAGCGGCTGGCCTGCATGAAGCAGTGGCTCTGTGACCACTTGCCCATCCCCAGGGCTCCACCGCCTGTCAGGAAAGATGATGGCTCTTAAAACAGCCTTTGGCTAGTGTTAACAGCTCTGCAATGTTAGCAACTCTGTAGCTTTGATCGCTGTAGCACTGATCACCGTCTCACCCTCTTTCACTGATCTCTGTCTTCCCAATTCTCCAATAGCTGTCCTGCTCATTGCTGACCGCTATGTCCATCTTCTCACAAAATCCCATCTCTTGCTGTCTCTTGTTGTCTTGCTTTCTCTGCTGTTTCTGCTGTCTCACTGCCACATCAAACGCTGCCTCTCACCATCTCTAGAGTTGAGTGGCTGGCTTAATCCTGATGCAAGGCAAGTTCTTGGCTTTGCTCAGGAAAGAACGTTAGAGTAAGCCGGTGATTGAATAAAACAGCTTTATTGATGGGGCAGCAGTGTTACAGCTCTGTGACTAAGCCTGTGGAGCAGGCATAATTCATAGGCAGAGGGCCAAGAGTAGCAGCCAGGTGCAGTTTTACAGTCACATTTATACCCACTTTTAATCATGTGATAATTAAGGGGTGGGTTATCGAGAAATAGCTCGAAAATGGGTCGTGTTGCCCCAACTTCTGGGTGTTGCCATGGCAGGGCAGCAATTTCCAGGTGTTGCCATGGCAAGGCGCTGCGACTTCTGGATGTTGCTATGGCAATGGTAAACTGTCATGGTACTGGTGGGTATGTCTTACGGAGAAGTGTTTTCAGAATCCTATTCCTGTTTTGGCCAGCCTCACATCTGGTCCAGAGTGAAGTCCTGCCTACCTCTTACCTCAAAAGTAACAAGAAATCTGTAATAACAAGTTACCCAGAAAAAACTCCAAATTTTATTTGGTGGTTAGTGACATGGTACTTATCAAAATTACACAAACTTTCAAGGGAATAAAAAAATACTCAGAATTATTATAGGAGGTCATAATGTCCTCCAGTCCAAAAATTAATGAGGACATAACAAAAAAAGGATATTAAAGGCTGGTATCTCTTATGAACATAGACACAAAAATCATAAGAAAAAAATGGAATCCATCTGTGTATCTACACATTTAGTGAACACACGTTGTAAAAAGTGTTACAGTTTTTATGATAAGAACTCTTGATAGGTAATTTTAATTTCTGAAAAATGTATATGAACTATAAGGTATGTTGGATCTCTTTCCCTAACTTAAAAAACATTTCCTTGCATTTAAATATTTTCCAATTTTTAATAACTTTTTATTACTTAGACTTTTAGTTGATATAAATAAGAAATGTGTATTAAAAGCCTACTGTTTTGATTTAACCTATGAAACACATTTAAATTCTTGGAAAAATCCAAAAATACCTAGAAAAGTGAGCTCTTGCTAGAAGATACGCAGTTCTTTAGTGTCAGGCTGAGATTATCTACCAGAAATAACTTTTGGCTCATGTAGCTTTCAGTACACTGCAAGAATAAAAGATGTGAAGACAACATTACCTAATTGGATTTGCAATTACTCACTATTCACTGTTAACCAATTTTATTGAAAAAAAATGATTCCAATCAAATACTCTGATTTTAAATGTACTGTTGAACAAGTACACTCATGTAAATGCCTCCAAAATCAATACACACACATTTCTATAACTCCAGAAAGTTTTGTCCTGCTCTTCAGGAATCAACTTGCTTTCCACCTCACAGAACAGACCATCCTTGGTCAGCTTATTGTTAGTATAGATTTAACTTTCTTTTTAAGAATTTTACATAAATGGAATATAGCACGTGTTCTTTCGTGGCTGGTGACTTTCATGCAGCATAATTGTTTCCTAGGCTCATTCATGTCGCCCTGTGTCCTCATGATGTGTTACTCTTCACTTTTGGGTACTATTTAACTGTGTAGTAATTTCACAATGTATCCCACCACCTGCTGATAGATATGTGGGTTGTTTCCACTTTGGGCTATTATGGATAAAGCTACCATGAATGGTATTATACATGGCTTTGTATGAATATTTCTTTATTTCTTTTAGGCAAATACCCAGGAGTGCAGTTACTGGGTCTTACAGCAAGTGTTTAATACTCCGCCAAACTGTTTTCCAAAGTAGTTGTACCATTTTACATCTCAGCCCAGAATTGATGAGCGTTCTCAATGTTTCAGCTACTTGTTTTTAAGAATTTTTCTTAATCTTCACTCAACAGTGACCAGAATGGCTAATCATCATTAAGTCATGTTTTCCTTACAATTCTCTTGACTTTTGTGGGTGTTTGACTTGTATTAGGATATTGAAAACAGGATCAATATTGTCTAAACCCCCTTTCAAACACTTTTCCTAAGTCATGATATTTAGGATGATAAGAGGAGATCTAAAGGGACTGTTGGTAGTAGTAACAGGCATTATTCAATATTTATTATCATACTCCATAAGGCAATACATTTTGAGTGAAATAGCATTCAATTAGACTCAGGATAAAAAGCTTCTAATCTCAGCTTTAGCATTAAATATTAGGAAACCTTTGAGAAAACAATCCAGGAAGACAAATCAGAGTGTTTTGCTAGTGGAGAAGTGCTGCTACACCTAAACCCTATTAATGCCAGATCTTTGCAGTGATTTCCACTCATAAAGTTGGGTTGACTCCTTGCCTTGTTCTCCTATGTGTCTGTGTTACTTCATGCTGAGGGGATGTGACATCACAGAGGGAGAAGTGCACTTGTGTACAGAAACATGGCTTAGGAGATTGGCTTTGGATGTGGCTGCAATGAAATATACGTTTTGAAGAAGTTCCCTATGAAATGTCTTATAAACTGTTTCTTCTGGCCAGGTGCTCGGGCTCACACCTGTAATCTGAGCACTTTCAGTGACCAAGGAGAAAGGATCAGGATCATGTAAGACCAAGAATTTGATGCAAGCCTGGGCAACATAGGGAGACCCCATGTCTACAACACACACACACACACACACACACACAATTTGTGAACAATGTCATCACAAAGTGATTATTTATGAACATTTGCTCAGAAAATTAGAAAATAAAGCAATATCTTCTGAGCTAACAATACTATAATAAAGACGTTAGTTATTTAACTACAGTAAATACAGAGAATATAAGATTGTCTATCTTAACCATACTTGAGAGTACAGAGAAGTGGCATTAAGTATATTCACATATTCTGCCATTATTACTGACACAATCAGTAAAAATCTTTTCATCTTATAAAAATTAATATGTATACCCCTTAAACAATACTCCACCCATTTTCTCTATCCCTACCTCCAGAAACCTCCATTGCAGTTCTGTCTTTATGTCAATGACATGTTTGAAGCAACTTCACTGTGCACTGGTTACCAACGTACTTGAGCGTGGGGGAAGAGAACACCCCCCACAGCAAGTTACATGAAGTGGGTTTATTATTACAGATAAGCAGCAAGGGAACACAAAAGTCTTGGACTCATTATGGGTCAGTCCCCCAAGACACAGGAAAGCTATGTGGAGCTGATGGAGTTGAATATGTGTACCCCACATACACCACAGTGCAGGAACCCAGGAAAGCAGCCACTCTGGGTTTTGTATCCTGGGGTAAAAAGACACACAGGGCTGAAGTGCTAATGGACATTCTATTCTATGGGAAACTGGTATAGAGGACAGGTAGGTTGTTCTGCTCGGTTCCTGTCTATCTCAGGATGTTACAATTCCAGCACGTTCTGCAATTGTACTTGAGAACTCTTAAAATAAGCAAGAAAGTGGAGAGAACTAAGTCAGTCCAGGGTCATTGCAGAACGGTCTTGCAGTTATCCCATCCCCCTTAGCAAAGCTAGCATACTTCATATGCCCACCAACTTCCCCTGAACTGGAGGCAGAGGTTTATGTTTTCAGATTGATGAAGCACCTTGACTTACACAATCTCAATGCAGATTATGAAGCCATAGTGAGAGTACATTTCACTGGGCCATGAAAAGCTAGTACCACTGGTAGGAGGATAAAACTCCCCAAGCAGTGACTAAGATGTTAAGAGGTGAAAGGGGGATCTTTTGATGTCCTATTGTCTGCAGCCAGTGAGCCTGCTTTATGATCACCCCTACTTGTATTTCTAGGATATCTGAGGTGTTTATCCAGGTACAGCAGCCAGTGTTGGGTGTTGGTAATTGCATGGAAAGTCCATTGGTTTCCATGAGAGTGTGCCCATTGTTATGTTGATTGGTCAGTGAGGCTGTTTCTTGGTCAGAGTGAAGTCTCATGGAATATCCAAAAACATGACATAAATTCCTCTGAAGGGTGGCCATGGTAGCCCCAGCATCTAATAGAGTGACATATATTTAGCTGTCCAGGAAGCAAGCTATTGCCATAGTCCTTTTCTCCACTCATGAGATCCTTTAATAGTTCAGTCACTCAGTTGCTATTTTCCTGACCAGACAGCTGGGCTGTTGGCAATGGCCCATGATTTAGTGGAAATGGAGCAAAATATAGTGTTGGGGGCAGCCTGCATGGCTACTATCATTTCATGTAGTTTGTCCCATTGGGCAGAATGGCCATGTTCAGTGTCAGTCAAAAGATGCCATCCCCTGGCTGGATGGTGGCTGCACCCAGTGGATCCACTGGCATGTGTTTTGTACAATCATCAGGGCCCAATGCCATACTGACACAGGCATGTCTCTGAATCTTTGGCTCTATGTGGCCAAAGGAGAAGCTAAATTGTCCCCTATGGGCCATTTCTTCCCTTCTAGCAAGCTTGCCATTTATTCATGGGGCACATGGGTCCTGTGGGATCCTGGTTAGGGCTGATTCTGACTGTATCATTTCCATTTAATGATTTGGATCTGTTGGGCCTGTCCAGTTTTATTGATTGTGTTTGTAGGTACCAAAGTGAGAATGGTTAGTTAAGGTCGCAGCGTCCTGCCTGGTGCTCTAGCTCTGAGATACTCAGCCCCTATCAGTTTCCTACAGCAAGCAAGGAGCTGCCATTCAAAAGAGGCACAACTGTTGGCTGCTTCAGGAAATTTTGTGTCCAAAATCTGAGTCTGGTGCACCCAGTGACACTAGAATCACCTGACATCAGATGTTAGTCTGAGCCCTGATGTGTGATACAATGTGAAGGGTTCAGGAGGGGTCATTCTTCTTGGCAAATTAGGTGTTCAGAAGAGCCAGTAGCACTCTAAATCTCGGTTGGGGGAAACTCAAATTATTGAGTCCCCACAGAGACCTCCATAACATTGGTTCATGAGACTCCCAGGGAAAGCTGGGAAAGATGACTGACTGAAGCCCATGTGTTGAATCATTCTCATTATTAAAAGCCCCTGCTCATTAATGGCATTTCGATTAGCATCCACTTGGAAAGCATTTTTTTTTTTTTGGATTATGGCTCATTTTAAAAACATCTAGTCATAGCTCTTCCACAATGACTTTGTCTGTAATCATCCTGTTGCATTTCTTTTAAGGTCTGATGATCTGTCAAAACCAACAGCCAATATTATTAAAATGTTATTCTCTTTGCAATGTGATCATCAGACGTTGGCCTTGCAGTTTACCCACTGTTTTGATTTTTACATTTCCAGGGCTTCCTTGACAATGGCACTGATGTGACTCCATCCAGCATCCATTGTTGTGAGAACTCTATTTGGCATATCATCATTGTGGGCATGAACATAATGGAGACTTTCATAGGATGCAATGATTAATATTCAACATTAGTCAAAATTTCTTCTAGTCCTACCCTTGGAGCTCTACTGGGTTGGAAAATATTTTCGGACAAGGACAATCATTTGGTAGAGTTTTAAAAATAAAGGCTACAAATAAATTTTCCATAGCAAGAGTATGAACTATGTGTGGTCCAGAATACAATTTTTTATGGAATGTAACAAAAATTATTTAAATGTATTCAATTTAGATAATAATTTTACAAATAGGCATATATTGCATATATAATAGAATAAACACACTTAAGTATGAGTACTATATATATAGCCAACATTTTATCAAATAATATATTGACTTGTATGTATCTTACATACATGTATGCACATTTTCCCATAAATATGGTAAATTTTAATTTTTTATTGAAATATTAGTTTTAATTTTGTCATTAATTTTCTAAGTTTATAATTTGATTACTAAATATTTACATTTATGCCACTAATTTAAGAAAAAATACGTGTGTATATATAGGTAGAGGTGTAAATACTGTATCAGGAAGCTTTTATGCATTAATGATTGGTAACTGGCTAAATACACAACTCAGTGACAGAAAATAGTAAACATTTGTTTTCATGTTCATGGATGCTCACGTTCACAGTAATCTGGCTGATCAAGGAAGGGTTCAGGTGAGTGGTTTCTCTGCATGGCACTGAGCTCGTCTTCAGCCTACACATATCAACTGTCTGAGGACAAGGCTGAACAGCAGTGACTACCCATGACTCAAGATTCTTCTGGCAGGTCACAAGAGTGAACAACATCCCAAACCAAACTGCACAGGTTGAGTTTAAGTCCAATAATTTCTAACATAGCTTCACACATTTCAAATATATTGCTTTATTTCAGTGAGTACAAATTTTTAAGAAAATGTTTACTCCATTTAATTATAGAGGTGTTTGATCATTCCATGGACAAATAATTATGTTTTCAACCTTTACAATATTGAAAATATTTGCAAATGTAAATTTGCATTAATAAGAAAATAAAGCTGGATGTGTTTTCAACATGTGGCTTTAAGTATAATTTATTTAAATGGCCTCATGGGGGAAAATCATTTTAACTTACATAAATTCTCATTTTGTCTCTCTTGTTTCTTATAGAGTTGCCCAATAAGAAGTCCTCCCATGAGATTTGGAAGTCCGAAAAGGATGACTCAATATTCTCCATTGGTACCTAAGACAGACACAGGGACAGAGATGAGGACTAGAGAAACACCTGGAAAGATGCTGTAGGAAGCTGAGAGCATCAGCACCCCCACCCCTAAGCTTCCAGACAGGACTGAGGACCATATGGTTAGAAAGCCCATACTTCAGAGGAAGATGCATTCTGTTGCCTGAGGGAGGATCAGAGATTCCTGCTTCTAATATCAGCTTTCATGACTACTATATCCTTGGCTTTGAAAGGTTGTAGTGGGAAACTTAATCTTAGGAATTTGGTCATTCTTGTCATACCCAACAGAGCAAAGAAACCAGTGGGGAAAGGCACTCAGGGTGCAAAATATTGTTTCTAGAATGCAATTGTAATAGGCCCTATTATCCCATGGAACTAATGTTTATGTTTTTTTGTATAAACATAGAAATTGACTCCCCCAGTCTTAAAACTCAAGATAGTTACATCTGTCTTATCTGAGTTTTTTGTTTGTTTGTTTGTTTGTTTGTTTGTTTTTTCAGTAAACCAATGAACAGGCCTCCCAGATACTATCAAGGAGCTGAAACTTACATATCACTGAATTGGGACAGTGAGACATCAGAACCTTCACCCATTATGATTGCCTCACTGACCTCCTGCTTCCTGTTGACCAAATTATCTTCCTTACCCCTCCCTAATTCCTGTTTTCCCACATTTCTTCCCTGCTATATAAACTCCTAATTTCAGTTGGTCAGGGAGATACATTTGAGAATGGTATCGCATCTCCTCGGCTGCAGCACCTGATTAAAGCCTGTTCCTTGGCAATGCTTGTTGTCTTAGTGATTGGCTTTCTGTGGGGTAAGCTGCAGGGTCTTCACTGAATCCCTGGCATTTCAGTAACAAAATTCTCTGCAACCTTCACTGCTTTGGCTTATTGTAACCTGAAATCAAATTTGTCCACAACTTCTGAGATAACTTGATATAATTCTAGGATTCATTTTGCCCACCACTGCTTACCAGTCTGAGCTTGCCAGCTCCCAACCCTTCCTAGAGCCAATGAACTTTCTCAAAGAGCCACAGGTAACATTTTCCCTTTTTCATAAAATGCTAATTTTCTCTTCGTTCTTCCAATATCTTGAAGACCACTGAGTTTTCCTGTATGCCCCACCTGGCAAATATTTCTTTGCAAATAAAACTTAAATTTAGAGATTCATCTCTACATTTTATTTTGACTTTAGTAGTTTACTTTAATTCTCTGTATTAAGACGATTCCTGCTTAGAATATCTATAGTGGCTTCTTCTGTGTTATATGAATTCAAGCTGAAGCCATAAACTAGACTCCTCAAGTGTCATGATCTCTGTATTTATCAAATCAGGAGATGCATTGCTATGTCTGTGCAGTTGGGGCTGAGAAAGAGAAAAGAATTAGGGTGCAGAGGCGATTTCACGTACCCCTCTACCAACACCATCAGAGTGTGGCTGCATCTGAGCAACACTCTCAGCCAATGGAGGCATCAGGAGGAGCAGCTGGGGCAGCCCAGCTTCACACATCTGCTTCCCTGGGGGTTTATGTTCGGGTTGGTAACACTGTGGAAGGGAAACTGTTAGCCTGTTGACAATAGTAAGTTGCAAAATCTTCAGGCTGCAGGCTGCTGATGGTGAGAGTGAAATCTGTCCCAGATCCACTGCCGCTGAACCTTGATGGGACCCCACTTTGCAAACTGGATGCAGCATAGATCAGGAGCTTAGGGGCTTTCCCTGGTTTCTGCTGATACCAGGCTAACCAGCTGCTAATACCCTGACTCGCCCGACAAGTGATGGTGACTCTGTCTCCTACAGATGCAGACACGGAAGATGGAGACTGGGTCATCTGGATGTCGCATCTGGAACCTGAGATTGGAAACATAAAAACAAATGTCCACACAATTAATCATGCTGTAAGAGAAGTTCCCTGAATAGTAAAGCAGTACTCAGCACACTGGGCTGAGTAAATTCCTAGTGTTCTCCTTTCTTACCTGGGAACCAGAGCAGCAGGAGCCCCAGGAGCTGAGCGGGGACCATCATGTCCATGCTGTGTCCTGAGTGGGTCTGACTCCTGCAAGAAGTGTGACCAGCCTATTAAGAAGTCTTCAGGCAGGAGGTTGTGTTCTGGGAATATGCAAATGAGCAGAGGATGGGGCAGGCTGGGCACAGCTGCAGGGCTGGCTCATCTCAGTAACTCAGCACCAGTTCAGTGTCCCCAGGTGTCCCAGGTAAGACCAGGGTAGCACAAATTTGTCTGCAGAGAATGTGTTTCTACTGGGAACTATTTTGTTGTGAGTAACATTTTTTGGTTTCTTTTTGACGATTTGAAATATTCCTCAGGAGTTGATGGACTAATGTATTTCATTGGTGTATGGGGATTATTTAGGAGAATATTGTTGTTTGTAGGAAACACATAGTAAAATGTTAGACGGTACAATTCTCAAGTCTTCAAAAGACTCTTATATGATTCCGGTTAGGGAAGGGGGTATTTGTCATATACATGCAACATTTCTGTGAGTTTAACATTGTTCCTATGTAAAAAAAATTAAAAATAAAATTTATTGACATGATGGTACATACATTTGTAAGTATCAGGTAATGGTGTTATGCCATTGTTCTTACCAGTATGCGATCAAACTATGTACTATAGATACACAAAGATGATACCGTGTTTTCTTGATGCATGCAGCAGTCACAGATCCACAATTATCAAGAGCGACAGGTCTCTATAGTACTCAGACACTAAATGGGCTGCACCTTATTCTTGTTTTGGGCACCTTCATAGTCTACCTTCTTTTCTGCCATTCAATATTATTTCCCAAAGTTCATCTCTCTTACTGAGGGTGACCACTGCATGGAGCATGTCCCTGCCATGCACCATCAATGACACTTTCCTCTTTTACTTTTTATCAGTGATTGGGGAAATCATCCTGACCCAGACACCAGCCTCCCTGTTAACTGCTTTAGGAAAGAGACACTGAATCTCTTATCAAGCAGTTGCCTATGTACATGGAGAAATCACTTGGATCCAGATGAAACTGGACACGGATTTGCACTCGTTATATCTCATATCTCTAATGTGCCCAAAAATGTCCCAGCCTGACTTAGTAGCAGGGAAAGTGGATCCAACTACATCAGCATCAGTGGGCTGCCACCTAGGACTCCACAAAATTTTACTGATGCCTGACTAGGGGAGCCAAATCACAGTGCTGCAGGCTGTGCACAAACCTTCCTGCTGTTTTTTAAGCTGCCTGAATTTTAAGGGAACTTGCTTACATTGGGAGAAAGGAAGAAAGCTCCATTTGTCCTCTAAATATTTGCTGAAAATGAATGGACAAAAGAAAGATTAATAAGAGAAAAGGCAAACAAAATTCATTTGAAGTGCAGCAGAATATCATAGCAGGGTGATTACCCAGATATCTCAATGGGATACAGTTGTTTGTATTTCTTTTCTAAGGAAGAGGGAATTGAGAAGTGTAGGCAACCTGGAGAGAATAGATGAGAACAGAAGTGCATCCTCAAAAGAACAGGTCATAGCCTGTCTGGATAAAGCATCAACTTCAGTCTCTTGTATTTTAGATTCCTCTTTTGTGTTAATATTCCCTGATGTAAAAATTCTCAGGAAGAATTTTTTTGACAATTGGTTTCCTTCTGGAGAATCTGCTATTATGCAGATAAGGGACATTTAGGAAAAGTCTTTTTGTGCATTTGGTGCTTTCTAAAGGTCTTTGGTTTTACATAATCATCATACCAGTGCAGCATAGTTTGAGATGTTATTTTCTGGATTCCTTTACTTGCAACCCACCTGCCAAGATCCTGTTCCAGAGAGATGCAGCTACAGATTGAATGAGCAGTTGACCCTTGAACAACATGGAGGTTTGGGCACTGACCATGGGTGCAGATGAAAACCTGTGTAGAACTTTTGCATTTCTAACTCCAGGCATCATCTTGAAAGTGGAGAAAGCGGACCTTAACCTGCCCATGTCTTGATCTTTAATTTCCCATTCTCCAGAACTGTAAGAAAATAAATTTCTGTTCCTTATGAATTACATAGTGACAATGAATCTGTTATAGCAGCTTGAAATAGAACAAGAGAGACAGCGCACAATCAGTGAGGACACGATGAGGTGTATACATACCCCAGCTTCCTCATCTCTCAGGTGGAATAGCCCAGAGGAACTTAGTCCATGTTTCCACATGTGGTTGATCTTTGGTTATCCTGAGTCAGGTAGGTTGTTGATGTGTCTTTTTCCATTCATCTTCTGTTCTCTTCCTCACTTTCCTCCTTTCCTCCCAGTGTAAATTTGCTGCCTAAACAGGGATCCTCATTGAGGGTGGACCCAAACTAAGATAGTTAAAAAAAAAATTGTTAATCTTTTGTAAGAGGGATATTTCTCATCTGAATTCTGATAATTTCTTTTTCTTTGACATGTAGGAATATTCAGGAGGCACTTAATTTTTTTTTTTTACCGATCTGTTTTACATTCAATTTGTGAACTGATTTTGTTTTTCTGTGTGTTAAAACCAAAAATTAAGTTGTAAGCCACCAACCTGCTGAATGGACTCCTCTTTTGTAAAGAGCACTTCAAAGAAATTTGAAAAACTAGGTTAGGCCATGACTGGCAGGTGGGTTTAGATGTGCCTCATTATACTTTGGAGTTCAGACACAACTGACCAACATTGTCATTACAACAGAGATCTTTGGACTGACAAAACAGATGCTTTGTAGCATTAAGATACCATATTCCAACATGACAGATAATAGGCCCTGAAGAAAATCTAAATATTTTACCTTAAAAATATTTCTTCATCATATTCTGAAGTGGTTCTGCAAAGCTGCCAGTTGTGGGGGAAATTTTCATTCTATAGAGAATCTCCTCCCCTTACTAAGTCTTTTTTAAAGTCTGACATTTTTTAAAGCTCTGATAAGCAACATTCACCGTGTACTTTATCTGCTACTGATAGGATTCATCTACATGACAAGAACCTTGGCTTCCACATCCCCTTTTCTACACTCAAGCATTTCTTTATGATGAATTCAACTCTTTAGACAGACCTTAACTCTTTCAACCAGTAGCCAGTAAGGAAAGCTTTGAATCCACCTATGACCTGGAAGCCCCTGCTTCAAGCTATCCCACCTTTCCAGGACAAACTAATGTATATCTTATATGTATTGATTTATGTCTTTCCCTGTATTTCTGTGTTTCCCTAAAGTGCTTAAAACCAATGTGTAATCCAACCACCTTGGGCACATGTTTACAGGACCTTCTAAAGCTGTGTCACAGGCCATAAGCCTTATCTTTGGCAGAATAACCCTGTAATTTGATTGAGACCTGTCTCAGATACTGTTTTGTTTATACTGGGTCACAAAATTTAAAAATCCTCTAAAACTATCTACACATCAATAAATCTACATTAGAGACAGTGGAGTGAGCATACCCCAACAGATAAAACTCACAAGTTAGAGGAACCTGAGTCTAAGATTTTGTCCACCTCCCTTGATTCATAAAAATACTTCGTGATTTTTTAAATTTTACTTTAGAGAAGGACAATTTTGGGGAATATGTTTATGGTCGGTGGAATGAATAATGTCCCACCCCAAAGGATGTCCATGTCCTCATCTCTGGAACCCAAGTGCTATAGGAGTTTTTAAGAAATTATTTTAGGCAGATAGGAAAAGGGGTCCTTGGGAAGGTTTTGTTTCCTTTAAAGCAGCTCTAGAAACACTTCTTGTCTAGCCAGAAAGCCCTGGCTCTTAGAGCCAGGCTGGGAAGCTTTCCTATGCAAATCATAGCCATTAGAAACTGGATTCACCCAAACATGGCGATTCCCACCGTTTTCTTCCTTGTCAACACATGTGCCTGGGAAAAACCTGAAAGATGCTATAGGAAGCTGAGAGCAGCTGCAACCCCACCCTTAAGCTTTCAGACAGGACTGAGGACCACATGGTTAGATAGCCCATACTTCAGTGGCAGATGCATTCTATTTTCTGAGGGAGTACCAGAGAATCCTGCTTCTACTGTCAACCTTCCTGACTACTATATCCTTGGCTTTGAAAGGTTGTAGTGTAAAAGTTAATCATAGGAATTCGGTCATTCTTGACATACCCAACAGAGCCAAGAAACCAGGAGGGAAAACCACTCAGGGTGCAAAATATTGTCTGAAGAATGCAATTGAAATAGGCCCTATTATCCCATGGAACTAATGTTTATGATTTTTTGAATAAACATAGAAACTGACTCCCCCAGTCTTAAAACTCAAGGTAGTTACATTTGTTAATCTGAGTTCTTTTTTCAGGAAACCAACCATCAGGCCTCTAGATACTATCAAGGAGCTGAAAGTTATATATCACTGAATGGGGACAGTGAGACATCAGACCCTTCACCCATTATGATTGCCTAACTGACCTCCAGCTTCCTGTTGACTAAATTATCTTCCTTACCCCTCTCTAATTCCTGTTTTCCACATTTCTTCCCTGCTATATAAACCCCTAATTTATTTTGTCAGGGAGATACATTTGAGAATGGTGTCCCGTCTCCTCGGCTGCAGCACCTGATTAAAGCCTGTTCTTTGACAACACTTGTTGTCTTAGTGATTGGCTTTCTGTGTGGTGAGCCGCAGGATCTATACTGAATCCCTGGCATTTCAGTAACAAAATTCTCTGCAAGCTTCACTGCTTTGGCTTATTGTAACCTGAAAGCAAATTTACCCACAACTTCTGAGATAACTTAATATAATTCTAGGATTCAGTTTGACCACCACTGCTTACCAGTCTGAGCTTGCCAGCTCCCAACCCTTACTACAGCCAACAAAATTTCTCAAAGAACAATAGGTAATAATTTCCCTTTTTATAAAACTCTTTGCTCTTCCAACATATTGAAGACCATTGAGTTTTCCTGTATGCCCCATTTGGCAAAAATTTCTTAACAAATAAAACATTAAATTTATCTGTACATTTTATTTAGACTTCAATACTTTAGACTCCAATTCTATCTATTAAGACTATTCCTGCTTAGGATATCTATAATGGCTTCTTCTCTGTTATATGAATTCTAACCAAAGCCATAAACTAGACTCTTCAGGTGTCATGATCTCTATCTTTATTAAATCAGCAGAGGCATTGTTATGTCTGTGCAGCTGGGGCTGAGAAAAGAAAAAGAAATTGGGATGCAGAGGTGATCTCATATCCTCCTCTACCAACACCATCAGAGTGTGGCTGCATCTGAGGAACACTCTCAGCCAATGGAGGCATAAGGAGAAGCAGCTGGGGCAGCCCAGTCTCACACATCTGCTTCCCTGGGGGTTTATGTTCGGGTTTGTAACACTGTGTGAGGGTAACTATTAAACTGTTGACAGTAATAAGTTGCAAAATCTTCAGGCTGCAGGCTGCTGATGGTGAGAGTGAAATCTGTCCCAGATCCACTGCCGCTGAACCTTGATGGGACCCCACTTTCCAAACTGGAGGCATCATAGATCAGGAGCTTAGGAGCTTTCCCTGGTTTCTGCTGATACCAGGCTAAAGCACTGCTAATGCCCTGACTTGCCCGGCAAGTGATGGTGACTCTGTCTCCTACAGATGCAGACAGGGAGGATGGAGACTGGGTCAACTGGATGGCACATCTGGCACCTGAGATTGGAAGCATAAACACAAATGGTCCACACAATTAATCATGTAGTAAGAGAATTTCCCTGAATAGCCAGGCTGTACTGAGCCCCCTGGGCTGAGTAAACTGCTAGTGTTCTCCTTCCTTACCTGGGAGCCAGAGCAGCAGAAGCCCCAGGAGCTGAGCGGGGACCCTCATGTCCATGCTGTGTCCTGAGTGGGTCTGACTCCTGCAAGAAGTGTGACCAGCCTATTAAGAAGTCTTCAGGGCAGGAGGTTGTGTTCTGGGAATATGCAAATGAGCAGAGGATGGGGCAGGCTGGGCACAGCTGCAGGGCTGGCTCATCTCAGTAACTCAGCACCAGTTCAGTGTCCCCAGGTGTCCCAGGTAAGACCAGGGTAGCACAAATTTGTCTCCAGAGAATGTGTTTCTACTGGGAACTATTTTATTATGAGAGACATTTTTTAGTTTTTTTTTGACGATTTGAAATATTCCTCAGGAGTTGATGGAGTAATGTATTTCATTGGTGTATGGGGATTATTTAGGAGAATATTCTTGTTTGTAGGAAATATATAATAAAATGTTAGACGGTATGATTATCAGGTCTCCAAAAGACTCTCATATGATCCCGGTTAGGGAAGGGGTTACTTTGTCCTATACTTGGAACATTTCTGTGAGTTTAACATTGTTCCTTTCTAAAAAAATCAAAAATAAAATTTATTGACATGATGCTATATATACATGTCAGTATTCGGTAATGGTGTTATGCCATTGTTCTTACCACTATAAGATCAAGCAATTTACTACAGATCCACAGAGATGATGCCTATGTACATGGAGAAAGCAGTTTGATACAGATGAAACTGGAAATGATTTGCAATCATTATATCGCACATATCTAATGTGCCCAAAACTGTCCCAGCCTAGCTCAGTAGCAGGGGAAGTGGATCCAACTATATTAGCATCAGTGGGCTGTAGCCTAGGGCTCCACAAAATTTTACTGATGCCTGAGTAGGGGAGCCAAATCACAGTGCCATAGCCCGTGCACAAACCTTCTTGCTGCTTTGTAAGCCGCCTGAATTTTAAGGGAACTTGCTTATATTGGGAGAAAGGAAGAAAACTCCATTTGTCCTCTAAATGTTTGCTGAAAATAAACTGACAAAAGGAAGATTAATAAGAGAAAAGGCAAACAAAATTCATTTAAAGTGCAGCAGGATATCATAGCAGGGTGATTACCCAAATAACTCAATAAGATCCAGTAGTTCATATTTCCTTTCCAGCGAAGACGGAATTCGGAAGTGTAGGCAATCTGGAGAGAATAGATGAGAACAGAAGTGCATCTTCAAAAGAACAGGTAATAGCCTGTCTGGATAAAGCATCAGTTCCCAGTCTCTTCTATTTTTGATTCCTGTTTTGTGTTAATCTTCCCTGATATAAAAATTCTCAGGAATAATTTTTTTGACAATTGGTTTCCTTCTGGAGAATCTGCTTTTTGGCAGATAAGCGATGTTTAGGAGAAGGCTTTTTGTGCATTTGCTGCTTTCTAAATGCCTTTGGTTTTATGTAATCCTCATATGAATGCAGCATAGTTTGAGATGTTATTTTCTGGATTCCTTTACTTACAACTCACCTACCAAGATCCTGTTCCAGAGAGATGCAGCTACAGACTGAAAGAGCAGTTGACCCCTGAACAATGTGGAGGTTGGGGCACTGACCACAGGTGCAGATGAAAACCTGTGTAGAACTTTTGCATTTCTAACTTAAGTACTAATAGCTTACTTTTGACTGCTAGCCTTAATGATAAAATAAATAGTTGATTAACACTTTTTTAAGTTATTTATATCATATACTCTATTATTCCAATAAACTATGCTAAAGAAAAAAATGTAATTAAGTAAACTATAAAAATGAGAAAATATATTTACTACTTATTAAGTACTTGTTTACAGGTGACACACACAGAAGAAAATACAAGTGGATCTGCAAATTTCAAACCCAATTTATTCAAGGGTTAACTGTACCAGGATGAATATAGGAGTCTCTATCTGTATTCTAGGGCTTTCTCTTTGCTGTACCTCTGCTCACTTGCAATGGCAATATACATGTCTTATGTTCTTTACAGTCTTGGGCAGAGAACTCTGCCTGCATGCATTGCTGACCAAATGACCTGAAATGTGTATCTCTTAGGAAAGTGCTATGGTTTCACTGTGTCCTCCAGAATCCATCTGTTGTAAAGTTAATTCTCAGTGTAATGGTATTGCCATGTGGGGCCTACTGGGATGTGTTTAGATCATGAGTGTGGTGCCCTCTAGTGGAATACATTAATGCCAGTATAAACAGCAATTGTGGGGCTGAGATCTCTCTCTCTTCTGCTTGTCTGTCATGTTAAGACATGGCCTTCCTTCCTTTGAAGGACCCCAAACTCAAGGCATCATCTTGAAAGCAAAGAAAGCAGACATTAACCTGCCCATGCCTTGAACTTAAATTTTCCATTCTCCAGAAGTGTAAGAAAATAAATTTGTGTTCTTTATGAATTACTCAGTGAAAAGGAATCTGTTACAGCAGCTTGAAATAGAACAAGAGAGACAGCTCACAATCAGTGAGGACAGGATGAGGTGTATACATACTTAAGCTTCCTCATCTCTCAGGTGGAACAGCCCGGAGGAATTTAGTCCATGTTTCCACAGGTGGTTGATCTTCAGTTCTCCTGAGTCAGGTGGGTTGTTGATGCGTCTTTTACAATTCATCTTCTGTTCCCTTCCTCACTTTCCTCCTTTTCTCCCAGCGTAAATTTGCTGCCTAAACAGGAATCCTTATTGCAGGTGGACCCAAACTAAGACAGTAAAAAAAAAAAAAAAATCGTTAATCTTTTGTATGAGGGGTATTTCTCATCTGAATTCTAATAATTTCTTTTTCTTTGACATGTAGGAATATTCAGGAAGCACTTAATTTTTCTTTACCAATCTATTTCAGATTGAATTTGTGCAGTGATTTTGTTTTTCTGTGTGTTAAAACCAAAAATTAAGTTGTAGGTCACCAACCTGCTGAATGGACTCCTCTTTTGACAGAAAGCACTTCAAAGAAATTTGGAAAACTAGATTAGGCCATGACTGGCAGGTGGGTTTAGATGTGCCTCATTATACTCTCCTCCCTTTGGAGTTCAGACACAACTGACCAGCATTATCATTACAACAGAGATCTCTGGACTGATGAAACAGATACTTTTTAGCAATAAGATACCATACTCCAATGTGACAGATAATAGGCCCTGGAGAAAATCAAAATATTTTATCCTAAAAATATTTCTTTGACATATTCTGAAGTGGCCCTGCAAAGCTACCTGTTGTGGGGGAAATTTGCATTCTATAGAGAATCTTCTCCCCTTACTAAGTCTTTTCCAAAGAGTCTGACATTTTTTTCTAAGGTCTGATAATCAACATTCACCATCTACTTTATTTACTACCCATAGGATTCATCTACATGACAAGAACCCCCCATTTTCTAGACTCAAGCATTTCTTTATGATGAATTCAACTCTTTAGGCAGAGCTTAACTCTTTCAACCAGTTGCCAGTCAGGAAAGCTTTGAATCCACCTATGACCTGGAAACCCCTGCTTCAAGCTATCCCACCTTTCCAGGACAAACTTATGTGTATCTTATATGTACTGATTTATGTCTTTGCCTGTAATTTCTGTGTCTCCTAAAGTGTATAAAACCAACGTAAAATCCAACCACCTTAGGCATATGTTTGCAGGACCTCCTAAGGCTGTGTCACAGGCCATAAGCCATATATTTGGCAAAATAAACCTGTAAATTGATTGAGACCTGCCTCAGATAGTGTTTTGCTTACACTAGGTCACAAAATTTAAAAATGCCTAAACCGCAGCAGCCCGGCATTCCTCCAGGACCTCCTCCCCTGGGATCTTGCTTCAAGTGCTGGAAATCTGGCCACTGGACCGAGGAATGCCCACAGCCTGGGATTCCTCCTAAGCCGTGTCCCATCTGTGCGGGACCCCACTGGAAATTGGACTGTCCAACTCTCCTGGCAGCGACTCCCAGAGCCACTGGAACTCTGGCCCAAGGATCTCTGACTGACTCCTTCCCAGATCTTCTCAGCTTAGCTGCTGAAGACTGATGCTGCCCAATCGCCTTGGAAGCCTCCTGGACCATCACAGACACTTTGGGTAACTCTTACAGTGGAGAGTAAGTCCATCCCCTTCTTAATCAATGTGGAGTCTACCCACTCCACATTACCTTCTTTTCAACGACCTGTTTCCCTTGCCACCATAACTGTTGTGGGTATTGATGGCCAGGCTTCTAAATCTCTTAAAACTCCCCAACTCTGATGCGAACTTGGACAACATTCTTTTATGCACTCCTTTTTAGTTATCCTTACCTGCCCAGTTTCCTTATTAGGTCGAGACGTTTTAACAAAACTATCCACTTCCCTGACTATTCCTGGGCTACAGCCACACCTCATTGCCACCCTTTTCCTCACTTCAAAGCCTCCTTTGCATCCTCCCCTGTGTCTCCCTGCCTTAATCCACAAGTATGGGATACCTCTACTCCTTCCTTGGCAACTGATCATGCACCCCTTACCATCCCGTTAAAACCTAATCACTGTTACCACTAGAGCGTGTTATCACCCACCTGTTACAACATGGCCTCTTAAAGCCTACAAATTCTCCTTACTGAGGGAAGAGAGAGACCCTCTCATATTGTTTTATATTGTTTTATACTCAGTACCTGTTTTAAGAGTAAAAATCAAGGAAGTGAAATCAGAGACAGGCAGCCCGGCGCCAGGCCTGGGCCTGCCTGGCCTAAACCTAGTAGTTAAAAATCAACTCATGACTTAGCAACCAATGTTATCCATAGATTCCAAGCATTGTATGGAAGAACATTGTGAAACTCCCTGTTCTGTTCTGTTTGACTCTGACTACCAGTGCATGAAGACCCTGTTACATAACCCCTAGATTGCTCAATCAATCACGACCCTTTCATGTAAAATCTTTAGTGTTGTGAGCCCTTAAAATGGACAGAAATTGTGCACTCAAGGAGCTCCGATTTTAAGACAGTAGCTTGCCGATGCTCCCAGCTGAATAAAGCCCTTCCTTCTACAACTCGGTGTCTGAGAGGTTTTGTCCATGGCTCATCCTGCTACATTACAGCTCCCCTATCCTACCCATCCAGGAACCAGACAAATCTTACAGGTTGGTTCAGGATCTTTGCCTTATTAATCAAATCGTCTTTCCCATCCACCTTATAGTGCCAAACCTCTACACCCTCCTATCTTCAATACCCCCTTCCACAACTCACTATTTTGTTATTGACCTCAAAGACACCTTCTTTACTATCCCCTTGTATCCCTCCTCTCAGCCTCTTTTTGCCTTTACTTGGACTGACCGTGACACCCACCAATCCCAACAACTCACCTGGACTGTTCTGCCCCAAGGCTTCAGGAACAGCCCACACTACTTCGGCCAGGCCCTTTCTCATGATCTGCTTTCTTTTCACCTGTCTGCCTCCCATCTTATTCAATATTTTGATGATCTTCTTCTTTGCAGTCCCTCTTACCAATCTTCCCAGCAGGACACTACCCTGCTTCTTCAACATCTCTATTTAAAGGGGTACCGAGTATCCCCCTCCAAGACACAAATTTCTTCCCCTAGTGTTACCTATCTCGGTATAATCCTCCATCAGCATACACATGCCCTTCCTGCAGACTGTGCTCAGTTAATCTCCCAGACCCGAATCCCCACCACAAAACAACAACTCCTTTCCTTCTTAGGCATTGTTGGATATTTCCGACTCTGGATACCAGGCTTTGCTATCCTAACAAAACCACTTTACAAGCTCACAAGAGGTAACTTAACTGATCCCATAGACCCTAAGTTTTTTGCCCATTGTTCTTTTTGCTCTCTCAAAAAGGCCCTGGAGACAGCTCCCACACTAGCACTCCCCAACTCGTCCCATGCTTTTTCCTTACACACAGCTGAAATACAAGGCTGCGCTGCTGGAGTCCTCACACAGGAGCCAGGCCCACGACCTGTTGCCTTTCTATCAAAACAACTTGACCTCACAATTCTGGTGCAGCCCTCATATTTGCGTGCAGCAGCAGCTGCTGCTGTAATACTTCTGGAAGCCCTCAAAATCACAAGCTATGCTCCACTTACCCTCTACAGTTCTCACAACCTTCAAGCATTAATATCCTCCTCACACCTTTCACACTTACTGTCTGCCCCTCGACTCCTCCAGCTCTATTCTTTTATTGAAACCCCAACAGTAACTATTGGCCATGGGCACGATTTCAACCCAGCTTCTCAGTTAGTAACCAACACAAGTCCTGAACCACGTGACTGTATTTCCCTAATACACATAGCATCTTCCTCCTTTCCTTGTATTTCTATTCTTCGAATTCAAAATCCAGACCACCCAATCAATTTTCACCAGGTAAGCTGGATATGCTGTCATGTCCCACATCTCTATTATTGAAACTGCTGCTCTTCCTCCCTCCACCACTTCCCAACAAGCCAAACTGATTGCTTTAACTCATGTGCTCTCTCTCGCTAAGGGAATGCACATTAACATTTATACTGACTCCAAATATGCTTTCCACATCTTCCATAACCATGCTGCCATCTGGGCTAAAAGAGGCTTCCTTACCACACAAACCTCTTCCATTATCTATGCCTCCCTAATAAAGGCCCTCCTTAAGGCTGCTCTCCTGCTGGCCAAGCCTGGAGTCATTCATTGTAAAGGACACCAGAAACCTACTCATCTTATTGCAAAAGGAAATGCCTATGCCGACAGGACAGCAAAAGAAATAACCAATGCCTCCACACCCGCTAATATTCCAGCTCCCACTCCAGAGGACCAGTATTTTTCTTCCTTATCTATCACTACCACCTACTCTTTTGAAAGCCTGCTCTACTAGTCTTTTCCAACTCAGGGAAAGTGCTTCTTAAATCATGGAAAATTCATTCTTCCTGCCTCACAAGCTCAGTCCATGCTTTCTTTCCTTCATGACCACTTCCATGTGGGATACAAGCCTCTGGCTCGCCTCCTGCAGCCCCTCATCTCCTTCTCTTCATGGAAATCCATCCTTAAGACAGTCACCTCTCAATGCTCGTCTACCATGCCACCAGCCCCCAAGGCTTTCTCAGCCCTCCTCCTTTTCCTACGCATCAGGCTCGTGGATTTACTCCAACACAAGATTGGCAGATTGACTTCACTCATATGCCCCATATCTGTAAATTTAAATATCTCCTGGTTTGGATTGACACCTTCACTGGGTGGGTTGAGGCATTTCCCACTATCTCTGAAAAGGCTACTGCAGTCATTTCTTCCCTTCTAACAGATATAATTCCCTGATTTGGCCTCCCTACTTCTATTCAATCTGACAATGGTTTGGCTTTTATTAGTCAAATCCTCCAAGCTGTCTCTCAAGCTCTTGATATTCAGTGGAAACTTCATACCCCCTACCATCCTCAGTCTTCAGGAAAGGTAGAAAGGAGTAATGGTCTTTTAAAAACACACCTCACCAAGCTCAGCTTCCAACTTAAAAGGGACTGGACAGTATTTCTACCACTTGCCCTTCTCAGAAGTAGAGCCTGCCTTCAAGATGCTACAGGGTACAGTCCATTTAAACTTTTATATGGACTTACTTTCTTGCTTGGCCCCAACCTTGTTCCAGACACCAGCCCTCTGGACAACTATCTTCCAGTCCTCCAGCAGGCTAGACAGGAAATTCGCCCGACTGCTAATCTTCTCTTTCCTACTCCAGATTCCCAGCCATATGAAGACACCCTAGCTGAACGATCAGTTCTTGTTAAGGGTCTGAGCCCTCAAACTCTACAGCCTCGATGGACTGGACCCTATCTAGTCATCTATAGCACCCCAACTGCTGTCCATCTGCAGGACCCTCCCCATTGGGTTCACCATTCCGGAATAAAGCTGTGTCCATCGGACAGCAAGCCTGATCTCTCCTCTTCCTCCTGGAAGTTGCAAGTACTCTCCACTACTTCCCTTAAACTCACTCACATTTCTGAAAACAGTAATAACCCTTATGAACCTAATATGTTCCTTCATTCTATTAGGTCTATTCATCCTTACTCTACTTTTTGCAACAGGGCTTTACACAGTCACCCCCACTACTTGGACTGTGCCCCAAAACTTGTCATCCCTACTATCTTCTGTCTAGTCATACTCCTATTCACCATTCTCAACTACTCATAAATGCCCTGCTCTTGTTTATACTGCCGGTTTACACTGTTTCTCCAAACCATCACAGCTGATATCTCCTGGCCCTATTGCCAAACCACCACTCTTGACTCCCTCTTGGAGTGGATAGATGATCTTTGCTGGCAGGGCACACTCCAATATTTTCACCATGATGAAGTCCTATTCTTTTTTTTTATACTCACTCTTATTCTCATTCCCATTCTTATGCCACCCTCTCCCTCTCCCCAACTATCTCCACTACACTATCAGTCTCACTCACTCTCTCCCAGCCATTTCTAATCCCTCCTTAGTGAACAATTGCTGGCTTTGCATTTCCCTTTCTTCCTGCGCTTACAAAGCTGTCCCTGCCTTACATACCTACTGGGCAACATCTCCTGTCTCCGTACATCTCCGAACTTCCTTTAACAGCCCTCACCTTTACCCTCCTGAAGAACTTCTTTACTTTCTAGACAGGTCCAGGAAGACCTCCCCAGACATTTCACATCAGCAAGCTGCTGCCCTTCTTCGCACTTACTTAAAAAACCTTTCTCCTTATATCAACTCTACTCCCCCCATATTTAGACCCCTCACAACACAAGCTGCTATTCTTGTGGCTGCTCCTTTATGTATCTCTTGGCAAATACCCACTGGAATTCCCCTGGGTAACCTTGCATCTTCTCGATGTTCCTTCACTCTTGATCTCCAAAGCCCAGCTACACATACCACTGAAACAATTGTGGCTTTCCAGCTCCATATTACAGATAAGCCCTCTATCAGTACTGACAAACTTAAAAACATTAGCAGTTATTATTGCTTAGGAAGACATTACCCTGTATTTCACTCCATCCTTTGCTGCCTTCCCCTTGCTCTTCAGACTCTCCTCCCAGGCCCTCTTCTTGTTTGCTTATACCCAGCCCCGTAAATAACAGTGAAAGGTTGCTCATAGACACTCGACACTTTCTCTTACACCATGAAAATCGAACCTTCCCCTCTATGCGGTTACCCCATCAGTCCCCATTACAACCTCTGACGGCTGCCGCGCTAGCTGGATCCCTAGGAGTCTGGGTACAATACACCTCTTTTAGTACTCCTTCTCATCTTTTCACTTTGCAGCTCTGGTATTGCCTTGCACAAGGTCTCTTCTTCCTCTGTGGATTCTCTACCTACATGTGTCTATCTGCTAATTGGACAGGCACATGCACACTACTTTTCCTAAGTCCCTAGATTCAATTTGCAAATGGGACCAAACAGCTTCCTGTTCCCCTCATGAAACCGACACGATAAAAAAGTGTTATTCCACTAATTCCCTTACTTGTCAGTTTAGGACTTTCTGCCTCCACTATTGCTCTCAGAACTGGAATAGCAGGCATTTCAACCTCTGTCACAACCTTCCGTAGCCTTTCTAATGACTTCTCTGCTAGCATCGCAGACATATCACAAACTTTATCAGTTGTTCAGGCCCAGGTTGAATCTTTAGCTGTGGTTGTCCTCCAAAACTGCCAAGGCCTTGACTTGCCGCTGAAAAAGGAGGACTCTGTGTATTTTTAAATGAAGAGTATTGTTTTTACCTAAATCAATCTGGCCTGGTATATGACAACATAAAAAAACTCAAGGATAGAGCCCAAAAACTCACCAACCAAGCAAATAATTATGCTGAACCTCCTTGGGCACTCTCTAATTGGATGTCCTGGGTCCTCCCAATTCTTAGTCCTTTAATACCTGTTTTTCTCCTTCTCTTATTCAGACCTTGTGTCTTCCGTTTAGTTTCTCAATTCATACAAAACCGCATCCAGGCCATCACCAATCATTCTATATGGCAAATGCTCCTTATAACAACCCCACAATACCACCCTTTACCCGAAAATCTTTCTTCAGTTTAATATCTTCTACACTATGTTCCCATGCCACCCCTAATCCCACTCGAAGCAGCCCTAAGAAACAATGCCCATTCTCTCTACATACCACCACCAAAAATTTTTGCCACCCCAACACTTCACCACTATTTTGTTTTTTCTTATTAATATAAGAAGATAGGAATGTCAGGTCTCTGAGCCCAAGTTAAGCCATCATATCCCCTGTGACCTGCATGTATGCATCCAGATGACCTGAAGCAACTGAAGAACAACAAAAGAAGTGAAAATAGCCAATTCCTGCCTTAACCGATGATATTCCACCATTGTGATTTGTTCCTGCCCCACTCTAACTGATCAATTAACCTTGTGACATTCCTTCTCCTGGAAAATGAATCTCAGGAGCTCCCCCACAAAGCACCTTGTGACCCCTGACCCTGCCCACAAGAGAACAACCCCCTTTAACTGTAATTTTCCACTACCCTGCCCAAATCCTATAAAACTGCCCCACCCCTATCTCCCTTTGCTGACTCCTTATTCGGACTCAGTCAGCCTGCACACAGGTGATTAAAAAGCTTTATTGTTCACACAAAGCCTGCTTGGTTGTCTCTTCACACACACATGTGTGACAGATTACAGCCCTACTGACACCTTAACATTAGCTCAGTGAGACTTCTGACACGGGGTACTATATTTTATTTGTGTGAAGCCAATAAGACTGTGGTGATTTAAACAGCAGCATTGGAAACTAATGCAAGGGGAAGAGATGTCTTTCACCTCACTGAGAGCATGGTTGTCCTCTGTTCTTGGAAATATTTCCACCTTGTCATCTGGTGTCAATTATGACATATTTTCTAGTATTTAAAGAAAAGATCTGCTGCCCTAAAATCCTATGTCCAGTAAAATTATTATTTAGAAATGAAGGACAAATTGAGAAGTCCTCAGTTGTAGAAAAACTAAGAGTATTTGCTGCCAACAGATCCACTTTAAACATAGGCAAAATGAGCCCTAGGAAGATAAAACTAAAGATAAAGAGAGGATATTAAATAATGTTAGGGACAAAAGGCTACAAAAATGAGAAGATAGATGGATATAATGCATTGCTAAATCATGTGTGATAGTTGTATCAAAGTTGTAATACTGTTTTTTTCCTAATATATGCAGATAAATTACTTTTAAAAAACAATCTATTTACAATGGGGGAGGAAACATGACATAAAAAAGGTAAAATTCTATATTTATTTTAAATGGTAATATATTGATGCCAACATACTGTGAGAAGCTATGCATATAAAGGAAATACTATGACAACCAATTTGAAAATCATTATAAAAAGAGATACCCCAAAATTAGGCAAAATTAAAATGAAATTGTAAAGATGTTCAAGTAACCCAAAAGAAGGCAGCAAAAAGAAAACAGAGAAGCAAAAAAAGATACAGCAAAAAAGTAGAGTGCAGACTTAAATTTTAATATATCAATATCAATATATTAAATATGCAAATTATGAAACTTTGAAAAAGACAATTGATGAATAAAAAGAAATGTCCCAACTGTATGTTATCTACAAGACACTCACATCAAATATAACAGTATAAGTAGATTGAATATAAAAGGAAGGAAAATGGTATACTATGCAAACATTAATAAAAAGAATCAGTAGCAAATACTAATATCAGATAAAGTAGACTACAGAGCCAAAGAATGTTACCAGGGACAGAAAGGTACATTACATAATGAAGAAAGTCATTTTGGAAAGAAGACAGAGCAGTTCTAAGTGCGTAGACACCAAGCAAAAGAGCGATATAGTGCATGTGGCAGAAACTAACAAAACAATTGCACACGGAGACTTCAAAACCCCTTGTTAATCTTCGATAGGACAACTGGACAGAAAATCAGCAAGGATTTAGGACTCAACAATATCATCAACCCACGAGATCTAACTGACATTTATAGAACACTCCAACCCATAACAATAGAAGTTCACATTTTTTTCTTCCAAGTGCCCACAACATATACCAAGATAGGACATATCCTGCCCACATAACCTCTCAACATATTTGCAATAATTAAAATCACAGTGAATGTGTTCTCTGACCATGGAGGGATCAAACTAGAAATCAATATTGAAAATGTAACCCCCAAATTTTCAAATATATGGGAACTATACAATATTGTTCTTTCCAAAGAACCAGCCTTTGGTCTGCCTGGTGTTCAGTGTCACTTTTTCTGTTTGCAGTTTTATTGATTTCTGCCCTAATATTTATTATTTATTTTGCTCATGTTCTACTTCAGATATAAATTGCTCCTCTTTATGTAGTTTCATAAGGTGGAAGCGGAGATTATTGGTTTTATCCCTTTTATTTTCTGAAAAATACTCATATGCATATGTTTATCTACATGCATACACAGGCATAAATATGTGCAGATGCATATTCATACACGTGGTTTTAATACCATAAATTACCCTGTAAGCGCTGCTGAATACCTATGCGTATTTTCTTTTCTCTGAGCTCAAACTCCACTCACTTGCAAACCTGCCCACTTAATCTGCATGTTCATTGGTGTCTCAATCTAGAATTGAGCAAAAATAACAAACTCCTTTCATTTTATCTCAACTTTCTTGGCCGCTAATACATTTAACATCAGTAAGTCAGAATCTATCTAATAGATTAAGGCCAAAGCTGCCAGGTCACTCCTAATCTGACTCTTCTCACACCAAGGAGTGTAAATGACATTGATTTAAAAATATGGTATCATCTGCCTATGTCTCCAACAATCTTCACTGCCCCAAAACTAGTTAATGCCAGGATCCACTTTGCCCAGATAAGCATCTCTTCTGCTTCTCACAGCCCAATTCGAGTCATTACTTTGCTAAAAAATAAATATGACCATGGGGGTACTTTGGTTAAAAAAATTCCCAGAATGTCCTGCTGTACCTACAAAACATTTGCTCCCCAAACAGAAAATGAAGGCCTTATTAATTTCACATCAGTCACATGTGGTGATCTTTAAGACACTGAGAGAAAATGTCTCTGACCTGCCCCCTCACAAACTTTCTCTTTTTTACCTCAGTTAAGTCACTCTCCTCATAGTGCCTTTCTCTGTCCTTCACACGTTCATACTGTATTCCTTCTAAGCGCCTTGATTGTCATGAACCTCAGTGCCCTTCAGAAACTTCTCTTCAGGTCAGTTGTTCTCCTCATCCAGGTCAGTCACCTCCTCAGAAAAAGTAGCCTCTACCTCCCTAACTAACTGACTCCTTTTCCTCATTAACCACTTCCTCTTCCCTTGCCATTTTTTTCCTTTATGACCCTTAACTTTTTCTAGAATCTTTTTGTTGATTTATGTTTAATTAGACATGGCCTTTTTTTCACCAGAAAAGATATAGGTAAATGAGAGTCAGACACTGACTTTCTCAGGGGTGCAGCCTAGATACGTTCCTGGACCAGCATAGTTGCTCAATTAACACTTTATTGAATGAATGAATAATGAAAAGTTAATAAGAAACTCTCCAAGACATAATCAACACTCTTAACCTATACACATTGAAAACAACCCACTGAATGTAAAACATGGATTATTCTGAGTAATGAGAAGTTTGAATAGCAGTGTGCTGCTCTTCATAGTCAGCTCTTCATAGTCAGTGTGCTGCTCTTCATAGTTTGTATTTTGCTGGGGAGATAAGGAAGACATCCAAAGTCCATGATAATCAGGTAAGAGTATTCTTATCTTTTTTAAAAAACAAGCAAATAGACTTTGCAGTCACAAAAAAATTGCAATAAATGGGACTACACTATCACTTAACTCTATTGGCTCCTGTTCACAAAAACAGGTTGTATTATTAACTCTTCTTTGAAAACAAACCAGCTCCAAACAAAATGCCATAAAATGAGTATGTACAGTCCTCCCTCAGTATCCATGGGAAATAGTTTCCAGGGCACCCTGCAGATATTCCAATTTTTGGAGACTCAAAACCTTTATGTAAAATGCACAATATTTGCATATAACCTACACATATCCTCCCGTACATTTCACACCATCTCTAGCCTCCTTATAGTACCTAGTACGATGTCTACACATGACTTAACTTGTGTAGATTCATCCAAGTGTTACTCAGCACATGGCAAAGTCAAGCTTTGCTTTTTGGAATTTTGTGGATTTTTTTTTCAAAATATTTTTGATCCAGGATTAGTTGAATCCATGGATGCAGATCCCATGGATAGAGAGCTGACTGTACAGCTCCTTATAATTCTGAGGGTCAGCTCTGTGGTTCTTCCATTCTGGGCTGGCTGGACTGATCTCTGCTGAGTCCGCTCTTGTGTCTGCAGTTACCCTGTGGTTCATTTGTGACTGGATGGTCTGATGTGACTTCTTTAACCTATCTGGAAGCTGGTTTGATGTGCAGGTTGGACAACTTTTGGTATCGGTTTACATGGGTCAGGAAGATGGGTCCTATTCCCCAATCTGTATTAGGTTTGTTCCCAGATCAACTCTGGGGTTCAAGTCTATTCATTGTGGGTTGTTTGGGAGAAATTCTACATGAACAAAGCTGAACTGCTGTCATTTATTGCTGTTAGCAGTTATTGTTATCCTCTGAAATGCATCTTATATAACCAAGATCTCCCCAGGGTGGCCCAACAGTACAGCTCAGCTCAGCCCATCCTGTCACTTCACTGGATGACTGCAGGTATGAGAAAGGCAATATGCTCAGTCACAGGAAAGGCAGGGGCCCACCCTGGGGCTGAAACCTGCAGACACAGCGTTCACACAGCTTCTTTGCAAAATACGAAGACTTCATTTTCTTTATACTTAAGATAGTTATACATTTTTTTCTATAATGTCCCTATGCTATTTAACTAATTTTAATTTTCAGAACTGGTTGTATTTATTATTTCTGTGTTAGGTGCTCTTAGTCACTTATGGCAAGAGTGAGTTAATAGAGACAACATACAGATTAGCCATGGAACAATAGAGAAGTGTGTGTATTCAGACAGGATAAAGATCAAAGGGGTGACAAATACATTCTTTTGAGAAGCAGATTCTCATAGATCACCACAAGTCAAGGTCCACATTCAAGGTGCAGTGGCATGTCAGTCACATTGTGCAAATGGTCAGCTCTGCACATTAAACTTGGCTAGCACATTGCAGGACCAAAATTACCTATAAAGGTATGGGGAAAATAAACCATCATGGAAATAACAATTTGAAGGAGTTCTCAATTATTTATACTTGGATATAAAGCAGAACGCTACAATGAATGAACCTACAACCTAAAACCTTTAAGCCTTTTAAAGAGGTTTCTTTTTGTCAGGGTATTTCTCAGCAAATAATGATAAAAAATTTATGGATAAACTACTTGCACAATTAGCCACAATAAATCCCTTCCCTGTACTCATCCTTTGGTTGGCCTCATTCTAAATGGATGCAGGTGTTGCCCATGTGTCTTGCTCAGGCCAATAGGATAATAGCAGATGTGACACAAGTGGAGTCTTGGAAAGGGCTTGCACATCGAAGCTTTCCTCTCTCTCACAGTGCTTGGAAACCCTAAGGTCACAATGAGAATAAGACTGTGCCCATCTACAGTCAATGTCAGTGGCATGGCTGCTCTTCGGTCTACTATTTGTTCTTAAAATGTGTGCTAAGTTTGTTATGGCCATGTAACAAATTACCACAAATTTATCAGCTTAAGACTACACCCATTTATCATCTCTCAATTTCTGAGTCAGCAGTCGGCACATGGCTTTGTCGGGTCCTGGCCATTGGATTTCACAAGAATGTGCCACAGTGTAGATTGGGCTTCATTCTCACCTGTGAGTCCCCTGAGAACATAGATACTTTAGAGCTCTTTCAGGTAGTTGCAGAGCTCATTCCTTAGCATTTCTATGACTCAGAGCTTCAATTTCTAACTGGCTCTTGGCTCAAGGTTGCTCTTAGTTCCAAGAGGCTGTGGACAATTCCCTGCCATGTGATGCTCACACAGGCAATGCCCACATGGCTGGTTGCTTGTTCATGGTCAGCAGAAGGTTTCAGAGAGTGTCTCTTTCCAGTCTGCTATGACAGAGGCTTATCGAATACAATCATTGGAAAGACATCTCATAACCTATGACATATCATATGGATTAGAAGCAAGTCTAGGTTCCGCTTGTTCTCTGTGGAGGTAGATTATACAATTGTGTGATTCACTGGGGAGAGGGTTCTGCTAGGGTGTTCTGGCATCTTTAGTTTCCTCAAATATCAGGTACTTGTACTGAGTGTGAAATCTGTCCTGTACTTACTGGCATTGACTAGTCCTGTGACCCCTGGGAACATCTTGGGAAGCATACTTTGTAAGAGAGGTTTTAGGGTAACCTAGCTATTGGAAGCATAACATTTGCAAAATATCCTAAACTTTGTGATTTCTAACATGTCCTCAAGGTTCCTTAATTGCAATTATCATAAGCCAATTATCTCTAAATATCTGCAAAATTTATATTTAATAGTAGGAAAATGATTTATTAAGGAGTCTATTAAACAAGACTCAGGGAAATGATGTCAACACCTAATTGCTGCTGCCCACTGCTAGACTATGTGAGACAATTTTCATGAACAATAGAACAGATACTGCATGCTAGACACTGCTGTGAGCACCACTGGCCTGCTACCTCTAGAAATGTTTGCAGAACGAGGGCAATTGCTATGAGTCTCAAAATATAATTTTTTTTATTATACTTTAAGTTCTAGGGTACAAGTGCACAACGTGCAGGCTTGATACATAGGGATATATGTGCCATATTGGTTTGCTGCACCCATCAACTCATCATTTACATTAGGTATTTCTCCTAATGCTATCCCTCCCACTGCCCCCGACCTCATGACAGGCCCCAGTGTGTGATGTTCCTCACCCTGTGTCCAAGTGTTCTCATTGTTCAATTCCCACCTATGAGTGAGAACATGAGGTGTTTGGTTTCTTTTCCTTGTGATAGGTTACTGAGAATGATGGTTTCCAGCTTTATCCATGTCCCTGCAAAGGACATGAAATCATCCTTTTTATGGCTGCATAGTATTCCTTGGTGTATATGTGCCACATATTCTTAATCCATTATATCATTGATGGACATTTGGGTTGGTTCCAAGTCTTGCTATTATGAATAGTGGCATGATAAACATACGTGTGCATAGTACCATGATTTATAATTCTTTGGGTAGGTACCCAGTAATGGGATTGCTGGGTCAAGTGGTATTTCCAGTTCTTGATCCTTAAGGAATTGCCACACTGTCTTCCACAATGGTTGAACTAATTTACACTCCCACCACCAGTGTAAAAGCTTTCCTATTTTTCCACATCCTCGCCAGCGTCTATTGTTTCCTGACTTCTTAATGATTGCTATTCTAACTGACGTGAGATGATATCTCACTGTGGTTTTGATTTGCATTTCTCTTATGACCAGTGATGATGAGCATTTTTCATGTGTCTGTTGGCTGCATAAATGTCTTCTTTTGAGATGTGTCTGTTTATATCCTTTGCCCAATTTTTGAGGGGGTTGTTTGTTTTTTTTCTTGTAAATTTGTTTGAGTTCTTTGTAGATTCTGGATATTAGCCCTTTGTCAGATAGGTAGATTGCAAAAATTTTCTCCTATTCTGTAGATTACCTGTTCACTCTGATGGTAGTTTCTTTTGTCATGCAGAAGCTCTTTAGTTTAATTAGATCCCATTTGTCTATGTTGGCTTTTGTTGCCATTGCTTTGGTGTTTTAGTCATGAAGTCCTTGCCCATGCCTACGTCCTGAATGGTATTGTCTAGGTGTTCTTCTAGGGTTTTTATGGTTTTAGGTCTAACATTTAAGTCTTTAATCCATTTTGAATTAAATTTTGTATAAGGTGTAAGTAAGGGATCCAGTTTCAGCTTTCTACATATGGCTAGCCAGTTTTTCCAGCACGATTTATTAAATAGGGAATACTTCCCCATTTCTTGTTTTTGTCAGGTTTGTCAAAGATCAGATGGCTGTAGATGTGTGGTGTTAATTCTGAGGCCTCTGTTCTGTTCCACTGGTTTGAATCTCTGTTTTGGTACCAGTACCATGCTGTTTTGGTTACTGTAGCCTTGTAGTATAGTTTGAAGTCAGGTAGTGTTATACCTCCAGCTTTGTTTTTTTTTTTTTTTGCTTAGGATTGTCTTGGCAATGCGGGCTCTTTTTTGATTCCATATGAACTTTAAAGTAGTTTTTTCCAATTCTGTGAAGAAAGTTATTGGTAGCTTGATGGGGATGGCATTGAATCTATAAATTACCTTGGGCAGTATGGCCATTTTCACTATATTGATTCTTCCTATCCATGAGCACGGAATGTTCTTCTATGTGTTTTGTGTCCTCTTTTATTTCGTTGAACAGTGGCTTGTAGTTCTCCTTGAAGAGGTCATTCACATCCCTTTTAAGTTGGATTCCTAGGTATTTTATTCACTTTGACTTTATCTGTGAAGTGTATTTAAATTCTCATTCTATAGAAGAAAAATCCAAAGTACTTGGAAAAGAGAAATCTTGCCATGAGATACACAGTTCTTCAGTTTCAAAGCAGAGATTATCTCTCAGATATTCTGGCTCATACAATTTTCAGTACACTGCAAGACAGAAGATGTGAAGACAACACTACCCAATTGGCCTTACACTTGCTTTGCTCGCTGTTAACTAAGTTCACTGTAAAAAAAAAATGATTACAATAAAACACATTGTCAATGAACTGTCACAAATAAATACATCTTTAGAACCACATCCAAAATCCAGACATAGAACATTTCTATAGCTCCAAAACATTTTGACCCACTCTTTTGGAATCAACTTGCTTTCTGCCTCACAGATCAGGGAATTTTGATCTGCTTCTTGTCAGTACAGATTTCATTTTCCTTGTAAGAGTTTCACATAAATGAAACATAGGATGCGCTCTTTTGTGTCTGGTGACTTTTGTGCAGCATGACTCTTTCTCAGATTCATTCAGATGTCCTGTGTTCTAATTATGTGCTCCTCTTTATTTTTGAGTATTATTTAACTGTTCAGTAATTTTATGATGGATCCCTTCATCTATTGATTGCCGTGTGGGTTGTTTCCATTTTGGGCTATTATGGATAAAGTTGCTGTGAATGTTCTTGAACAAGACTTTGCATGAACATATGTCTTCATTTCTTTTGGGCTAATACCTAGGCGTGTAGTTGCTGTGTTTATCAGTAAGTGTTTAATACTCTGTCCGACTTTACCCAAAGTGGCTATAATATTTTACATGTCCACCAATAACTTATTATAGCTCCACACCCTCCAAAATATTTCAATTTTTTTTAAGATTTCACCTAATTGTTACTCAACAGTAACCAGAATAGCTAGTGATTATTAAGCTATGTTTTTCTTCCCATTTTCTTGTCAATTTGGGGAATTGATGTGTTACAGGACATTGAGAACAGAATCAATACTGTCCTAGTTCCCTATCAAACACTTTTATCAAGCCATAATGTTTAGGATGGTAACATGATATATAAAGGGAGTGTTGGAGTAGTAATAAGTATTTTCAATACTTATTATATTCCATAAAGCAATATATCTTCAATGAAATGGCATTTAACTAGACTTAGCATAGTAAGGTTCTCATATCAACCCTAGTATTCAGTATTAGCAAAAGTTTGAGGAAAAAAATATCCAGCAACATAAGCCAGAGAGTGTTTTGCTAGTCAAGTAGCACTGCAATACTGATGCTCTTCTAATGCCAGCCCTTCACAATAATTTCCACTCAGAACATTTGGTTGCCTCCTTGCCTTGTTCTCCTTATGGGACTTCATGCTGAGGGCATGTGGCATCACAGAGGGAGCAGTGCACTTGGGTGCAGAAATATAGCTTAGTAGATTGTCTGGCCTTAGAGGTGGCTGCAATGGAATACACATTTTCAAGGAAGTTCCCTGTTAAACCTCCTGGTAAACTGATAGTTAAGACCAGGTGCGGGGACTTATCCCCGTTATCCTAGATGTTTGCAAGATCAAGTAGGGAGGGTAGCAGAAATCTAGGAGTTCAAGACCAGCTTGGAAAACATAGGGAGACCCCCTCATCTCTAGAAAAAAAACACTGTTTGTTAAGATGTGGTGTAAACAATGGCATCTCTAAGTGATTATTTATTAACATTTGCTGAGAAAATTAGAAAATAGAACGATGCCTTCTGATCCAATAATATCATAATAAAGATGTGAAGTTTTTAAACTATGGTAAGTATAGAGAACATAAAATTGCCCATCTTAGCCATTTTCAAGTGTACAGGACAATGGCATTAAGTATAGTCACATTGTTGGGCTAGCATCAGTAATATCCATCTCCAGAACTCTTTCCATCTTCCAGAACTGAAACTCCATAGCCATTAAATGACAACCCCCTCCCCGTTTCCCCTGCTCCCAGTCCCTGGCAACCTGTAATCAAGTTCTGTCTCTATGACAGTGACTGCTGTGAAACAGGTTTGCTGTGCCCTGGTTACCAACCTGTCAGAGTCCAGGGAGACAGAACAATCATACACAACAAGTTACAAGAATCTAGTTTAGTATTTACAGGTGGCCAGCAAGGCACGGCAGAAGCTGAGGATTTATTGTGGGTCTTTACCCTGAGGCACAGGTAAGTGGGGCTGATGGAATCTTGACTGTGTGTACCCCTCTTGGACCAGAGCTAAGGAACCCCAGAAAGAAGATGCTCTGGGTTTTAAACCCTGGTGTCACAGGACACATGGAGCTAAAGTACTGGAGGACTTAAGTACAGGAGGACAGTACTAGAGGGAGCTGGATCAGAAGCCAGTCTGTTCTGACCTGTCCCTCGCTATTTCAGAATGTTACATTTCCAGCACATTCTACAATTATTCTTGAGAAGTGTAAGAAAGAGAGTGGGGAAAATCAAGTGAGTCCAGGACCATCGGAGGACTGGAGTGAAGTCGTCCCCCAACACAGACATCCCCCGTAGAAAGCTATTCCATTTTATATGCCTACCAACCACCGTGAACTGGAGGCAGAGGTGTGTCTTGTCAGAGGGATGAAGCACCTTGACTGACACAATCTCAAAGCAACATCATTGAGACAGAGCCAGAAAAGATTTCACTGGGCCAATGAAAACTACTACCAGAGGCAGAATGATCAGGCCCACCTGAAGCAGTTATGTAGCCCAGGATCCCATGATCCACAGAAGAAGTTGCTAAAGGGGTGAAAGAAGAATCCTTCAGGTGGGATTTTCTGAATCTGCAGAATCCATTTTCTGCAATTATGAGCTTGTTTCCAGATCTCCTCTACTTGAATTTCTAGGATACCTGAGGTGTTTATCCAGGTATAGCAGGGGGTATTGGAAATTGTATACATTCCTCCCAGTTGGGATTTTTTAAAGGTCTAGAGCAACACTGTTATCTTAAACATCCATCCCAATGGAGTTAAGGGATGTCTGCTGGGTTACCAAGGCAGTGGCTATGGAGGAGGAGCAATATCTGCCATGGTCAGGGACAAGTTCCTTATCATTTCACTTTTTTTCATGAGCACTGACTCCTATACGTAGTACCAAAAATATCATAAAAGACATAAACCTATCATCTGTTGTACCTTCTGGTAGGTCCCTAGTAAGTCTGAGGTACAGCTTTGGGCTTCAGGCTCTATGATTTACCTAATTCCAAGGAACAATATCCAGAGACAACCCCAGCATGCCCAACATGCAGGATCTCACTATTCCACAGATATCCAGAGATGGCATCACATATCCTGCATTTTGGTCACTCCCAAACCGCTTACAGAGAAAGATGTAGCCCTTGGGTGCATACAGCCCCCCTTTTCCCATTTTTCTTCAATCACTCAGTCATGGTTATGCTGGTATTGGTGCGTTCATTAGCCAAGTCTCACTGATAGTAGAGTTGCGTGAGCAAAGTTTTGCTCATACAATATTGTCTGTAGACAGAGGGCTAGCATTAGTCCAGTCCTTGTTTTTATCATTGCCATTGGGATGTTTCTCATCTATGCAATCAAAAAAGTATGGTGCATCAAAATATTAGTCCACCAATGTTTTTTTTAGTTGTGGTCATGACATTCGCCAGAGGCAATTAAGTTAAACAGGGGTCCTCCAGTTTCCTCCCATGTGGCAGGTGTCAGATTCTCACTTCGTGGGCCAGTGCTTGGGTCCTTTTGATGTACACCTTAGTATTAGGAATGTTGGTGTAATTTACCCTTGGTGGAATGAAAGGGAACCTCTAGTTAATGACAGAATGAGGTCAAGAATGGGAGATTCACTATTTTGAAAGATCACCCTGGTGACCTAAAAGAAGCTAACAAAGACATTGTGCTTCTAGGCCTTTGCTGCCTCATTCTTGTCAAAATGCAGCCTCACAGGTTAATGCATCATCTCTCACCCATCCCAGGGTCTCAGGTGTCCCCTACCCATCTACAAGGGTTGGGCCGTGTTGGTGTAGGAATGCGGTCTGGCTGTCCTTGCTCTGTGAACAATCCATTGCCTTTGTCACTTGATCCAGATATTTCAGTCCTGATTGTCCACTCCAGGAAGGGAGATTCTGCCCTATAAAAACTGGTCATATTTCATAATATCACCAACACTAAAGGGAGGATAAGATGTCCCTGGCACCAGAAGAGGGCCCCTAGCTCCATGATATTTCTTAGTCTTGTTATCCATCACTGTGGGATCTTGTAGAAAGGAAGCACCCAGAGGAAACATAATCCTCCTATTAGAGTTAGGGGGCCTGTCTGGGGCATTGTAATGGCCTAGATTGCAAACCACCCCAGAGCATATATTCTAAAGGAAAAAAAGAAAAGGAATGGTTAGGAACACTGAAATAGCTTTCACAGGTCCAGACTAATATAAGTGTCTGCCTGGCCTACCTTTACTTCCACCCAGCTCTGTGTTTCTCAACATGCACTATTTCCCTTTTTGTGGCCCAGGATCCTTAATGTACATATTTCTCTAGTCAGATGGGATACCACCCCATTAACAGACTTTGTAGATGTCCTTTCTGCATATTGCTGTGTGATTCCACTGATCTAGCATTCACTAGGATCATTGGCCTGTGGATGCAGGGTGCATGGAAAGTTCATCGTGTTCCATGAGAGTGTGCCTATTGTCATGTTGCTTGGGCAGTGAAAGATGCTCCTTTGTGAGTGAGAAGTCTCATGGAGTATCCAAAAATATGACATAAATTGCACTCAAGGGTTACCTAGGTAGTCCCAGCATCAAATTGAGCATCATATTTCTTTTTCCTGCAGGTGGAAAGCTGTGGCCATAGTCCTTTCCTTCACACTGGGGATTCTTTAATAGTCCAGTCTCTCAGTTGCCATTTTCCTGAACAGATGGCAAGGCTGTTGGCAATGGCCGAGGATTTAGTGGATATGTGGCATGGTGCGTTGTTGGGACAGCCTGCATGGCCATTACCACTGAATGTAGTTTTGCCCACTGGGTAGAAAGCCCATGTTAAGTTTCAGTTAAAAAAGTGGCCATCCACTGGCTGAATGGTGGCCACACCTAGTGGACCTGTCAGTTAGCGTTTTGCTCAGCCTTCAGTGACTCCTGCCATATGGAAATCTCTGAATCTTGGGCTCCACATGGGCAAATAAAGAGCCAAATTATCACCTACAAGTTATTTGGTCCCTTCTAGCAAGCTCCCCATTTGTTCATGGAGCCACAGATCCTGTGGGGTCCTGACTAAACCTGATCAAGAATGTGCCATTTCCATTTGATAACATGGCTCTGTTCAGATTGTTCAGTTTTACTAATGGTGTTTGTAAGTATCCAAGTGAGAATGGACAGCTAAGGGACCAGTGTCACAGTCACACATGGTGCTGAAGCCTTAACATGTTCAGTCTCCATCAGTGCCTAATAGCAAGCAAGGAGTTGCCATTCAATATAAACACATTCAGTGGCTGATTCAGGCAACTTATGTGTCCTAAGATTGAGAGGCTGGTGCACTCATTGATAGTTTTCTGTTGCTATACGCTCCACTGAGTATGCATAGAGGTTGTGGATACCTGGACTTCCATCTGGTTAGCAGGCTGTAAAAATCTTAGAGAAGTGACTGGGCCAGGCCTTGTTGAACAGATTCCAAGGCTACTGTTGCAAAACGCCTTTTTCAAAGTTGGCAACTTTGTTCATGATTTTGACTAAGGGAACCAAAAGAACACCCAGGTGAGGTTTATGCCGTCTCCCATTCGCAAAGGGGCCTACCTGCCACTGAGTCTCCTTTTATTCAGTGGGTGCCACAGCGACCAATGTTTCCAGCTGTTCAGTTGGCATAATAATTAACTATGAGTACACAGCTCACTTTCACTATACATATATTCCTTGATGGAAGTTACAGCATCATACATGATTAGCGTGTCAGAACCTTCACCACATCTGACAGGGTATCAATTCAATTACCTAGGGTTTGTGTGTCAGTTTTGCTTGACTAACAATACGTTTTCTCCTTTCTATAGAGACGGCTGCACCTGTGCAGGTGATAAGATCATGAACTGCACCCTTTGCCTTACTTTTTTGTTGTAAATAATTTGCCTGATTCAATGCCATATTATGGAAGAATTTCTTAACTGTGATGAAAGCACTTGGAAAATCCTCAAATAATATTTCATGCAGACATATAACTGAAAGAAAGACAAATGCATATACAGGAAAACAACTGCTGCTCTTCTCATGTTGGATGAGGCCTGCTAAAAACACCTGACACCAGCTGTTAGTCTGATCCTTGATGTCTGGTACAATCTTGGGTTATTCTCCTTGGAAAAGTGGATGCTCAGAAGTGCCAGTATCCCCGTGAGTCCCAGTTAACTGAAATTCATATTGTTAAGCCCATGCATGGATAGTCATGACATCAGTTCATGAGATTCCCTGGGAAAGCTGGGAAAGGTAACTGATGAAGTCCATGTTTTGAATTATTTTAATTATTTTGAGCTCCTGCTTCTAATGGCCTTTAGATAAATATTCACTTGGAAAGGATTTATTTTTTCTACTGGTCCTTTTTTGGAAGGTCCAGTCATATCTCCTCCAGAGTGACTTTGTGTCCAATCCTTCAGATGTGTTTCTTCTAAGGCCTGATGATCTGTCAAAACCACTAGTCAAGATAGTGATATTGTTGGTAATATCCAGAGCGGGGAGAGGACAATAGTACTCCCAATATTGCGGGAGGTGTACACCCCTCTTTGTGTTATTGTTCTTAATATCCAGGGGGAAAACAGGATGACATTACTACCAATATCGTGGGGGGTTTACACCCCCCCTTGTGAGATTCTTCATAATATCCGGCAGGGGGGTGGATAGGACTATATTATTCCCAATATCGTGGGGGGTGTACACCCCTCTTGTGATATTATTCATAATATCCTGGGGGGAGACGACAATATTACTCCCAATATCGTGGGGGGTGTACACCCCTTATTTTGATATTGTTCGTAATATCCAGGGTTGGAGAGGACGCCATTACCCCCAGTATTGCGGGGAGTGTACAACCCCCTTGTGATATTGTTCGTAATATCCAGGGAGAGAGGAAGATATTACTCCCAATATCGTGGGGAGTGTACACCCCCAACTTGTGATATTGTTCATAATATCCAGGAGGGGAGAGGACGATATTACTCCCAATATCGCCCGGGCTGTACACGCCCCCTTGTGATATTGTTCGTAATATCCGTGGGGGAAGGGAAGATGATATTACTTCCAAAATCGTAAACACTTTGTGTGTACACCCCCCTGTGATATTGTTCGTAATATTCGGGGTGGGGGGGAGAGGATGACGTTACTTTAAATATCGTAAACACGTTGTGTGTACACCCCCCCACCCCACGATATTGTTCATAATATCCAGGGAGAGAGAGGAGATATTACTTTCGATATCGTAAACACGTTGTGTGTACACCCCCCTGTGATATTGTTCGTAATATCCGGGAGAGGAGAGTATGATATTACTCCCAGTATCACGGAGGGTGTACACCCCCCGTGATATTGTTCATAATGTCCAGTGGGGGAGAGGAGATGTATTACTTTCAATATCGTAAGTAACTTGTGTGTACACCCTCCTTTGGTATTGTCCATAATATCCAGGGTGGGAGAGGATGATATTACTGGCAATATCTCGGTGGCTTTACACACCCCTGTAATATTGTTCGTTAAGGAGTTAAGAGGATGATATTACTCCCAGTATCGCGGGGGCGTGCACGCCTCTGTGATATTGTTCATAACATCTTGGGAGAGACAGGAGGAAATTACTCTGAACATCGCGGGGCATGCACAGCCCCCTGTGATACTGTTCGCAATATCCAGCGGGGAATAGGATGACATTACTCCCAATATCGCTGGGGATGTTCACCCCACTGTAATATTTTTCTTAATATTCGGGGGGGAAGGATGATATTAATCATAACACTGCGGGGGGTGTACACCCTTCTGTGATATTGTTCATTGTATCCAGGGATGGTTGGAGATGATATTACTTTCAATATCGTAAACACCTTGTGTGTACACCCCCCTGTGATATTGTTCGTAATATCCAGTGGGGGAAAGGATAATATTACTCCCAACATCTCGGGAAGTGTACACGTCCCTGTGATATTTTTCTTAATATCCAGGGGGGCAGAGGATGATATTACTCCCAATTTTGCGGGGGGTGTACAACCCACTGTGATATTGTCGTAATATGAAGTGGGAGAGAGGATGATGTTACTCCCAATATCGCCGGGAGTGTACACCCCCCTGTGATATTGTTTGTAATATCCAGGGGGGGATTGGAGATGATGTTAGTTTCAATATCGTTGACACCTTGTGTGTACACCCGCCTGTGATATTGTTCGTAATATTCAGAGGGGGAGAGGATGATAATACTCCCAATATTGTGGGGGGTGTACACCACCATGTGATATTGTTCATAATATCCAGAGAGGGGAGAGGATGATATTATGCCCAATATCGTGGGGGGTGTGCCCCCCCTGTGATATTCTTGGTAATAATCGGGGGGAGATGTCATTATTTCCAATATTGTGGGGAATGTACACCCCCTTTTGATATTGTTTGTAACATTTGGAGGGGAGAGGATGACATTACTCCCAATATAGTGGGGGGTGTAAAATCCCCCTGTGATATTGTTTTTAATATCCGGGGGGATTTGAGATGATATTACTTTAAACATCGTAAACACCTTTTGTGTACACCCCCCTGTAATATCGTTCATAATATCCAGGTGGGGAGAGGATGATATTACGCCCAATACCACGGGGTTGTACATACCCCTGTGACATTGTTCCTAATATCCAGGGGAGGAGGGGATGATATTATTCCCAATATCTCAGGGAGTGTACACCTCCCTGTGATATTGTTCATAATATTCAGGGGTGATTGGAGATGATATTACTTTCAATATCATAAACTTTTTGTGTATACACGCCCCTGTCCTATTGTTTGTAATATCCAGGAGGGGAGAGTATGATATTACTCCCAATATTGTGGGGGGTGTACACCCTCTTGTGACATTTTTTGTAATATCTGGGAGGGAGAGGATTATCTTACTCCTAGTATCGCAGGTGGCGTACTCCCCGCCATGAGATTGTTTGTAATACACAGGGCTGTCAGGATGATATTACTCCCAATATCTCGGCATTGTACCCTGCCCCAGCATGATGTTGTTGTTCGTAATACCCAGGCAGGGAGAGGATGATATAACTCCTAATATCACATGCAGTGTACCCCCTCTGTAATATTGTTTGTAATACCCTGTGGTGGAGAAGATAATATTATTCTCCATATCACGGGTGATTTACTCCTCTTTTGTGATATTGTTCATAGTACCCTGTGGTGGAGAGGATGAAATTGCTCCCAATATCACCACCGATGTGACATTGTTCATAATACTCAGGGCAAGTCTTTCCTGTGTTTGTCCCATGATAGGGAATAAGTCTCTTGAGATCTGATGGTTTTATGAAGAGGAGTTCTGCACAAGCTGTCTCTCTTTGCCTTTTGCCATCCACGTAAGTTGTGTCTTGCTACTTTTTGCCTTCTGCCATGACCGTGAGGCCTCCCCAGCCATATGGAAGTGTAACTTAATTAAACCTCTTTTTTTTTTTTTTGGTAAATTGCCCAGTCTCGGATATGTCTTTATTAGAAGCATGAAAATGGGCAAATACAGTCAATTGGCACCAGGAGAGTGGGCCGCTATTGAAAAGATACCCAAAAATGTGGAAATGACTTTGGAGCTGGGTAACAGGCAGAGGTTGGAACAGTTTGGAGGGCTCAGAAGAAGACAGGAAAATGTGGGAAAGTTTGAAACTCCCTAAAGAGTTGTTAAATGGCTTTGACCAAAATGCTGATAATGATATGGACAATGAAATCCAGGCTGAGGTGTTCTCAGATGAAGATGAGGAACTTGTTGGGAGCTGGAGTAAAGGTTATTCTTGTTATGTTTTAGCAAAGAGATTGGTGGCATTTTGCTCCTGCCCTACAGATTGGTGGAACTTTGAATTTGAGAGAGATGATTTAGGGTATCTGGTGGGAGAAAGTTCTAAGCAGCAAAGCATTCAAGAAATGACTCAGGTGCTTTTAAAGGCATTCAGTTACATAAGATAAGCAGAGCATAAATGTCCAGACAATTTGCAGCCTGCCAATGTGATAGAAAAGGAAATCCCATTTCTGAGGAGAAATTCAGGCCAGCAGCAGAAATTTAAAAAAGTAATGAGGAGCCCAGTGTTGTTAATCCTCAAGACAATGGGGAAAATGTCTCCAGGGCATGTCAGAGGTCTTCATGGCTGCCCCTCCCATCACAGGCCCAGAGGCCTGGGAGGAAAAAGTGGTTTTGTGATCCAGGCCCAGGGCCTTCATGCTGTGTGCAGACTAAGGACTTGTTGGCCTGTGTCCCAGCTCTTCCAGCCATGGCCAAAAGGGGCCAATGTAGAGCTCAGGCTGTGGCTTCAGAGGACCCAAGCCTTGGCAGCTTCCACGTGGTATTGAGCCTGCAAGTGCACAGAAGTCAAGAATTGGGGTTGGGAAACCTTCGCCTAGATTTCAGAGGATGTATGGAAACACCTGGATGCCCAGGCAAGAAGTTTGCTGCAGGGGTGGGGTGCCCATGGAGAGCCTCTGCTAGGGCAGTGCTGAAGGGAAATGTGGGGTTGGAGCCCCCACACTGAGCCCCTACTGGGGCACTGCTTAGTGGAGCTGTGAGAAGAGGGGCACTGTCCTCCAGATCCCAGAATGGTAGATCCACTGACAGCTTACACCGTTCACCTGGAAAAGCCACAGATGCTCAACGCCAGCCCTTGCAAGCAGCCAGGAGGGAGGCTGTACTCTGCAAACCTACAGGGACAGAGTTAGTCAAGTCCACGGAAACTCACTTCTTGAATCAGCGCGACCTGGATATGAGACATGGAGTCAAAGGAGACCATTTTGGAACTTTAGGTTTAACTGCCCTCCTGGATTTCAGACTTGTCTGGGGTCTGTAGTCCCTTTGTTTTGGCCAATTTCTCCCATTTGGAACAGCTGTATTAACCCAATGCCTGTACCCACAATTGGGCCTAGGAAGTAACTATCATTCTTTTGGTCTTACAGGCTCATAGGTTGAAGGGTCTTACCTTGTCTCAGATAAGACTTTGGACTGTGAACTTTTGAGTTAATGTTGAGATGAGTTGAGACTATGGGGGACTGCTGGAAAGGCATGATTGGTTTTGAAATGTGAGGACATGATATTTGTGAGGGGCCAGGGGCAGAGTGATATGGTTTGGCTGTGTCCCCAACCAAATCCCATCTTGAATTCTCACAGGTTGTGGGAGGTACCCGGTGGTTGGTAATTGAATCATGAGAGCAGGTCTTCTCTATGCTGTTCTCATGATAGTGAGTAAGTCTCATGAGATCTGATGGTTTTATAAAGAGGAGTTCCCCTGCACAAGCTCTCTCTCTTTGCCTGCCACCATCCACGTTAAGATGTGACTTGCTCCTCCTTCTGCCATGGTTGAGAGGCACCCCCAGCTTATGGAATCGTAAGTCCATTAAACCTCTTTTTTTGTAAATTTCCCAGTCTCAGGTATGTCTGTTTCAGCAGGGTGAAAACAGACTAATACAGGATTCAGACAGATTTAGAATTTTAATGGCTTCTTGATGGATTTACCAATTTATAATTATAAAATGTCCATTTTATCTCTTGCATTAAAGTCATGACCTAGTTTCTTTTGCTCAGTTTTACATGATATGTACTTTTCATCCTTTCATTTTCAAAGCCATTCTATATTCTTACTATAGTGTGTATTTAATGATTAACATACATCTTTGATTTTAATCCTGTCTGATAATTTTATGATTTACTTGGAAAAATTTGTTTATTTACGATGCAATTATTGTAAAGTTAGGGTTAAACCTACCGTCTTGTTTCCTCTGATTTTCTTGATTCATGCTTTCATTTGAATTAGTTTAATTATAGATTTTTTCTTATATTAACTTGCTAAATATGCAAGATTATTATACAGAAGATATCCTCAACTTATTAATGCCTAATACACATATAGTGTATTAAAATTTCTCTCTCAAATTATTTCTAGGTAAGTGACACAAGCAGAATCAACCTTTGGAAGATCATCTATTTCCTGCTGGGTTGACTGGAATGTGTGATACGACCTAAGGTAACCATTGAGTCACCACACAGACCTAGAGCTCTGTGTGATGCAGCACTTCCTCAGGAGCTTGCAGTGGCGTCAGGGCCCAGCCTTGAATGCCAGGCAGGGGTCTCTCAACTCTGTGATTCTTCCCAGGAAATACATAAGAACTTGCATCTGGGTTCATATCTCAAACGCAACCCACCAGTCTCTCACGTACTGACCTCTGCTCTAAGTCTTCAGATGGTTATTTTTCATGCGGTAAAAATATGGCTTACATATTATCTTGTAATTCTGTTTAAGATGGCATATTTATGTTCCTTTATTCTTTCAAACTTGGTCCTTATTGTTGAAACCCAGCTTTGGAGTTCAGAAAACTACTTTTTACTTCAACATGCTGTGGTTGAGACTGTGGAAAGACTTTTGGCACTAGGTCTTTAGTTTTGCATACATTTGCAGCAACATATCTAGTAACTTAAAAATCTAGACCGTGAAGAGTTATATTTTGGTACTCCCTGAAAAAAGTAGGAAAAAATACAGTGCCTGCTGGTGTCCTGGTCAGGGGTCTGCCTTCGGAAAAGTGGTGGGGGGAGGTGGAGGAGGGGAGGGAAACTGTTTTAATATTACCAAACCTTATCAACATACATATACTCTAGTAACTGCTAAACCAAATCAAAAGAATGTATTAGTTTTGCGTTGCCAGTAGTCAGTCTCAATTAGGTGCCTGTTACGCAGAACGAATTTACTTGATGAATGAATGTAGGGAAGGAAGAGAGGCTTAGAATGAGCTTTCATTGAGCTTTCTCTTCTCTTGTGTCTCATTGCTCAAAGGGGAGGTGTTCCTCCTCCTTTTTGCAGACTCTGTCATGCAAAGGCTGCTGCAGCTGATGGGAACTTAAAATGTGGTGCCTGAGGTGTAGCTGAGAAATTTATGGTCATGAGCCCTCAGCTGTACCAAGTCCTCTGAGTTCTCCAACATCTTGGTCTTTAGGCATCTAAGAGAATCCACAGTGCCTGCTCTCCACAGAAACAACACATCTGGGCAGCTAGGCCACAGCAAGCAGGGAGGTTTGTGTTCAGGACTGTACCATTGTGGGAGAATAATGTGTACTTTGCTGGCAGCAATAAACCCCAACATCCTCAGCATCCATCCTCCTTATTTTAAACATGAAATCTGTCCCCGACCCACTGCCACTGAACCTGTCTGGGACTCCAGGGTCCCTGTTGGAAACCAAATCAATCAGGAGCCGTGGAGGCTGGCCTGGCTTCTGTAGGTCCCAATTCAAATAGGTGTATCCATTACTGTGAAAGGGGCTATGACTGGATCTACAGGAGATAGAGGCTGGCTTTCCAGGGGTGATGGGCAGGGAGAGTGGAGGCTGGTTCACACAGCATCTCCATTGGATCCTGAAATAATAAGAGAGAAGTGCAAGGTTATGTACAAACACTGTGAGCCATTTTAATAATTTTCTGTCTGTTATTTATGTTTTGCTCAATTATTTTTTGTGTATGATTTTGGTTAATACTCCCAAAACATACAGGTTTAAAAAGAACCAAGATTTGCAAAGCACAAATAAGCCTCTAGAAATCACCTATCCCATCCCCCTCTTTCTGTGTCACAGCTTTCACTAAAGTACATGTCCTTGCTCCTTCTGGAATCTTCCTCACTCTCACAGATCTAGACATCACATGCCCCATCCTGGAGGACAAGACACATCTAACACGAGGACAGAACACACATGGGAGGTGGCAGGGCCCACAGAGTTCACCCTCCCACCCCATCATCCTCCCTCATTTCCCTTCTGCTCTCAGCAGGGACCCAGTGCATTAGCAGCCCAGGGAGCTGAGCAGGGAGCCTCACTGTGGGAAGGTGAACTGAGGAGTCCTGATCAGTCAAGGCAAGGTTAGAGCTGAGCTTTTATCTCAGACTCACAAGGGAAGGTCTTCCCTAGGGGACAGCATGCAAATCCCCTGGTGGGTGCAGTGGGGTGGAAAGAGCCAAGGAGAAGGTGGGGACCTCTCTTGTGAGCAAAATGACATAAATATATTTTATGTTTTTAAGGATATCAAGAGAGGTAAAATCTGTTTCCTGAGTGGCAGAAGGGACATATTTAGATGTTTCCTGCTATTTCCTCTACCCAATTTCTAGTTCGTTAGGACTTTCTCAGGCATGTTTTACACTTCTCTTTAATAAGGTTGAGCTTTCATAAATATTTGGTGATTCTTATTTCTTGGTTCAGGCTTATTTAAAAGAGCCTAGGTTTGTTTTATTTTATTTTATTTAAGGAAAAACACACAGTGCAAAAGGTTCAAATCTTAAGGGTGCAAATGAATGTCGAAATCCAGATCATTTCATGTCATGATCCACATCAAAATATGGAAGGTTTCCAATTCTCTTGCTGCTTTCATTATGCACCTTCCCAGTCAGCAACTGCTGCTCAAAACACAATCAATGTAACTGATACTGTGACATCTATTATAATTGTTTTTTTTCCTGTACTTAATCTTCATATCAGGTAAACATTTTTTGTAGCTTCTTTCTTATTTCTTTCATTTTTTGAGGGCTTGATTCCTTCTTATCAATTTGAATTGCTGTCTGCTCTCATTCCCTGTTATTCTGAAGGATTTTCTCTTGAATTTTCCACAAGGCACATATGCTATAATGAATTAGTCTTTGTGTATGAAGGAACATTTCTACCTTGCTTTTACGTTTAAATGATTGTTTTGCTGGATATAGCATTTGTGGCTGACTTTTCTCCCCAGCATTTAAATATATCATTCCACTCTCATCCCACCTCTATTAGTAATGATGAAAATTTAGCCAATACCTTTATTATTGCTTCCTAGTATAGAGTAAGTCAGTATTTTAGTGATGCCTTCCAAATTCTCTGTGTCTTTGTCTTTCAACATTGGTACTATAATGTGTATTGTTATGAATTGTATTGTGCTTATCCTAGAAGAGTTTCACTGAGTTACTTTCATGTACAGACTAATGTGTTTCATCATTGTGAAAAATGTTTTTCATTATTTCTCCATTTTTTTCTTTTTCAGTTTTTATTTTAGAATCAAACCATACATGTACAGATATGTTACAAAGTTATTTTGCATGATGCTGAGGTTTGGGGTATGACAGAAATTATTAACCAGTTAGTGAACATTGTACCCATAGGTAGTTTTTCAGCCCCTGCCCTTTCTCCCTTTGTGTTCCTTCTAGCACAATGTCTATTGTGCCCATCAACCAGGGATTCAATAAAGAAACTGTGGTATATATGCACCATGGAATACTATGCAGCCATAAATAAGAACAAAATCTTGGCCTTGCAGAAACTTGGATGCAGCTGGAGGCCATTTTCCTAAGTGAACAGATGCAGAAACAAAAAACCAAAAACCACATGTTCTCACTTATAAGTGGGAGCTAAACATGGGGTATTCATGGGCATAAAGATGGGAACACATTTTTAGCCTCTTTCTGTCTTCTCCTTTGTGATTCCTAATACAAATTTGTTGGTATTATACACATGGACCTATGATGTCTGAGGTTTTATTCATTCTTCTTTATAATTTTTTCCTTCTTTATATGAGACCATTTCTATTGACTTGTTTTTCAGTTCACTGATTCTTGTGTCATCTTAAATTGCTATTGAGTCTATCTAATACATTTTTCAATTGAGTTGTTGTACTTTTCATTTCTAGATTTCCCAGTATGCTTGTTTTCATAGTTTTGTCTCTGTTTGAGAGCCTCTATTGGTTGAATCATTGTCTTTACAAATTCCTTTTTCAGTCTTTTATTATAGGTTAAAATAATTCTTTGAACATATATTTGATAAGGGTGGAGCACATAGACACCATGGAGATGGACCATAAGGCAGGGAGCTCCGAATTAGATTAGGTGAATTTTGAGTCTCTGACTATATGATGCTCTTGTGGGTTTTAATTATTTCCCATGTTTTATGTTTCTCATATTACAAATAGCTTTTATTTTTAAGATAGTAACTATTATAGAAATTCAGCTTATAAATTCCTGGAAATTTCTAACAGAAAGATTGATGAAAAGATGGTTTTTTTAGGCCCCCACACCAGCCTCTGCCTGGGACCTGACTTTGTCTCTGAGCCAGTGGAATCTGTGATGAGGTTTTGAGTTGGGCAGTGAAATCACCACAGGGAAGGCTGTGCTCTGGGTGCTTTGGATGACAGGAGGACACTCCTTCAGGGTCAGTGATGCTGGGAGTTCAAAGGGAGACTCAGCATGGAGCTGCCTGTGAGTTATCCCAGCAATCCTGTTTGGACAGTGATCATCTCACAAGTGTGCTCGGAAGCCACTGGATGGCCAAAATGTGGGCTCAGGTTGGAGAAGGACAAAGCTATAGGGATGAAAATATAAGACTCATTTGATACTCTGAAATATCAGTACAACCATCATGAATTATATGGGAAGAGAAAGGAGTCACAAGATTGTGATTTTTTATTTGATATTAAAATATGTCACCTCTGCTCATTTTTCCCTCAAGGATGTACCTACTGATATACATTTAACCAAAGTCACTGTTTTTAATTTTCATTTTAGTAACTGACAGCCTGTGTGCAGAGTTCCTAAATAACGAAGCCAGACCATCATTGCTATGGGTGAAGCCAGGAAGTGACTGTGGATGTGAACAAATGTGAGATTCATGTACACGTCTCCAAAGACAGAGGCCACTGATCTGGGGAGAACCTGCAGTCATTTCACTTTCCCATACCCAGATGAGAGGACACCTTGATCTGTGTTCATCTGATGAACTCTAAAATCTGGACCATATTCTGAAGGTGTAGTTCACACTTCTTTTCTGTGCTAGTGGGACTCTCTCACTGACGTGTATTGTACCCTCTGCATAGGACAGTCTGTGATACATACTACTTGTTTTCTGCTAAACACCCATCAATCATGTCATTTATGAGTCTTCCATAGGTGTTACCTAACCTATGGCTATGGGGTCTTCCAAAAGAATGGGCCAGAGGTGGAGCTGTGAAACTGTAGCTGGATAAAAAGTGTAAATGTCAAGAAAGGGTATTGAAGTGGTGATAATAATAATAATAATCCAAATTAGTCTGGGCTCTTGGCTGTGATTACTGGTAAATGTGAAAGAGTCTAGGTTTGGTTTTTATTAGTTTTATTTCAACTGATAAAGTAGCCAGAGTAAAGTGCATAAATCTTGAATGTTCAACTGAATACAGTTTTTGTGTAATTCATTGTCCGAATGGAATGATAGAATATTTCACATTCCCTTGTGCTTCCCTCATGGACAATCTTTGTCAGTTATCACCCCTCTCACCCAGCAAAATTAATGTCTTTCTGACATCTATACAATCATTTAGGTTTTCCTGTCTTAAACTTTATATAAATAGCATTAAGTGTATTTTTATCTTTTTAGACTTGGTATTGCTCCTTACAACTTTTGAGGCCTTCATTTCTTTCAGAGGATTCAAGGTCCTGTCTCATGTCATTTCCTGTGATTCTGAAGGATTTTCTCTCAAATGTCTTGTAAGAGACATAGCTGCTATGAATGAATGTATTTTGTTTATCAAAGAATTTTTTTGCTTTTTCTTTAGATTTGAAGGGTATTTTCGATGGATATAGATTTCCTGGTTGCCTTTTTTTTTCCTTTCAGCATTTAAATATGACATTTCACTCCTTCTAGCCTCTATTGGTCCTGATGAAAACTCGGCCAATGGCTATGTTGTTGTTTTTCTGTATGTAGTGTCTGCTTTCATTCTTGATGCAATGAAGATTTTCTCTTTGTCTTTCAATATTTTAATATAATGTGTTCAGTTATTAATTCCTATTGATTATCTAAAAGATTTTTATTGAATTTTTTCATCTAAGAATTTTTTATTACTTTTGAAAAGTTTTTGTCATTATTTCTCCAAAGATTTCTTCAGCCACTTTCTCTTTCTCTCCTCCTTTGTGACTCTTATTATACATTTGTTGGTATTCTTCACTCTGAGCTATAAATCTCTGAAGTCTTCTTTTTTTTCTAAACTTTTTCTTTAGACTCAATAATTTCTATACCTCTATTTTCAAGTTAACTGATTGTTCTGCCATCTCAATTTGCTATTAGACCTAGCTAACAAATATTTAAATTGGTTTATTGCACTTTTCATTTCTAGAGTTCCAATTTGGTCATTTTTTTATATTTTCCATGTCTTTTCTTGAGGCCCTACTTGCCGAATCTTCTTTTTTTTTAATATTTTCTTTTTTATGTCAATGATCATAGATTTAAACATAATTATTTGAACATCTGCATATTAACTGCTTTGTAGTCTTTGCTAAATCCAATAATTGGGGCAAGTTAGAATTAGCTTTCATTGACTATTTTCTGTTGTTATTATTGTAGCTGCTTTATTTTTATTCCTTTAATATTGTTCATACTTCTCTGCTTTTTTCCAGAAGTTGTTAAACTAAAAATTGTACATTTTTGATAGCATATTATAGTAGCTGTCTTTAGATTTTGGGCTTTTTTATTTTAATTTTAACTTTTTTAGAAATAGGGTCTTACTTTTTCACCCAGGCTGGAGTGTGGTGCTGTGACCATAGCTTGCTGCAGCCTCAACCTCTGGGGGTCCAGGGGTTCTGCAGCTTCATCCTCCTGAGTAGCTGGGACTATAGGGGCATGCCACCACTCTCTGTTATTTTTTTTTTAATTGTAAGATAAGAGTGTCACTATTTTGCCCACCCAGCCTGGTCTCGAACTCCTGGCATCAAGTAATCCTTCTGCATCAGCCTCCCAAAGTACTGGGATTACAAGCTTGAGCCACCATGTCAGGCCTGGAATTTGTTTTGTTTTTCTGATCATTTTTTAATTTTCTTCTTAGTTTCTTGTCTGAACTTACTGATAGTACCTGACTTATGACAGTTGGAGTTATAATGTTTTGACTTTCAGATGGTGTGAATGTGATATGCATTCAAGTAGAAATAGAAATTCTAGTATTTACACAACTATTCTATTTTCTCTTTCAATATAGTATTCAATAAATTACATGAGGTATTCAACACTTTATTGTAAGATAAGCTTTGTGTAAGATAATGTTGACCAACAGTAAGCTAATGTAAGTGTTCTGAGCATATTTAGGATAGGATAGGCTGAGGCATAATGTTAAGTGGATTAGATGTATTAAATATATTTTCAATGCAAGATATAGAAAAATCTGTATCTCATGTGGCGTTTGACCACAGATATCTCTGCTTCTTTCTGTTCTTAATATTAATATTTAGTTTGATTTTATAGGAACTACACATGTATCTGCATAGCGAAGTGGTCACCAATGATCTGAGACATTTTGCTCAAATATCTGGAGGTTATAAATCTATCTTCTGTCAACCCATCTGTGTGTAGTTTAAAAAGCAAACTGCATGCAAAATGCAGCTAGTTCTTACCTCCCTCTGGTTTTACTTTGCACCGGAAACTCCTAGTTCTCATCACTCATATCTATAACTTCTAGGTCACTAGGAATATGTGCAGAGATTATTTCAGCAATGTGGGTCTATCTTATCCAGGAATCTGCTATTTACTATCAGCAGATGTACTACTTGCCTCAAACAAGGCATCATCTTGGACTAGCAAGGCTGTGGGCTTTTTCTGTTCATTTCCTATGGTGTTCTCCCTGTTTAGCTGGAAACACTGAAGAATTATTTCCCACTCCTTGGCTTTACTCAAGTCCACCCACTTTGGCAGCAAGCTGCCAGTTTTATTTGCTATCCTTACATGGGTAAAACTCCAGTTCTGCAATTCATATTGACTGAGCTGGGAATAGAAGGGTGCTGTCACAGGCAAAAGGCTACAGACATTTTCTGTCCTTACTCAAAGCACTAGTACTTTTTTTTTCTATAAAAAATATGCATCCTTAATTATTTTATGCTTTGCCAATTTTCAGAGTGCTGAAATAGTTTTGATATTTCAGCTTTATATTTATAGGTGTGTTTGTTGTTTATTCTTGCACAGATTTATTAAACTCTTTGTGATGCCATAAACAGAGATGCCTTCTGAAATGCGTTTAAATGAATGTAATAGCCACACTGAAATGGTATGATGTAATGGAATAACATAAGTAATTTTGGACTTGAGAACTTGAGCTCCAAAATGGCCAAATAGAGCAGAGATGCTAAAACTGAGTGGCCACCACACTAGCTGTCTGTAAAGGAAGCAGCTGGTATAATCTAGTAAACACTGATGGTCTTCTTGAGGTTTTTGTTTCATGTTGAATCACTGTGGGAGGCCAGTTATTATACTGCTGACAGTAATAAACTGCAAAATCTTCAGACTGCAGGATGCTGATGGTGAGAGTGAACTCTGTCCCAGACCCACTGCCACTGAACCTGGCTGGGATGCCAGTGGCCCTGATGGATGCACCATAGATGAGGAGCCTGGGAGCCTGGCCAGGTTTCTGCTGGTACCAGGCTAAGTTGCTGCTAACACTCTGACTGGCCCTGCAGGAGAGGGTGGCTCTTTCCCCTGGAGACACAGACAGGGTGGCTGGAGACTGCGTCATCACTATTTCTCCAGTGGTATCTGAAATTGGAAATAAAACAGAAATGCACTCATGTAATCAAAATCAAACCCACTGTCTTTAAGTAGAGCCAAAATTGTTGATCTACATTGAATTTTAATTATATTTCTTGCTGAGCAGAGGTGGCAGGAGTTTTCACTGATGTGCAAAACCACCTCATATTCCCCTCACCTGGGAGCCAGAGTAGCAGGAGGAAGAGAAGCTGCGCTGGGGCTTCCATGGTTCCGTCTGGGTCCTAACTGAGCAGTTCCTCCCCAGAGCTCTGACCCAGGCATTGATATGGGCCCTGGAAGGTAGGGCAGCTGGGAGGGACATGCAAAGCAGCTGGGGTGGGAGCTGAGCTTCCAGATGCAAAGACCACCTGCTTCTTCCTCTCTGCACTGAGCATCCTGCGCCGCCCTGGTTGTCAGGTCAGAAAAGTCTGTTGGCTCAGTCTGAGTGTAGAACTCCTCCCTTGTGCTCAGAGAATTTCGCTCCTGTGTCTTTCTTCTCCTCAATCACCTAAATCCACCCAGAAGATGTTTGGCACAAGCCTGTTAAGAACAATATAAAAAGCTGTGTTTTCACTTCTCTCTTCCTATCCTCAATATGCCCAGTCATCTCCCTAAGTGCATTATTGGATCGATGGAAATGAAGAATCTGTTAGAACTTAATCTTCCAGATACACCTTTCATTTGCTTGTTAGTAATGTTTTCTGAGGGTCCTGAAGCTTTCCATTAACCCAGCCACATACCCTCTTTGAGTTAAAAAGTGAAAAACTTCTGTTTACAGTCACATGTCCTGGCAGCCCTGACATAGATGCTCCATGGCTTGCCGATTGCTTGAAATTGATCAAGTAACTTAACTTCCCTGTGTCTCGGTTTCCATATCTGTGTAACTGTGACAATACTGGTACCTACCTTATAGTGCTGTAGACAGTTTAAAGAAAATAAGATAAAACATTTACAATAGTATTCAGGACATTATGTATGTGGCAATTAATTTTGTTTTTATTTATTAAATATTTAGCACTACAGTCATCATCATTATCATAAATATACTTACTTAGCACAGAAAAGAGTCTTCAGTCTAATCCAAGAATGTTTTATCCACAGCCAAATTTAATTCTAAGGCTTTTCCTTCACTAACTCTACACAACTCTTTAAATCCTAATGATTTGGTCTTAATCTGTGCTAAAGTACTCACACCTTCAATCATTCCCACCCATCCCTGTCTAACGCATTAATTCTCATCATCCATTATCAAAATGTTACTCTATAAAAGGTTCCCATGTCCTGTTGCTGTCCTTCTTTCTTACACAATCTTTATTCTACCCTGTTATCTTTTGTCTTATTGTTGCCCCAGGACAATAAGGAAAAGCTACCATCATTACCTGTTGACTTGCTCCAGTATAATTTTTTCAGGCTTGTTACCTTGGAAATGAGGACTATGTCTGGCAAAGAAACATATTCATCGGGTCAATGTGTTATGAAATAAAAGATTTTATCTACTTATGGTCCAATAAGTAATTTAGACCTACTTGAACAGTTTTTTTTTAATGAACGAAGAAGAAGATGATATAAGAGGAAAATACAATACAATAGAAAACACAAGCTATTATAACTCTTGCTTCACGGATTTCTACATATATATTAGACATATGCTGGGTATATGTGTGCAATGGTGATCCAAAAACTGAACGCTAACTGGCTGAAGGAAAGCCTGTATTACATTGGGTCTTGTCTATTTTTCCAATTATGAACAGAAAGCTACAGTACTATTTGTATGAGTATCAAACCTTCTAGCTGCTGTGATGGAGGTAGAGAAGATTTACTGAGACTAAAGCCTTGGAAGTACTAGAGGTTTGTCCTGTGATGTTATGGGTGTTGCTGTGGTTGTTGTTGTTAGGAAATACAGTGGAAGTGAAAGCAAGTAGAAAATTTACAAGCTCTGCTCTTCCTCATACTCACAACCCCTTCTAGAGATGACAGATAGTGGCACAGGAATCTCTGACACCTCTAAGGAAGTCTTTTTTGCTCTTTCCAGGATCTTTCCTGACAAGTATTGTTTTGAGTCACAGATGATGTGGAAGTAAGTGTAGAAGAAAGGACTAGAGCAAGGGAAGAAGCTTTCAATCCCAGGTAGTGGTTGTAGGCACAGTGAAATGGAATTTTTCATAGATTTATGCTACACTTCTATCATGTTGGGGAGAGAGGCATCAAACCAAGCTTACTCTTGAAAGAAACATTACATTATTTTAAAGAGAAGGAACTATGCATTTCTTGTCAAATAGATGTTTAAAATTCAAAGCTACAATTTTTTTTTTTTTTTGACAGTATCTTGCTCTGTCGCCCAGGCTGTAGTGCAGTGGTGCGATCTTGGCTCACTGTAACCTCCATCTCCGTGGTTCAAGTGGTTCTCCTGCCTTAGCCTCCCAAGTAGATGGGATTACAGGCATGTGCCACCACACCCGGCTAATAACAGGAGGGAGTAAAGGGCCACACAAGCATGTACACAAGAGACAACTTTTCTTCTTTTTTACAGAATAAGTCTAAATGTAAAATAGCGTTATAATGTATGGACTCATGTTTAAGACAAGTCTCTTGGTTTTCTAATTTGTGTTGAACCCAAGCAGTGTTGTGATAGAAAATGAGTTTCTTTTTCTTTAAGCTGAATTTGAATTTGCTCCAATAGCCTAATAGACACCCTAGTGGCAAGTCCTCTGTGATGCTCGCCATTGTCCCCATGTCTAACAAGGATTTCTACTGGACACAGAAGTTTTTCTAAGTCCAACAAGAGGGAAAGAGACTGGGCCATCATTGTTCTCATCTCAGATTTCCACTTCCTGCATAGAAGGTATACATATAGGTAGCCAGACGTTATGAAAATGGATTGTAAGCATTTGTTAGTGAACAAAATATGACTCAAACAGTATTTTTATTTTTTATTTTTAAATTTCTATTGCTTATTATTTGAGACAGACTGTCACTCTGTCACCCAGGCAGGAGTGCAGTGGGTGCAATCTTGGCTCACTGCAACATTCGCCTCCTGGGTTCCAGTGATTCTCAGGCCTCAGCCACCCAAGTAGCTGGGATTACAGGTGTGTGTCACTACGTCCAGCTCATTTTTTTTTTTTTTTTTTGTATTTTTAGTAGAGACAGGGTTGCACTGTGTTGGTCAGGCTGGTCTTCCTGACGTGAAATGATCCATCCATCTTGACCTCCAAAAGTGCTGGGATTACAGGCGTGAGCCACCGCACTGGGATTTAAGCAATATTTTTATTAAGTAAAGTGTAGAAGAAAAAGTGTAAGTAAGGTGACAATAAGAAAACAAAATGCCGTAATGGAAAACGATAACTTTAGGGCAGAAAACAAGAAAAGGCAAACCAAGATTCCTGTAGGGCAAGCCTCCAATGCACAATCCAAGGAGGAATGTCAAGGGTGAAAACTCTGGAGCATCCAGATAGTGGCCCAAAATACCAAATGCTGAAAACCCAGAATACCCAAGTAACAGCCTATGAGTGTCCCCACACCAAATGCCAGGAAACCCTGGAGTATCCAGGGGCTGACCAGTGCAGAAAATCCTGGAGCCTCAGTGGGGTGGCCAACAATGAGCCCCAAAGGCCTGGTTGGGGCCATAGAACAATGTGACTCTGGCTTCTTAGAGTCAACAGAACAGGAGAATTCTTACATCCAAGTGTCCTGCCTTAAACAATTGCACAAACATAATTAGCATGGACCCAAAGAAAAAACTGCAAAGCAAACACATATATCGGGGCAGAAAATAAAATAAAATGGCTGATGGATAAATAAAATGGCATTAGAGGAGAAATGACTAAGAGAAAGAACAATGAGGATGTAGTCAGGTGTGCTATGGGGGACTTCAAATGGACTATCTAGCCAAAGGCCTTATTTCCTGGATCATCTGATATAGGCAGGTGGGTAGATGGGACACTTACAGGTGTGCAGGAGCCAAAATGGGGCCAAGCAGTGTCTGACATGGGGCCTGCATGAAGATCTCTCCAGGCTTCCCAGCTCGGGTGGGTTGGGCTCCTATGGGGGAACTGGAGCACGGAGCGGCTGGCCTGCATGAAGCAGTGGCTCTGTGGCCTCTTGCCCATCCCCAGGGCTCCACCACCTGTCAGGAAAGATGATGGTTCTTAAAACAGTCTTTGGCTAGTGTTAATAGCTCTGCAATGTTAGCAACTCTGTAGCTTTGATCGCTGTAGCGCATATCACCGTCTCATCCTCTCTCACTGATCGCTGTCTTGCCACTTCTCCAATAGCTGTCTTGCCCATTGCTGATCACTGTGTCCATCTTCTCATAAAGTGCCATCTCTTGCTGTCTCTTGCTGTCTTGCTTCTCCGCTGTTTCCACTGTCTTACTGCCACATCAAATGCTGCTTCTCACCATCTCTAGTAGTGAGTGGCTGGCTCAATACTGATGCAAGGCAAGTCCTCAGCTTTGCTCAGGAAGGAATGTTAAGAGTAAGCCAGTAATAGAAGAAAACAGCTTTATTGATGGGGCAGCAGTGTTACAGCTCTGTGACTACTCCTGCGGAGCACGGGTAATTCATAGGCAGAGGGCTGAGAGTAGCAGCCAGGGGCATTTTTACAGTCACATTTATACCCACTTTTAATCATGTGATAATTAAGGGGTAGGTTGTTCAGAAATAGCTAGAAAATGGGTGGTGTTGCCCCAACTTCCAGGTGTTGCTATGGCAGGGGCAGGAATTTCCAGGTGTTGCCATGGCAAGGCGCTGTGACTTCTGGATGTTTCTATGGCAATGGTAAACTCTCATGGCACTGGTGGGTATGTCTTATGGAGAGGTCCTTTCAGAACCCTGTTCCTGTTTTGGCCAGCCTCACATCTGGTCCAGAGCGGAGTCCTGCCTACCTCTTGCCTCAAAAGTAACAAGAAATCTGTAATGAAAATTTACCCAGACAGAAAACTCCAATTTTATATTTGGTAGTTAGTGACATGGTACTTATCAAAGTTACACAAAGATTCAAGTGAATAAAAAATACTCTCAGAATTATTATAGGAGGTCATAATGTCCTGTAGTCCAAAAATTAATATGCACATAACGAAACAAAGAAATTAAAGGCTGATATCCATTGTGAATATAAAAATAAATATCTTAAGAATAAAAGAAAAATGCAATCCCACTGTATATCTGCACATTTAGTGAACACACATTGTAAAAAGTGTTACAGTTTTTATAAAAACTCTTGATAGGTAATTTTAATTTCTGAAAAATGTATATGAACTATAAGGTATGTTGGATCTCTTCCCCTAACTTAAAAAATATTTCTTCACATTTAAATTCTTTACCAATTTTTAATGACTTTTTATTGCTTAGAATTTTAGTTGATATAAATAAAAAATGTGTATTAAAAGCCTACCATTTTGATTTAACCTATGAAATATATTTAAATTCTTGGAAAAATCCAAAAATACCTAGAAAAGTGAGCTCTTGCCAGAAGATACACAGTTCTTTAGTGTCAGGCTGAGATTATCTCCCAGAAATAACTTTTGGCTCATATAGCTTCCAGGACACTGCAAGAATAAAAGATGTGAAGACAATGTTACTTAATTGGATTTGCAATTATTCACTATTCACTGTTAACCAATTTTATTGAAAAAAAAGATTCCAATCAAATACACTGATTTTAAGTGTACTGTTGGGTTTAATAAATAAATACATTCTTGGAAGCAAAATCAATACACACAACATTTCTGTACCTCCAAAAAGTTTTGTCCTGCTCTTCAGCAATCAACTTGCTTCCACCTCACAGAACAGACCATCCTTATTCAGCTTATTGTTAGTATAGATTCCACTATCTTTTTAAGAATTTCACATAAAGGAATATAGCACATATTCTTTTGTGGCTGGTGACTTTCGTGCAGCATAATTGTTTCCTAGGCTCATTCATGTCGCCTTGTGTCCTCGTGATGTGTTACTCTTTACTTTTGAGTACTATTTAAATATGTAGTAATTTCACAATGTATCCCATCACCTGCTGATGACCATGTGGGTTGTTTCCACTTTGGGCTATTATGGATAAAGCTACCACGAATGGCATTATACAAGGCTTTGCATGAATATTTCTTTATTTCTTTTAGGCAAATACCTAGGAGTGCAGTTACTGGGTCTTACAGTAAGTGTTTAATACTCTGTCATACTGTTTTCCAAAGTGGTTATACCATTTTACATCTCAGCCCAGAATTGATGAGAATTCTCAATGTTTCAGCTACTTGTTTTTAAGACTTTTTCTTAATCATCACTCAACAGTGACCAGAATGGCTAATGATCATTAAGTCATGTTTTCCTTACAATTTCCTTGACTTTTGTGGGTGCTTGACTTGTATCAGAATATTGAAAACAGGATCAATATTGTCTTAACCCCCTTTTAAACACTTTTTCTAAGTAATGATATTTAGGATGATAACAGGAGATCTAAAGGGAATATTGGTAGTAGTAACAGGCATTATTCAATATTTATTATCATACTCCTTAAGACAATACATTTTGAGTGAAATAGCATTCAGCTAGACTCGGGATAAAAAGGTTCTAATCTCAGCTTTAGCATTAAATATTAGGAAACCTTTGAGAAAACAATCCAGGAAGACAAATCAGAGTGTTTTGCTAGTGGAGAAGTGCTGCAACACCTAAACCCTATTAATGCCAGATCTTTGCAGTGATTTCTACTCATAAAGTTGGGTTGACTCCTTGCCTTGTTCTCCTATGTGTCTGTGTGACTTTATGCTGAGGGGATGTGACATCACAGAGGGAGAAGTGCACTTGTGTACAGAAACATGGCTTAGGAGATTGGCTTTGGATGTGGCTGCAATGAAATATATATTTTGAAGAAGTCCCCTATGAAATGTCTTATACATTTTTTCTTATGGCAGGGTGCTCGGGCTCACACCTGTAATCTCAGCACTTTGAGAGACCAAGGAGGAAGGATCACGTAAGGCCAAGAACTTGATACCAGCCTGGGCAACATAGGGAGACCACATGTGTACACACACACACACACACACACACACACACAATTTGTGAACAGTGGCATCAAGAAGTGATTATTTATGAACATTGGCTAAGAAAATTACAAAATAAAGCAATGTCTTCTGAGCTAACAATACTATAATAAAGATGTCAATTATTTAACTGTAGAAAATACAGAGAACATGAAATTGTCTATCTTAACCATATTTAAAAGTGCAGTGCAGTGGCATTAAGCATATTCACATGTTCTGCTATTATTACCGATACTGTCTCCAGAATTCTTTTCGTCTTATAAAAACTAATATCTATACCCCTTAAACAATACTCCCCCCATTTCCTGTATCCTTATCCCTAGCAACCTCCATTCCAGTTCTGCCTCTATGTCAGTGACATCTTTGAAGCAGGTTCACTGTACACTGGTTACCAACGTACCTGAGCGCGAGGAACACAACACCCCCACACAGCAAGTTACATGAAGGGGGTTTATTATTACAGATAAGCAGCAAGGGATCACAAAACTCTTGGACTCATTATGGATCAGTCCCCCAAGGCATGCGAAAGTTATGTGGAGCTGATAGAGTCGACTGTGTGTACCCCGCTTGCATCACAGCTCAGGAACCCGGAAAAGCAGACACTCTGGGTTTTATATCCTGGGGTAATGAGACGCACAGGGCTAACGTGCTTAAGAACATTCCATTCTATGAGAAACTGGAATACAGCACAGGTAGGCTGTTCTGGCCAGTTCCTCTCTATCTCAGGATGTTACAATTCCAGCACATTCTACAATTATTCTTGAGAACTCTTAAAATAATCAAGAAAGTGGAGAGAACTAAGTCAGCCCAGGGTCATTGGAGAACTGTCTTGCAGTTACCCCACCACCTAGACATCCCCCTTAGTAAAGCTAGCATATTTCCTACGCCCACCAATTTCCCCCAAACTGAAGGCAGAGGTTTATCTCTTCAGATTGACGAAGCACCTTGATTTACACAACCTCAGTGCAGATTATTAAGCCATAGTGAGAGTACATTTCGCTGGTCTAAGGAAGGGTACTACCACTGGCAGGAGGATAAGACCCCCGAAAGCAGTGACCTAGTCTAGGATCCCATGATCAAGAAATTAAGATGCCAAAGAGGTGAAAGGGGGATCTTTCAGATGCCCCATTGTCTGCAGCCATTGAGCCTGCATCAGGATCACCTCTACTTATATTTCTAGGATACCTGAGGTGTTTATCCAGGTACAGAAGGCAGTGTTGGGTGTTGGTAATTACATGGAACATCCGTTATGTTCCACGAGAATGTGCCCATTGTCACGCTGATTGGGCAGTGAGGTTGTTTCTTGGTCAGAGTGAAGTCTCATGGAGTATCCAAAATATGACATAAATTCCTCTCAAGGGTGGCCATTGTAGCCCCAGCATCTAATAGAGTGACATATATTTAGCAGTCCAGGAAGCAAGCTATTGCCATAGTCCTTTTCTCCACACAGGGGATCCTTTAATAGTTCAGTCGCTCAGTTGCTGTTTTCCTGACCAGATGAATGGGTTGTTGAAAGTGGCCCATGATTTAATGGAAATGGAGCAAAATATAGTGTTAGGGGCAGCCTGCATGGCTGCTATCATTGCATGCAGTTTGGCCCATTGGGCAGAATGGCCATGTTTAGTGTCAATCAAAAGATGCCATCCCCTGGCTGGATGGTGGCCACACCCAGTGGACCCACTGGCATGTGTTTTGTACAATCATCAGGGCCCCATGCCATACTGACATAGGCATGTCTTTGAATCTTTGACTCTATGTGGCCAAAGGAGAAGCTGAATTGTCCCCTGTGGGTCATTTGTTCCCTTCTTGCAAGCTTGTCATTTGTTTATGGGGCACATGGGTATTGTGGCATCCTGGTTAGGGCTGATTCTGACTGTAACATTTCCATTTAGTAATTTGGATCTGTTGGGCCTGTCCAGTTTTATTGATTGTGTTTGTAGGCACCAAAGTGAGAATCTGTAGTTAAGATAGCAGTGTCACTCCTGGTCCTCTAGCTCTGAGATACTCAGGCCCTATCAGTTTCCTACAGCAAGTAAGGAGTTGCCATTCAAAAGAGGCACAAATGATGGCTGCTTCAGGAAACATTTGTCTCCAAAATCTAAGTCTGGTGCACCCAGTGACAATTTTACATTGCCACAGACTCCAGTCAGCATGCCTAGAAATAGTGGACACCTGGATTTACATAGAACAAGCAGGCTCTAAAGGTCTTAAAGAAATGCCTTGGACATGTATAGTTGAATAGATTCCAAGGCTACCGTTGCAAAGGGCTCCATTCAAAGTTGTCAAATTTGTTCATGCTTTTGACTAAGGTGACCAAAAAAAAAAAAAAAAAAAAAGACTCAGGGGGACAGTGCAGCTACGTAAGAATCCAGTGGCTTTCCCGAGCTTATTTGTCTTGCATTTTTGGTGACATGGATTGTTGTTCATATCGGCTTCCTCTGGCAGGTCCACCTGGAAAGCATTATATTTAGCAAGAATAAAGGAGGCTGTGAATGATGTCACTGCGGACTGCGTATATTCCCTGTTGCAAATGTCAAATCCATGAAGCAAAAAGGGATTTACTAGAGGTTATTAAATTCCTTACAAATTGTTGAAAAGCCTTAAAAAACAGGCTCCAGTCAAAGCCTCTAGAACAATTCCAAGAATCGTACTGCTGGCACAGGTCGGGGGAGCTCCTCCTGCTGTCTGAGACTCCACATTCAAGCTGTCTCTTGCAGCAGAAGAGAGAGCGGCTCTTCTCACTACTGCCCCCAGAAGGACAGCAGCTCTGGTATCAACTGTCAACTGCTAGAAATCTGACCCCTTTCTCTGACTGCCCATCAGATGTGTTACTACAGAGTCGTTTTGGATTGAGATGAAGGAGGGGAAATGCCTGATCTCACTCAAATGTGCTCATTTTCCTGGTCTGAGTCACAGCCAGGCAGCACAGTCCTGTGGGCACAATATCTTCACTTGCCAGGTTCCTATAAAATGGGAGTATCTTTCTTGACTGTGGAAAATATGGAGACGAGGAAGGTCAAGCAATAGCAAAAGGAGTACTTGGAGTTGCCTGAGCTTCCACTCTGGTTTCCCCAAATGTTTTCAATCCATTTAATTCATGATAATAAACACCTTTCTGCCTAACCAGCCATAATCGCTTTTCTTAGATCCAGATGATTCAGTGATAAAACTAAAGAGAAAAAATAAATACACTTTTCAACGTTGAAGCTGACCAGGTGTCTGTCTCTGGTGTTTACCCCTCCACATCCCACTATGCATTTCATCTTCCCTTTGCCTCACTGGAGATCCAAGTGCAAGTAATGCTTCACATGACTGTGATCCCTAGAACTTCATCCTAATGACTGTTGACATCTTCTCTAAGTTTTACCAGTGGAAATGGCAATAAATAGAAAGATTCCAGAAGGTCCCCTAGGGTCCATATTTTCTGTACTTCCTCTCTAAAATATGTAAAGTCAATTATGTTTGCTCTTGCTTTATACGGGCTAGATCTATGGTCCCAGCACACATCTGAACGCCCTGTGTTGACAACTTATCCAGTATTGTATTGAGTCTGAATGGTCACATGCTTATCATATCATTTCTTCCAATTTCATGCAGTAATTGTCATGTCAACTGTTTGGATTAAGAACCATCAGCCAGAAAACCACAGCCCTGAGAAAATAGAAATAGAGTATTTCAAGCTGTTCAGTGGGCATAGCAATGATGAGTCTACAGCTCATTTTCAATATATAAATATTCTGTTCATGAGAGTAACAGTGTTTCAGAGCCTCCACCACATCTGACAGCATAACAATGCAATAGCACAAGAGTTTGTGTGCCAGCGTTGCTTGACTAATAATGGGTTTTTCTTTGTCTATAGGGTAAGCTGCACCTGTGCACATGACAAGATCATGAGCTACACTTTGCTTCACTTTTTTTGAGGTCAATAAACTGCTTGATCCAAAGCCATATTATGGAAGAAATTCCTGACTCTGATGAAAACACTTGGAAAATCCTCAAATAATATTTTATGCAGAAACATAACCGAAAAAGAAGGCAAATTCATATATTGCAAATAACCAGTGCCTTCCTCATGTTGCATGAGGTCCACTAGAATCACCTGACACCAGCTGTTAGTCTGAGCCCTGATGTGTGGTACAATGTTAAGGGTTCAAGAGGCATCAGTTTTCTTGGCAAATTAGGTGTTCAGAAGAGCCAATAGCCCTGTACATCTCAGTTAGTTGAAACTCACATTACTGAGTCCCCACAGGGACCTTATTAACATTGGTTCATGAGGCTACCTGGGGAAGCTGGGAAAGGTGATTGACTGAAGTCCATGTGTTGAATCATCCTGATTATTAAAAGCCCCTGCTTGTTAATGGCATTTCACTTAATATTCACTTGGAAAGCATTTTTTTTTATTATGGCTCATTTTTGAAATGTCTGGTCATAGCTTTTGCAGAATGACTTTGTCTGAAATCAGCCTGTTGCATTTATTTTAAGACTTGATGATCTGTCAAAACCAACAGCCAATATTTATTAAACTGCTGTTATCTTGCAATGGGATCATCAGATGTAACCATTGCAGTTTACCCACGGTTAGGATTTTTACATTTCCAGTGCTTCTTTGACAATGACACTAATGTGACTCCATCCAGCATGCATTGTTGTGAGAACTCTATTTGGCCTATCATCATTGTGGGCATGAACATAATGGAGACTTTCATAGGATGCAATGGTTAATATTCAACATTAGTCAAAATTTGCTCTAGTCCTACCCTTGGAGCTCTACTGGGTTGGAAAAATATTTTAGGTAAGGTCAACCATTTGGTAAAGTTTTAAAAATAAAGGCTACAAAGAAATTTTCTGTAGCAAGAGTATTGCATACATAATAGAATAAATGTGCTTAAATATGAATACTATATATATTTGTAGCCAACATTTTATCAAACAAATATATATTCACTTCTATGTATCTTATATATATGCACATTTTTCCATAAATAAGGTAAATTTTAATTTTTTATTGAAATACTAGTTTTAATTCTGTTCTTAATTTTCTCTTAATAACTTCATAAATTGATCACTAAATATTCACATTTATACCACCAATTTAAGAAAAAAATACATATGTTTATATACACGTAGAGGTGTAAATACCGTATCAGGAAGCCTTTATGCATAATGATTGGTTACTGGTTAAATACACAACTCAGTGACAGAAAACAGTAAACATTTGTTTTCGTGTTCGTGGATGCTCACGTTCACAATCCTCTGGCTGACCAAGGAAGGGCTCTGATGAGTCGTTCCTCTGCAGGGCACTGAGCTCACCTTCAGACTACAGATATGAATTGTCTGAGGACAAGGCTGAACAGCAGTGACTACACATGACAGAAGATTCTTGTGGCAGGTCACAGGAGTGAACAACATCCCAAATCAAACTGCACAGTTGAATTTAAGTCCAATAATTTCTAACATAGCTTCACACATTTTAAATATATTCCTTTATTTCAGTGAGTACACATTTTCAAGAAAATGTTTACTCCATTTAATTATAGAAGGGTTTGATCATTCCATGAACAAATAATTATGTTTTCAAACTTTACAATCCTGAAAATATTTGCAAATGTAAATTTGCATTAATAAGAAAATAAAGCTGGATGTGTTTTCAACATGTGGCTTCAAATATAATTTATTTAAATGGACTCATTGGGGTAAAAATCATTTTAACTTATGTAAATATCCCTTTTTGCTGTGCTTGTGTCCTATAGAGTTGCCCAATAAGAGTTCCTCCCATGAGATTTGGAAATCAGAAAAGGAAGACTCAATATTATCCATTGGTAACTAAGACAGGTACAAGGACAGAGGTGAGGACTAGAGAAACACCTGGAAGGATGCTGCAGGAAGCTAAGAGCATCAGCACGCCTACCCCTAAGCTTCCAGACAGGACTGAGGACCACATGGTTAGAAAGCCCTTACTTTAGGGGCGGATGCATTCTGTTTTCTGAGGGAGAACCAGAGAATCCTGCCTCTAATATCAACTTTCCTGACTACTGTATCCTTGTCTTTGAAAGGCTGTAGTCTGAACGTTAATCATAGGCATTGGTTCATTCTTGTTATACCCAACAGAGCCAAGAAACCTAGTGGGGAAAGGCACTCAGGGTGCAAAATATTGCTTCTGGAATGCAATTGAAATAGGCCCTGTTATCCCATGGAACTAAGGTTTATGGTTTTTTGAATAAACTTAGAAATTGTCTCCCCCTCCCTGTCTTAAAACTCAAGATAGTTACGTCTGTCTTACCTGAGTCCTTTTTTCAGTAAACCAACCATCAGGCCTCCCAGATACTATTAAGAAGCTGAAACTTACATATCACTGAATCGGGACAGTGAGACAACAGAACCTTCACCCGCTGTGATTGCATAACTGACCTCCTGCTTCTTCTTGACCAAATTATCTTCCTTACCCCTCCCTAATTCCTGTTTTCAACATTTCTTCCCTCCTATATAAACCCCTAATTTATTTTGTCAGAGAGATACAATTGAGAATGGCGTCCCATCTCCTCGGCTGCAGCACCTGATTAAAGCCTGTTCCTTGGCAATACTTGTTGTCTTCGAGATTGGCTTTCTGTGTGGTGAGCTGCAGGATCTACACCAAGTCCCTGGTATTTCAGTAAGAAAATTCTCTGCAACCTTCAGTGCTTTGGCTTATTGTAACCTGAAATCAAATTTATCCACAATTTCTGAGATAACTTGATATAACTCTAGGATTCACTTTGTCCACCACTGTTTACCAGTCTGAGCTTGCCAGCTCCCAACCCTTCCTAGTGCCAATGAACTTTCTCAAAGTTCAATAGGTAATATTTCCCTTTTTCATGGAACACTGACTTTTTCTTTGTTCTTCCAACATACTGAAGACCACTGAATTTTCCTGTATGCCTCATTTGGCAAATATTTCTCTTCAAATAAAACATTAAATTTAGAGATTCATCTCTACATTTTATTTAGACTTCAGTAGTTTATTCTAATTCTCTGTATTAAGACTATTCCTGCTTAGAATATCTATAGTGGCTTCTTCTGCATTATGATTTCCAACTGAAGCCATAAACTAGACTCCTCAGGTGTCATGATCTCTGTTTTTATTAAATAAGGAGAAGCATTGCTATGTCTGTGAAGTTGGTGCTGAGAAAGAGAAAAGAATTAGGGTGCAGAGGTGACTTCATGTCCCCATCTACAAACACCATCAGAGTGTGGCTGCATCTGAGGAACACTCTCAGCTGATGGAGGCATCAGGAGAAGCAGCTGGGGCAGCCCAGCCTCACACATCTGCTTCCCTGGGGGTTTATGTTTGGGTGTGTAACACTGTGGGAGGGTAACTATTATACTGTTGGCAGTAATAAGTTGCAAAATCTTCAGGCTGCAGGCTGCTGATGGTGAGAGTGAAATCTGTCCCAGATCCACTGCCGCTGAACCTTGATGGGACCCCACTTTGCAAACTGGATGCAGCATAGATCAGGGACTTAGGGGCTTTCTCTGGTTTCTGCTGATACCAGGCTAACCAGCTGCTAATACCCTGACTCGCCCGACAAGTGATGGTGACTCTGTCTCCTACAGATGCAGACAGTGAGGATGGAGACTGGGTCATCTGGATGTCACATCTGGCACCTGAGATTGGAAACATAAAAACAAATGTCCACACAATTAATCATGTTGTAAGAGAATTTCCCTGAATAGTAAAGCAGTACTGAGCACCCTGGGCTGAGTAAACTGCTAGTGTTCTCCATCCTTACCTGGGAAACAGAGCAGCAGGAGCCCCAGGAGCTGAGCGAGGACCCTCATGTCCATGCTGTGTCCTGACTGGGTCTGATTCCTGCACAAAGTCTGACCAGCCTATTAATAAGGCTTCAGGGCAGGAGGTTGTGCTCTGGGAACATGCAAATGAGCAGGGGATGGGGCAGGCTGGGCACAGCTGCAGAGCTGGCGCATCTGAGTAACTCAGCACCAGCTCAGTGTCCCCACCTGTCCCAGGTAAGATCAAGGTAGCTCAAATTTGTCTGCAGAGAATGTGTTTCTACTGGGGACTATTTTGTTATGGGAAACATTTTATGGTTTCTTTTTGACAATTTGAAATATTCCTTGGGAGTCGATGGAGCAATGTATTTCATTGGTGTATGGGGATTATTTAGGAGAATATTCTTTTTTGTAGGAAACACATAGTAAAATTTTAGACCCTACAATTTTCAGGTCTTCAAAAGACTCTCATGTGATTTCTGTTAGGGAAGGTGGTACTTATCATATACTTGCAACATTTCTGTGAGTTTAACATTGTTCCTTTCTAAAAAAAAAATTAAAAATAAAATTTATTCACATGATGCTACATATATTTGTAAATGTTAGGTAATGGTGTTATGCCATTGTTCTTACCACTGTAAGATCAAGCAATTTACTTCAGATACACTAAGTTGATACCGTGTTTCCTCAATGCATGCAGCAATTACAGATCCACCATTATCAAGAGCTCTAGGTCTCTTTAATACCCAGAGACTAAATGGGCTGCACCTTATTCCTGTTTTGGGCACCTTCATAGTCTACCTTCTTTTCTGCCATTAAGTATTATTTCCCAACATTCATCTCTCTTAGTGAGGGTGATCATCGCATGGAGCATGTCCCTGCCACGCACCATAGGTGACACTTTCTTCTTTTACTTTTTATCAGGGACATCATCCTGACCCAGACACCAAGATCCCTGTTAACATCTTTTGGAAAGAGGCACTCAATCTTTTATCAAGCAACTGCCCATGTACATGGAGAAATCAGTTGGTTCCAGATGAAACTGGACAGGGATTTGCACTCGTTATATCTCATATCTCTAATGTGCCCAAAAATGTCCCGGCCTGGTTCCGTGGGAGGGGAAGTGGATCCAACTACATCAGCATCAGTGGGCTGCAGCCTAGGACTCCATAAAATTTTACTGATGCCTGACTAGGAGAGCCAAATCACAGTGCTGTAGCCTCTGCACAAACCTTCCTGCTGCTTTATAAGCTGCCTGAATTTTAAGGGAAATTGCTTATATTGGAAGAAAGGAAGAAAGCTCCATTTGTCCTCTAAATGTTTGCTGAAAATAAACTGACAAAAGGAAGATTAATAAGAGAAAAGGCAAACAAAATTCACTTAAAGTGCAGCAGGATATCATAGCAAGGTGATTACCCAGATAACTCAATGGGATCCAGGTGTTTATGTTTCCTTTCTAGGGAAGAGGTAATTGGGAAATGTAGGCAACCTGGAGAGAATAGATGCGAATAGAAATGCATCCTCAAAAGAACAGGTAATCACCTCCCTAGGTAAAGTATCAACTTTGAGTCTCTTCCATTTTTGATTCCTCTTTTGTGTTAATCTTCCCTGACATAAAAATTCTCAGGAAGAGTTTTCTTAAAAATTGGTTTCCTTCTGAAGAATTTGCTTTTAGGCAGGTAGGGGATGTTTAGGAAAAGCCCCCTGTGCATTTCCTGCTTTCTAAATGCCTTTGGTTTTATATAATCATCATACAAATGCAGCACAGTTTGAGATGTTATTTTCTGGATTCCTTTACTTGCAACCCACCTGCCAAGATCCTGTTCCAGAGAGATGTGGCTACAGACTGAAAGAGCAGTTTTCCCCTCAACAACGTGGAGGTTGGGGCACTGACCACTGGTGCAGATGAAAACCTGTGTAGAACTTTTGCATCTCCAACTTATGTAGTAATAGATTACTTTTGACTGGAAGCCTTAATGATAAAATAAATAGTTGATTAACCCTTTTTTATGTTATACATATTATATACTCTATTCTTCCAATAAAGTATGCTAAAGAAAAAATGTTATTGAGAAAACCTTAAAAATGAGAAAATATATTTAGTACTTATTAAGCGCTTGCTCACAGGTGACACACAGAAGAAAATATAAGTGGATCTGCAAATTTCAAACCCAAGTTATTCAAGGGTTAACTGTACCATGATGAATGTAGCAGTCCCCATCTATAGTCTAGGGCTTTTCCCTTTGCTGTATCTCTGCTCATTTCCAATGGCTATATATATGTCTTATGTGCTTCATGATCTTGGGCAGAGAGGTCTGCTTGCATGCCTTGCCGGCCAGATGGCCTGCAATGTGTATCTCTTAGGAAAGTGCTATGGTTTGACTGTGTCCTCCAGAATCCATCGTTATAAAGTTAAATCTCAGTGAAATGGTATTGCCAGGTGGGGCCTATTGAGATGTGTTAGATCATGAGGGTGGAGCCCTCTAGTGGAATACCTTAATGCCACTATAAACAGGGTTTATGGGGCTGGAATCTCTCTGTCTCTTCTGCTGGTCTGTCATGTTAAGACATGGCCTTCGTTCCTTTGAAGGACTGAAAGCTCCAGGCGTCATCTTGAAAGCAGAGAAAGAGGAGCTTAACCTGCCCATGCCTTGATCTTAAATTTCCCATTCTCCAGAAATGTGAGAAAATAAATTTCTGTTCTTTATGAATTACACAGTGTCAAGGAACCTAACCTGTTATAGCAGCTTGAAAGAGAACAAGAGAGACAGCTCACAATCAGTGAGGACAGGATGAGGTGTATACATACCTCAGCTTCCTCGTCTCTCAGGTGGAATAGCCCAGAGGAATTTAGTCCATGTTTCCACATGTGGTTGATCTTCAGTTATCCTGAGTCAGGTGGGTTGTTGATGTGTCTTTTACCATTCATCTTCTGTTCCCTCCCTCACTTTCTTCCTTTCCTCCCAGTGTAAATTTGCTGCCTAAACAGGAATCCTCATTGCTGGTGGACCCAAACTAAGATAGTAAATAAAATCATTAATCTTTTGTATGAGGGGTATTTCTCATCTGAATTCTTTTATCATTTCCCTTTCTTCGACATGTAGGAATATTCAGGAAACACACAATTTTTTTTAACCAATCTATTTTAGATTGAATTTATGCGGTGATTTTTTTTGTGTGTGTGTTAAAACAAAAAATTACGTTGTAAGCCACTAACCAGCTGAACGGACTCCTCTTTTGGTAGAGAGAACTTCAAAGAAATCTGAAAAACTAGGTTAGGCCACGACTGGCAGGTGGGTTTAGATGTACCTCATTATATGGTCCTTCCTTTGGAGTTCAGACACAACTGACCAGCATTATCATTACAACAGAGATCTTTGGATTGACAAAACAGATGCTTTGTAGCAATAAGATACCATACTCCAACATGACAGATAATAGGCCCTGAAGAAAATCAAAATATTTTACCCTAAAAGTATTTCTTTGACATATTCTGAAGTGACCCTGCAAGCTGCCTGTTGTGGGGGAAATTTGCATTCTGCAGAGAATCTCCTCCCCTTACTAAGTCTTTTCCAAAGAGTCTGACTTTTTTTTAAGGTCTGATAAACAACATTAGCCACCTACTTTGTTTGCTACCCACAGGATTCATCTAGGTGACAAGAACCTTTGCTTCCACACCCTCTTTTCTAAACTCAAGCATTTCTTTATGATGAATTCAAGTGTTTAGGCAGAGCTTAACTCTTTCAACCAGTTGGCAGTCAGGAAATCTTTGAATCCACCTATGACCTGGAAGCCCCTACTTCAAGCTATCCTACCTTTCCAGGACAAACTAATGTAAATCTTATATGTATTGATTTATGTCTTTCCCTGTAATTTCTGTCTCTCCAAAGTATTTCAATGTGTATTCTTGTCACCCTGGGCACATGTTTGCAGGACATCCTAAGGCTGTGTCACAGGCCATAAGCTTTGGGAAAATAAACCTGTAAATTGATTGAGACCCGTCTCAGATACTGTTTTGTTTATACTGGTCACAAACTTAAAAATCCTCTAAAACAATCTACACATCAATAAATCTACATTAGAGACAGTGGAATGATCATACCTTAACAGTTAAAGCTCACAATTTAAAGGAACCTGAGTCTAAGATTTTGGCCAGCTCTCTTGCTTCATAAAAAATACTTCATGATTTTTAAAATTTTACTTTAGAGAAAGGCAATTTGGGGGAATATATTTATTGTCAATGGGATGAATAATGTCTCTACCCTAAAAGATGTCCATGTCCTCATCTCTGGAACCCAAGTGTTACAGGAGTTATTAAGAAATTATTTTAGGCGGATAGGAAAAGAGTGTCCTTGGTAAGGTTTTCTTTCATTTAAAGCAGCTCCAGAAACGTTTCTTGTCTAGCAGGAAAGCCCTGGCTCTTAGAGCCAGGCTGGGAAGCTTTGATTTGCAAATTCCGGCCATTAGAAACTGAGTCCAGCCAAACCTGTCAATTCCCACCATCTTCTTCCTTGCCCCCACATGTGCCTGACAACAAGGCTGCCCCCACATATCCCCATGTGTATAGAATATTTTGGCGCCCTGTATTTGCATATTAAAAGTCTTGTTGGGAAGGCCAGTTATTTTGCAGGCTTCATGAATGGCATGCCTGGTCAAACCAGTCCCTAGAGCCCTATATAAATCAGACACCACCTCCTCCAGCCTCCTCATATAAGAGCCACTTTTCTGCTGCAATGGAGTTTTGTCTTTGTTGGAATCCCTCCTCCCTCTGTCTCTGTGTGGGGGAGCTGTTTTCTTCCTCCGTCCTTCTTGCATATTAAACCTTTCTCTCCCTAAAAGCACTCCACGTGTGTCTGTGTTGTTTTATCCAAAGTGGTGTGAGACCAAGAACCCTGGTGTTCCTCCAGTCAACGGAGCCGTATCATAAAAATTCTACCTTACATAGCAAAAAAAAAACTTGACAGATATAAGTGAAGAATAAGCGACCCAGTTATCTAGATGAAACCAATATGATCACAAAGGTCCTTAAAATAAAAGAGGAGGCTTGCAGTCAGAGAGGAGCTGGGACAATGGAGAGGGATGTGGTTTGAAGAGGGAACGGGTTACTCTGCTACAAAAAAAAAATATGACCACGGGGGTACTTTGCTTAAAAAATATCCCAGAATGTCCTGCTATACTTAGAGAGCATTTGCTTCCCAAATAGAAAATGAAGGCCTCCTTCATTTCACACCAGTTTCTGCTACATGCACTGTATCGCTCTGTTGCTTGGTGTCTACGCACTTAGAACTGCTCTGTCTTCTTTCCGAAATGACTTTCTTCATTATGTAATGTACATTTCTGTCACTGGTAACATTCTTGGCTTTGTAGTCTACTTTATCTGATATTAGTATTTGCTACTGATTCATTTTATTAATTTTGCATACTATGCCATTTTCTTTTCTTTTATATTGAGTCTACTTCTAGTGTCATATTTGATGTGAGTGTCTTATAGACAGTATACTGTTCGGACATTTCTTTTTGATTCATCAATTGCTGTCTGTTATAATTTACTAATTTGCATATTTAATATATCGATAATTATTGATATACTAAGATTTAAGTCTTCGCTCTACTTTTTTGCTGTATCTTTTTTTGCTTCTCCGTTTTCTTTTTGCTGCCTTCCTTTGGGTTACTTGAACATTTTTAGAATTTCATTTTAATTTTACCTAATTTGAGGGTATCTCTTTTTATAGTGATTTTTAAATTGGTTGTCATGGTATTTCCTTTATATCCATAGCTTCTCACAGTATGTTGGTGTCATAATATTACCATTTAAAATAAATATAAAATTTTACCTTGTTTTATGTCATTTTTCTTCCCCCATTAGTAATAGATTGTGCACATATACTCATGTACGCTTCACACCATCTCTAGCCTACTTATAATACCTGACGCAATATGTATACATGACTTAACCTGTGTGGATTCAACCAAGTGGTACTAAGCACATGGTGAAGTCAAGTTTTGCTTTTTGGAAATTTGTGGATTTTTTTTCTATATATTTTTGATCCAGGTTTAGTTGAATCCATGGATGCAGATCCCATGGATAGAGAGATGACTATACTGCTCCTTATAACTCTGAGGATCAACTCTGTGGTTCCTCCATTCTGGGCTGGCTGAACTGATCTCTGCTGAGCCTGCTCATGTGTCTGCAGTTACCCTGTGGTTCAGTTGTGACTAGATGGTCTGATATGACTTGTTTAACCTATCTGGAAGCTGATTTGATGTGCAGGTTGGACAACATTTGGTTTCGGTTTACATAGGTCAGGGAGATGGGGCCTGTTCCCCAACCTCTATTCAGTTCGTTTCTAGATCAACTCAGGAGTTCGTCTATTCATTGTAGGTTGTTTGGGGGAAATTCCACACAAAACGTTGGTAATGAAGAAGCTGAACTGCTGTCATCAGTTATTGTTATCATCTGAAATGCATCATATATTACCAAAGTCTCTCCAGGGTGGCCCAACAGTGCAGCTCAGCTCACCCCATCCAGTCACTTCCCTGGTTGCCTGCAGGTGTGAGAAAGGCAATGTGCTCAGTCACAGGAAAGACAGGGGCCCTCCCTGGTGCTGAAACCTGCAGATAGTTTTCACACAGTTTCATTCCAAAATACAAAGACTTCATTTTCTTTGTCTTTAAAATAGTTATACATTTTCTTTCTATAATGTCCCCATGCTTTTCAACTAATTTGAATTTTCAGAACTGGAAGTATTTATTATTTCTGTGTTAGATGCTCTTAGTCACTTATGGCAAGAGTGAGTTAATAGAGACAGGATATGGATTAGCCATAGAACAATACAGAAGTGTGTGGATTCAGATAGGATAAAGATCAAAGCGGTGACAAATACATTCTTTTGAAGCGGATTCTCATAGGTCACCAGTCAATGTCCGCATTCAAGGTGCGATGATGTGTCAGCTACATTGTGCAAATGGTCAGCTCTGCAGAGTAAACTTGGACAGCACACTACAGGACCAAAATTACCTGTAAAGGTATGGGGAAAATAAACCATCATAGAAATAATAGTGTGAAGGAGTTTTTGGTTATTTATACTTGGATATCAAGCAGAACACTATAATCAACGAAGCTATAACCGAAAAACTTTAAGACTTTTAAAGAGGTTTCCCTTTTCTCAGGGTATTTCTCAGGAAAAAATTTATAAATTATGGATAAACTACTTGCACAATTAGCTGCAATAAATCCCTTCCCTGCACTCATCCTTTGGTTGGCCTCATTCTAAATGGACTCAGGTGTTACCTATGTGTCTTGCTCAGGCCAATAGGATAATAGCAGATGTGACAGAATTGGAATATTGGAAAGGGCTTGCACATCGAAGCTTTCCTCTCTTTCACAGTGCTTGGAAACCCTAAGGTCACAATGAGAATAAGCCTGTGCCCATCTCCATTCAATGTCAGTGGCATGGCTGCTCTTAGGTCTATTATTTGTTCTTAAAATGTGTGTTCAGTTTGTTATAAACATGTAAGAAATTACCTGCAAATTTATCAACTTAAGACTACACCCATTTATAATCTCTCAATTTCTGAGTCAGCAGTCAGCACATGGCTTTGCTGGATCCTGCCCATTGGATTTCACAAGACTGTGCCACAGTGTAGACTGTTCTTCATTCTCACCTGAGACTCCCTGAGAAGAGAGATATTTTAGAGCTCTTTCAGGTAGTTGCAGAGCCCATGCCTTAGCACCTCTGTGACTCAGGGCTTCAGCTTCTTACTGGCTCTTGGCTCAAGGCTGCTCTCAGGTCCCAGAGGCTGTGGACAATTCCCTGCCATGTGATGCTCACACAGGCAATGCCCACATGGCTGGTTGTTTGTTCAAGGCCAGCAGAAGGTTTCAGAGAGTGTCTCTTTCCAGTCTGCTATGACAGAGGCTTACAGAATACAATACAATCATTGGAAAGACATCTCATAACCTCTGCCATACCATATGGGTTAGAAGCAAGCCTAAGTTCTGCCTGTTCTCTGTGGAGGTAGATCACACAATGCCATGACTCACTGGAGAGAGGTTTCTGCTAGGGTGTTCTGGCATCTTTAGTTTCCTCAAATATCAGGGTACTCATACTGAGTGTGAAATCTCTCCTACATCTACTTCATCGTGCTGTGTCTGACTGATCAGACATTTGACACATGACTTTTTTTTTTTTTTTTGTGACGGAGTCTCACTCTGTCGCCGAGGCTGGAGTGCAATGGCATCATGTCGGCCCACTGCAACCTCTGTCTCCTGGGTTCAAGCAATTCTCCTGCCTCAGCCTCCCGAGCAGCTGGGATTACAGGCACCCACCACCATGCCAGGCTAGTTTTTATATTTTCAGTAGAGACGGGGTTTCACCATGTTGGCCAGGCTGGTCTCAAACTCCTGACCTCAGGTGATCCACCCATCTCGGCGCCCCAAGATGGGATTATAGGGATGAGCTACCATGCCTAGCCTACTTTAGTTTTTAAGTAGATTTAATGAAATCTATTTAGTAGCCAAAAGCCAAGAATGCCAATAGTTTTACCTGGCTACTCTCTGAAACAATGGTATTAAAAGGGGTCTTTCCAGCCCCTTTCCAGCAGAAAGACAGGTACTAAGAAACAGTGGAAGTGTGAAGGTGGGGGAAGGGAGAGAAACAGTTTTTATATACCTAAACTAACCCAGCTGCATGTAAACCAGTAACTACTCATCAAAATAAAATACAGAAAGCATATTAGTTTTGGTTTGGTGTGAACCAGCCTTAAATACAAAGTTGTTACACTGAATGGGTTTAATTGACCAAAATGCATAGGGAAGGCAGAAAGGATTAGGATGCCCTTCTACTCAGCTTTATCTGCTGTCGAGTCTGGTTCCTCAGGGGACACATGGATCCCCTCCATTGTCCTGCAGATTCTGCCAGGCCAAGGCTGTTAAATCTGGCGGGGTCTCATGTGTGGACTTCTGGGTGTATACAGGGAGAAACTAGAGAAAGGCCGAGCAGATTTTTACTGCATGTAGGTAATCTACGTGGGCTTTTAGAGAAAAAAGGCTTTAGATAAAAAGTGTTTGACAAAGTCACACATGGTTTGTAAAAAAACAAAAAATAAAATACAACTTGAAAACTCTTGGAGAAGTGACACTTTAGTTTCCCAAATCACTCTTCTTCATACACTTCCACTTAGCTTTTTTTCACCTTCTAGCTCTGTGGTCTTAGAAGGACATGCACTTAAAATAATTTGTTTCCATAGGAATCCAACAAGTAAAAGCATAAACAACATCAAATAAACTACATCATTAACATAGAAGCATGTCAAAGAAACTGAGATTAGATTTTGAGTTTTGGCACAAGTATTAGAGAAATAGAGAAAAGATTTAAAAGATAGAATAAGACTTACACAAGAAAGCAGGACAGCAATACGACAATTGAACCTATCATAGAATAATAGGTTGTGATAATGGATGGTGAGAAGAAATGCATTGGACAGACATGCATGGGCATGATTGATTTGAGCAATTTAGCATGGATCAAGACAAAATCTTTAGGATTTAAAGGGCTGTGAGCTGGGTAGTAAAAACCCCCATTTTAGCACCTCTTGGGGCTGTAGATGGAAAGAACTTGGATTTAAAACTATTTTCAATAAGTGTCTGCTAAGTGCTAAGTATTATAGCTATAAGGATACCTAAATTAATAGAAGCACATATTATCTGTTGGATAATATTCTAAATCTTTTACCTTGTTTAAATTGTAAACCGACCTATGAGGTAGAACCTATTATTGTCACAGCATTGCGGGTATAGAAAAGGAGGCAAAGGGGGGTTAAGTTACTTTACTAATGTCACACAACATGTAAGCGGTAAAGCTCCATCCCCAACCCCAAGGGTTTGACTTCAGGGCCTGCCAAGACAACATCTGGACTGTTGCATGGATCTTGCCTGGCTGTACATGAAGCTCTAATTCCAGGATGGATGAAGATTCCATTAGAACTTGGAGTAGCATTAATAAAATTGCTTCCTTGAGACCAGGCGAAGTGTCCAGAAAGCAAAGGAGTTTAACTGCTTAAAGGAAAGGTGCAGATTTGTAGGAAATGAAGCTCTGGACTGTGAACAGAGTTTTTCAAAACAATTAAGGAGAAGAGAAATTGAGTCTAGTTTGATAGATGTGTTGTGCAGAGTGAGTGTAGTGGAGATTAGAGAATCAGCCAAGGAATTATCCCCTGCCTTCATGGATGGCATCAACATCTGTCTTCATGGCAATTGTATTGGCAGCCTGAGTGTCAGAGCCTGGGTCCTGCCCATCCATGCAGCTGTGGTCACCTTTGCACCTGCAGTGCTGGAGTTACTTGAGTGTTACTCTTTGAGGTAGCTTCAGGACACTTGGTAAAAATCACTAAGTGGCAAGTGAAAGACTTGGAAGAAAAGTTCTAATCAGCTCTTCTTTCCCACCTGATGCAATTTTTGCTGCTGCTGGGACCCCAAGTTCTTTGTCTCCTCCCCGCTGCTTTTTTTTTTTTTTGAGACAGAGTTTTGCTTTTGTTTCCCAGGCTGAAGTACAGTGGTGTGATCTCAGCTCACTGCAACCTCTGCCTCCTGGGTTCAAGTGATTCTCCTGCCTCAGCCTCCCAAGTAGCTGGGATTACAAGTGTGCACCCCCACGCCTGGCTAATTTTGTATTTTTAGTAGAGATGGGGTTTCACCATGTTGGTCAGGCTGGTTTCAAACTCCTGACTTCCGGTGATCCACCCACCTCGGCCTCCCAGAGTACTGAGATTATAGGTGTGAGCCATCGTGCCTGACCCCTTGCCTCTTTTGTAAATAGAAATCAACACCAGGCCAAACAGAAATTGTCTCAGGCAAGGTTTAGTAGGTTTGTGGCAAGAGCAAAGCAAGGGAGCAGCCTATGGGTAAGAGATCCTGGTGGCTATTCCTTGAAGTGCCCAGCTCTTACCATTTTAAGGAAGCTGAGGCGGAAAAAGGAATGACATACAAGCATGGTTAGGCAAAGTTTTCTTTGCATTTGTGCAGTGGAGCGTCATGCTCTAACATATATAACATGATGAGGAAATGGAAGATAAGCCCTGCCTTGGGTGGATATTTTAGTATTACAATGAGATTATAATGAGGAAAAATCAGTGAAAGGTCAGTTCTGGGGACCATCCCACTTTCAGCTGGCTAGATCTCATTTGGTGCTTTGGGGAAATGCCAGCTCTATCAGCAACCTTGGAAGATGGTCAGGTTCTTATCAGGAATGTTAGAGTTCCACTTTAGAAACCTTGGGAGGCTGGGCACAGTGGCTCACGCCTATAATCCCAGCACTTTGGGAGGCTGAGGAAGGCAGATCACTGGAGGTCAGCAGTTTGAGACCAGCCTGGCCAACATGGTGAAACGCTGTCTCTACTAAAAGTACAAAACATAGCCGGGCATGGTGGTGTGCACCTGTAGTCCTAGCTACTCTGGAGGTTGAGGCAGGAGAATCGCTTGAACCTGGAAGGCATAGGTTGCAGTGAGTGTAGATCGTGCCACTGCACTGCATCCTGAGTGACAGAGTGAGACTATCTGAGGAAAAAAAAAAATGAAATCTTGAGATACTCAGGCCCTATCATTTTCCTACAGCAAGTGAGGAGTTGCCATTCAAAAGAGGCACAACTGGTGGCCACTTCAGGAAACTTTTGCATCCAAAAGCTGAGTCTGGTGCACCTAGTGACATTGCCACAGACTCCAGTCAGCATGCATAGAAATAGTGGATACCTGGATTTCCATCGAGCAAGCAGGCTCTAAAGGTCTTAAATAAATGCCTTGGACATGTATAGTTGAATAGATTCCAAGGCTACCGTTGCAAAGGGCTCCATTCAAAGTTGGCAACTTTGTTCATGATTTTGACTAAGGTGACCAAAAAAAAAAAAAAAAAAGACTCAGGGGGACAGTGCAACTAGGTGAGAACCCAGTGGCTTTCCCGAGCTTATTTGTCTTGCATTTTTGGTGACATGGATTGTTGTTCACATTGTCTTCCTCTGGCAGGTCCACCTGGAAAGCATTATATATTTAGCAAGAAAAAAGGAGGCTGTGAATGATGTCACTGCGGACTGCGTATATTCCCTGTTGCAAATGTCAGATCCATGAAGCATAAAGTGATTAACTAGAAGATATTAAATTCCTTACAAATTGTTGAAAAGCCTTAAAGAACAGGCTCCAGTCAAAGCCTCTAGAACAATTCCAAGAATCATACTGCTGGCACAGGCTGGGGAGGAGCTCCTACTGTTTGAGACATTCAAGCTGTCTTTTGCAGCAGAAAAGAGACCAGCTCTTCTCACTACTGCCCCCAGGAGGACAGCAGCTCTGCTATCAACTGTCAACTGCTGGAAATCTGACCCCTTTCTCTGACTGCCCATCAGATGTGTTACTACAGAGTCGTTTTGGATTGAGATGAGGGAGGGGAAATGTCTGATCTCACTCAAATGTGCTCATTTTCCTGGTCTCGGTCTCAGCCAGGCAGCACAGTCCTGTGGGCACAATATCTTCACTTGCCAGGTTCCTATAAAATGAGAGTATCTTTCTTGACTGTGGAAAATATGGAGATGAGGAGGGTCAAGCAATAGCAAAAGGAGTACTTGGAGTTGCCTGAGCTTCCACTCTGGTTTCCCCAAATGTTTTCAATCCATTTAATTCATGATAATAAACACCTTTCTGCCTAACCAGCCATAATCGCTTTTCTTAGATCCAAATGATTCAGTGATAAAACTAAAGAGAAAAAATAAATACACTTTTCAACGTTGAAGCTGACTAGGTGTCTGTCTCTGGTGTTTACCCCTCCACATTCCACTATGCATTTCGTCTTCCCTTTGCCTCACTGGAGATCCAAGTGCAAGTAATGCTTCACATAACTGTGATCCCTAGAACTTCATCCTGATGACTGTTGACATCTTCTCTGAGTTTTACCAGTGGAAATGGCAATAAATAGAAAGATTCCAGAAGGTCCCCTAGGGTCCATATTTTCTGTACTTCCTCTCTAAAATATGTAAAGTCAATTATGTTTGCTCTTGCTTTATACGGGCTAGATCTATGGCCCCAGCACACATCTGAACGCCCTGTGTTGACAACTTATCCAGTATTGTATTGAGTCTGAATGGTCACATGCTTATCATATCATTTCTTCCAATTTCATGCAATAATTGTCATGTCAACTGTTTGGATTAAGAACCATCAGCCAGAAAACCACAGCCCTGAGAAAATAGAAATAGAGTATTTCAAGCTGTTCAGTTGGCATAAGAATGATGAATCTGCAGCTCATTTTCAAGATATAAATATTCTGTTTATGGAAGTAACAGCACCATTCATGATTAGTGTTTCAGAGCCTCCACCACTTCTGACAGCATAGCAATTCAATAGCACAAAGGTTTGTGTGACAGCTTTGCTTGACTAATAATGGGTTTTTCCCTGTCTATAGGGAAAGCTGCACCTGTGCACATGACAAGAGCATGAGCTACATTTTGCTTCACTTTTTTTGAGGCAAATAAGTTGCTTGATCCAAAGCCATATTATGGAAGAACTTCCTGACTCTGATGAAAACTCTTTGAAAATCCACAAATAATATTTTATGCAGAAACATAACCGAAAAGGAAGGCAAATCCATATATAGTAAAATAACCACTGCCATCCTCATGTTCCATGAGGTCCACTAGAATCACCTGATACCAGTAATTAGTCTGAGCCCTGATGTGTGGTACAATGTTAAGGGTTCTGGAGGGGTCAGTTTTCTTGGCAAATTGGGTGTTCAGAAGAGCCAGTAGCCCTGTACATCTCAGTTAGTTGAAAGTCATATTATTGAGTCTCCACAGGGACCTCCATAACACTGGTTCGTGAGGCTAGCTGGGAAAGCTGGAAGAGGTAACTGAAGTCCATATGTTGAATCATCCTCATTATTAAAAGCCCGCTGCTCGTTAATGGCATTTCAATTAATATTCACTTGGAAAGCTTCTTATTCTTGATTATGGCTCATTTTTGAAACTTCTAGTCATAGCTCTTACAGAATGACTTTGTCTGAAATCATCCTGTTGCATTTCTTTTAAGGCCTGATGATCTGTCAAAACCAACAGCCAATATTATTAAACTGCTGTTCTCTTTGCAACGTGATCATCAGATGTAGGCCTTGCAGTTTACCCACTGTTATGAGTTTTACATTTCCAGAGCTTCCTTGACAATGGCACTGATGTGACTCCATCCAGCATCCATTGTTGTGAGAACTCTATTTGGAATATCATCATTGTGGGCATGAACATAATGGAGACTTTTATAGGATGCAATGGTTAATATTCAACATTAGTCAAAATTTGCTCTAGCCTTACCCTTGGAGCTCTACTGGATTGGAAAAATATTTTAGGTAAGGACAACCATTTGGTAAAGTTTTAAAAATAAAGGCTACAAATAAATTTTCTGTAGCAAGAGTATGAATTAGGTGTCATCACAAATACCATTTTTTTGTGTGGAATGTAACAATTATTTAAACGTATATAATTTAGATAATATTTTATAAATAAAATATGTATATATTGCATATATAACAGAATAAATGTACTTAAATATGAATACTGTACGTAGTTGTAGCCAACATTTTATCAAATAAATATATGTTCACTTCTATGTATCTTAAATATATATGCACTTTTTTCCATAAAGAAGGTAAATTTTAATTTTTTATTGAAATACTAATTAGTTTTAATTTTGTGTTTTTCTCTTAATAACTTCATAATTTGATTACTAAATATTCATATTTATACCACCAATTCAAGAAAAAATATGTATGTTTATATAGGTAGAGGTGTAAATACTGTATCAGGAAGTGTTTATGCATTAATTACGGTAACTGGTTAAATGTACAACTCAGTGGCTGATAACAGTAAACATTTGTTTTCACGTTCATAGATGCTCATGTTCACAATCATCTGGCTGATCAAGGAAGGTCTCTGCTGAGTGGCTCCTCTCAGCAGAGAGGAGCCTGTAGATTGTATTCAGCCTGTAGATATCAGTTGTTTAACGACAAGGCTGAACAGCAGTGACTACACATGACACAAGATTCTTGTGGCAGGTCACAGTAGTGATCAACATCCCAAACCAAACCGCACAGTTGAATTTAAGTCCAATAATTTCTAACATAGCTTCAAACATTTTAAATATATTCCTTTATTTCAATGAGTATAAGTTTTTAAGAAAATGTTTACTCCACTTAATTGTAGAGGTGTTTGATCATTCCATAGACAAATAATCATGTTTTCAACCTTCACAATCCTGAAAATATTTGCAAATGTAAGTTTGCATTAATAAGAAAGCAAAGCTGGATGTGTTTTCAACATGTGGCTTCAAATATAATTTTTTTAAATGACCTTTTTGGGGGAAAATCATTTTAACTTATGGAAATATCCCTCTTTACCTCTCATGTCCTATAGGGTTGCCCAATAAGAGGGTCCCCCATGAGATTTGGAAGTGAGAAAAGGAAGACTCAGTATTATCCATTGGTACCTAAGAGGCAGAGAGACAAAGGTGAGGACTGGAGAAACACCTGGAAAGATGCTCTAGGAAGCGAGAACTTCAGCAATTCCAGACTTAAGCTTCCAGACAGGACTGAGGACCACATGGTTAGAAAACCCTTACTTCAGGGGTGGATACATTCTGTTTTCAGTGGGAGCACCAAAGAATGCTGCTTCTAATATCAACTTTCCTGAATACTATATCCTTGGTTTTGAAAGGTTGTAGTGTGAATGTTAATCATAGGAATTGGGTCATTCTTGTCATACCAAACAGAGCCATGAAACCAGAGGGGAAAGGCACTCAGGGTGAAAAATATTGTTTCTAGAATGCAATTGAAATAGGCCCTATTATGCCATGGAACTAATGTTTATGGTTTTTTGAATAAACATAGAAATTGACTTCCCTGATCTTAAAACTCAAGATAGTTACATCTGTCTTACCTGAGTTCTTTTTTCAGTAAACCAACCATCAGGCCTCCCAGATACTATCAAGGAGCTGAAACTTACATATCACTGAATCAGGACAGTGGGACATCAGACCCTTCACTCATTATGACTGCATAACTGACCTCCTGCTTCTTGTTGACCAAATTATCTCCCTTAACCCTCCATAATTCCTGTTTTCCCACATTTCTTCCATGCTATATAAACCCCTAATTTTTGTTGGTCAGGGATACATTTGAGAATGGTGTCCCATCTCCTCAGCTACAGCACCTGATTAAAGCCTTTTCCTTGGCAATACTTGCCTTAGTGATTGGCTTTCTGAGTGGTGAGCTGCAGGATCTACGCTGAATCCCTGGTATTTCAGTAACAAAACACTCTGCAACCTTCACTGCTTTGGCTTCTTGTAACCTGAAATCAAATTTGTCCACAACTTCTGAGATAACTTGATATAATTCTAGGATTCACTTTGTCCACCACTGCTTCCCAGTCTGAGCTTGCCAGCTCCCAACCCTTCCTAGTGCCAATGAACTTTCTCAAAGAGCCATAGGTAATATTTTCCCTTTTTCATGAAACACTAACTTTTTCTTTGTTCTTGCCACATATTGAAGACCACTGAGTTTTCCTGTATGCCCCATTTGGGAAATATTTCTGTGTAAATAAAACATTACATTTAGAGATTCATCTCTACATTTTATTTAGACGTCAGTAGTTTACTTTAATTCTCTGTATTAAGACAATTCCTGCCTAGAATATCTATAGTGGCTTCTTCTCTGTTATATAAAGTCCAACTGAAGCCATAAACTAGACTCCTCAGGTGTCATGATCTCTGTCTGTATTAAATTCGGAGAGGCATTGCTATGTCTGTGTAGTTGGGGCTGAGAAAGAGAAAAGAATTAGGGTGCAGAGGTGACTTCATGTCCCCTTCTACCAACACCATCAGAGTGTGGCTGCATCTGAGGAACAATCTCAGCCGATGGAGGCATCAGGAGGAGCAGCTGGGGCAGCCCAGCCTCACACATCTTCTTCCCTGGGGGTTTATGTTCGGGTGTGTAACACTGTGGGAGGGTAACTATTATGCTGTAGACAGTAATAAGTTGCAAAATCTTCAGGCTGCAGGCTGCTGATTGTGAGAGTGAATTCTGTCCCAGATCCACTGCCGCTGAACCTTGATGGGACCCCACTTTGCAAACTGGATGCAGCATAGATCAGGTGCTTAGGGACTTTCCCTGGTTTCTGCTGAAACCAGGCTAAATAATTGCTAATGCCCTGCCTCGCCCGACAAGTGATGGTGACTCTGTCTCCTACAGATGCAGACATGGCAGATGGAGACTGGGTCATCTGGATGTTACATCTGGCACCTGAGATTGGAAACATAAAAACAAATGTCCACACAATTAATCATGTTGTAAGAGAATTTCCCTGAACAGTAAAGCAGTACTGAGCACTCTGGGCTGAGTAAACTGTTAGTGTTCTCCATCCTTACCTGGGAACCAGAGCAGCAGGAGCCCCAGGAGCTGAGCAGGGACCCTCATGTCCATGCTGTGTCCTGAGTGGGACTGATTCCTCCATGAAGTGTGTCCAGCCTATTAATAAGGCTTCAGGGCAGGAGGCTATGCTCTGGGAACATGCAAATGAGCAGGGGATGGGGCAGGCTGGGCGCAGCTGCAGGGCTGGCTCATCTCAGTAACTCAGCAGCAGCTCAGTGTCCCCAGGTGTCCCAGGTAAGATCAGGGTAGCACAGATTTGTCTGCAGAGAATGGGTTTCTACTGGAGACTATTTTGTTACGAGAGACATTTTTTAGATTTTTTTTGACAATTTGAAATATTCCTTAGGAGTCCGTGGAGTATCATATTTCATTGGCGTATGGGGAGTATATAGGAGGATATTCTTTTTTTGTAGGAAACACATAGTAAAGTTTTAGACGATAGAATTCTAAGGTCTTTAAAAGACTATTGTATAATTCCGGTTAGGGAAGGGGGTATTTATTGTATACTTGCAACTTTTCTGTAAGTTTATCATTGTTCCTTTCTAAAAAAAATTAAAAATAAAATATATTGACATGATGATGCATATATTTGTAAGTATGAGGTAATGGTGTTATACTATTGTTCTTACCAGTATAAGTTCAAGCAATTTACTACAAATACACAAAGATGATACCATGTTTCCTCAATGCATGCAGCACTCACACATTCACCATTATCAAGAGTGACAGGTCTCTTCAATACCCAGAGACTAAATGGGCTGTACCTTATTCTTGTTTTGGGCAACTTATAGTCTACCTTCTTTTCTGCCATTGAGTACTATTTTCCAAAGTTTATCTCTCTTAGTGAGCATGGCCACTGCACGGAGCATGTCTCTGCCATGCACCATCAATGCCACTGTCCGCTTTTACATTTTATCAGTGAGTGGGAACATCATCCTGACCCAGACACCAGCCTCCCTGCTAACATCTTTAGGAAAGAGACACTCAATCTTTTATCAAGCAACTGCCCATGTTCATGGACAAATCAGTTGGATCCAGATGAAATTGGACATGGATTTGCACTCGTTATATCTCACATCTCTAATGTGCCCAAAAATGTCCCAGCCTGGTTCAGTAGCAGGGAAAGTGGATACAACCATATCAGCATCAGTGGGCTGCAGCCTAGGGCTCCACAAAATTTTACTGATGCCTGACTAGGGGAGCCAAATCACAGTGCTGTAGCTTGTGCACAAATCTTCCTGCTGCTTTATAGGCTGCCTGAATTTTAAGGGAACTTGCTTATATTGGGAGAAAGGAAGAATGTTCCATTTGCCCTCTAAATGTTTGCTAAAAATAAACTGACAAAAGGAAGATTAATAAGAGAAAAGGCAAACTCAATTCACTTAAAGTGCAGCAGGATATCATAGCAGGGTGATTACCCAGATAAGTCAGTGAAATCCAGGTGTTTATATTTCTTGTTTAGGGAAGAGGGAATTGGGAAGTGTAGGCAACCTGGAGAGAATAGATGAGAATAGAAGTGCATCCTCAAAAGAATAGGTAATCACCTGCCTGGATGAAATATGAACTTCCAGTCTTTTCTATTTTTGACTCCTGTTTTGTGTCAATCTTCCCTGATATAAATATTCTCAGGAAGAATTTTCTTAAAAATTGGTTTCCTTCTGAAGAATTTGCTTTTAGGAAGATAAGGGATATTTAGGAAAAGCCTTTTTGTGCATTTGTCGCTTTCTAAATGCCTTTAGTTTTACATAATCATCATACAAATGCAGCACAGTTTGAGATGTTATTTTCTGGATTCCTTTACTTGGAACCCACCTGCCAAAATCCTGTTCCAGAGAGATGCAGCTACAGACTGAAAGAGCAGTTGACCCCTGAACAATGTGGAGGTTGGGGCACTGACCACTAGTGCAGTTGAAAACCTGTGTAGAACTTTTGCATCCCTAACTTAAGTACTAATAGATTACTTTTGACTAGAAGCCTTAGTGATCACATAAATAGTTGATTAACCCTTTTTTATATTATACATATTATATACTCTATTCTTCCAATAAAGTATGCTAAAGAAAAAAATGTTTTTAAGAAAACCATAAAAATGAGAAAACATATTTACTACTTACAAAGTGCTTGCTCACAGGTGACACACACAGAAGAAAATATAAGTGGATCTGCAAATTTCAAACCCAAGTTATTCAAGGATTAACTGTACCATGATGAATGTAGCAGTCCCCATCTGTGATCTGGGGCTTTCCCCTTTGCTGTACCTCTGCTCACTTCCAATGGCCATATATTGTCTTATGTTCTTTATGATCTTGGGCAGAGAGATCTGTCTGTATGCCTTGCTGGCCAGATGGCCTGGAATGTGTATCTCTTAGGAAAGTTTTATGGTTTGACTGTGTCCTCCAGAATCCATCTGTTGTAAAGTTAAATCTCAGTGTAATGGTATTGCCAGGTGGGGCCTATTGGGATGTGTTTAGGTCATGAGGTGAAGCCCTCTAGTGGAATACATTAATGCCACTATAAAGAGGAATTACAGGACTGGAATCCTTTTCTCTCTTCCATCCGTCTGTCATGTTAAGACAAGGCCTTTCTTCCTTTGAAGGAGTCAATGCTCCAGGCATCATCTTGAAAGCAGAGAAAGCAGACCTTAACCTGCCCATGCCTTGATCTTAAATTTCCCATTCCCCAGAAGTGTGAGAAAATTAATTTCTGTTCTTTATAAATTACACAGTGACAAGGAACCTGTTATAACAGTTTGAAATGGAACAAGAGAGACAGCTCACAATCAGTGAGGACAGGATGAGGTGTATACATACCCCAGCTTCCTCATTTCTCAGATGGAACAGCCCAGAGGAATTTAGTCCATGTTTCCACATGTGGTTGATCTTTAGTTATCCTGAGTCAGGTGGGCTGTTGATGTGTCTTTTACCATTCATTTTCTGCTCCCACCCTCACTTTCTTCCTTTCTTCGCACTGTAAATTTGCTGCCTAAACAGGAATCCTCATTGCTGGTGGACCCAAACCAAGATAGTGAAAAAAATTGTTTATCTTTTGTATGAGGGGTATTTCCCATGTTTATTCTTGTCACTTCTCTTTCTTTGACATGTAGGAATATCCAGGAAGCACTTAATTTTTTTTAACCAATCTATTTTAGATTGAATTTAGGCGGTGATTTTTTTTGTTCTGTTTGTTAAAACAAAAAAATAAGTTGTAAGCCACCAATCAGCTGAACGGTCTCTTCTTGTGGCAGAGAGAACTTCAAAGAAAACAGAAAAACTAGGTTAGGCCATGACTGGCAGGTGGGTTTCGATGTGCCTCATTATACTCTCCTCACTTTGGAGTTCAGACAAAACTGACCAACATTATCATTACGAGAGACAGCTTTGGACTGACAAAACAGATGCTTTGTAGCGATAAGATACCATACTCCAACATGACAGATAATAGGCCCTGAAGAAAATCTAAATATTTTACCTTAAAAGTAATTCTTCATCATATTCTGAAGTGGCCCTGCAAAGCTGCCTGTAGTGGAGGAAATTTGCATTCTGCAGAGAAACTCCTCCCCTTACTCAGTCTTTTCCAAAGAGTCTGACATTTTTTTTAAGGTCTGATAGGCAACATTCACCATCTACTTTGTCTGCTACCCATAGGACTCTTCTACATGACAAGAACCTTGGCTTCCACACCCCCTTATCTAAACTCAAGTATTTATTTATGATGAATTCAACTCTTTAGGCAGAGCTTAACTCTTTCAACCAGTGGCCAGTCAGGAAACCTTTGAATCCATGTATGACCTGGAAGCCTCTGCTTCAAAATATCCCACCTTTCCAGGACAAACTAATGTATATCTTATATGTATTGATTTATGTCTTTCCTCATAATTTCTGTCTCTCCAAAGTGTTTAAAACCAATGTGTAATCCAACCACCTTGGGCACATATTTGCAGGACATCCTAAGGCTGTGTCACAGGCCATAAGCCTTATCTTTGGCAAAATAAACCTATAACTTGATTGAGACCCGTCTCAGATACTGTTTTGTTTACACTGGATCACAAACTTAAAAATCCTCTAAAACAATCTACACAGCAATAAATCTACATTAGAGTCAGTGGAGTGATCATACCTTAACAGTTAAAGCTCACAATTTAAAGGAACCTGAGTCTAAGATTTTGTCCAGCTCTGTTTCATAAAAATACTTTGCGATTTTTAAAATTTTACTTTAGAGAAGGACAATTTTGGGGAATATGTTTATTGTTGGTGGAATGAATAATGTCCCCACCCCGAAAGATGCCCATGTCCTCGTCTCTGGAACCCAATTGATATAGGAGTTATTAAGAAATTATTTTAGGCAGATAGAGAGGAAAAGGTGTCCTTGGGAAGGTTTTGTTTCTTTTAAAGTAGCTCCAGAAAAGTTTCTTGCCTAGCAGGAAAGCCCTGATTCTTAGAGCCAGGCTGGCAAGCTTTGATATGCAAATTCTGGCCATTAGAAACTGAGTCCAGCCAAACATGGCGACTCCCACCATCTTCCTCCTGGCTCCCACATATGCCTGGCCACATGGCTGCCCCCATATATCCCCATGTGTATAGAATATTTTGGCACCCTGCATTTGTATATTAAAAGG